>NC_000001.11:63796259-64099289 GCF_000001405.40 Homo sapiens
CTGTGTGGCCCCACACAAAACACTTGCCTTCTCTGATCCTCAGGTTCTCATCTGCAAAGCAATAAGGTTGGACCAAGCCCTGTGTAGTGGCAGTGTCAACATCACCTGGGAGCTTGTTAGAAATGCAGAGTCTCAGGCTCCTCTCCAGAACTACTGGATCAGAAGCTGCATTTTAACATGATCCCAGGTGATTTATATGCAAATTAAAGAACCATGGCTTTAAAGAACCATTCCTGCTCTAGTAATGTATTATTTTGTGTTTTTTTCCAAATGCATATTAAAATATAGTTACGAAGAATTTATCCAAGACTGCATCAAACATTCTACATAAAATGGGTGTATCATCTCTTACCCTTTAAAAGTTTGTACTTTGTGAGAAAAAAGGTTTAAAGGCAGAAACAGGCACAAGCAGTCGTACATTCAGTTCCAGTGCTAGATATACATATTTCTTCCTTTTGCCTCCTTTGTGTTTTGGGCCTTGACAGTGTGGTAAGGGCAGCGGTGGAGAGAGGAGAGGAGGAGTTGCAGAGTCGAGGTGACTGAAGGTGGAAATGGCAATGCACCGAGCCCTGAGCTGGCAGGTGGTCCAGAGAGCAGCGGGCCCCAGCCCAGCTCCTCAGTATCATTGCAAGGGTTTTGAGAATCCAACATCATCGGTGATGAGAAAAATGTTTCACATTTTTCAAGCATATATGAAAGTGCTTTGATGAATTGAATAACAATTCATAGTGATTTTTTGATGTTCTATATTTTTTCTAATTAATTGATTCTAGATGTTAAACCTATTAGATGGGAAGAGGACTCTAGTTCATTTTTGCATTAAAAGGGTTCTTTCTTACTTGAAGCTGGTGGGAACTATTGGAAGAGGGCGTAATAATTAATAATGATGACAATAACTAACACATGCCGAGAACTTTCTAGGTGCCAGGCACTGTGCCTTGCAAAAAAGGACTTTGGGCATCTGTTAATTAATTTATGGATAAGGAAACCAAGGCTCAGAGTGGTGAAGTGACTTGCTCCCAGTCATCCTATGAGTAATTGGTGGATCCAGGCTAGAAACCCAGTGTCCTGGCTGTGGGGCCAGCTTTTTTTCTGCTGTGCCCGATTTTGTGGTTTGTCTCTCTGGTGCTCTGGAGTAGCATGTGTGGGAAGGCTGAACGGAGAGTCATGAATTTTCCCGAGTTCCTCCTCTGGGAATCACAGACTATCAGAGTCCGGAGGACTTTCAAAAGCATGCAGGCCACAAACTCCATTTACAGGTGAACACATCCAGCCCAGCAAGGGAAGGGAACTTGCTCAAGGTCAAACAATTAGTAGGGTTTATTTGTTCTGGTCTTCCTCTACCTGAAATTCAGCTCTATTTGAACAAGTGAAACAAGCCCTTCTATGAAAGCAAATGAACACGGTTTTGAATATTGTATCTCAGGTTGCTGTGAGGGCTATATATATCTTTAAAAAGGATTCAGCATAGCCACTGGTAGTTGATAAACACTCAAATGATGTTTGTTATGGTTATCATTTTTACTAAGCTTCACATATTAAATTTAGGGACACCTTTGTTGTTGTTGTTTTAAAGCAGGACTGATTGTAGTCTTGTCTTTTTTTTTTTTTTTCCATGTTCTCTATCTTCAGGATAACCTTTGAGAGGACAGACGACCAAATTCCTTTTCACTAAATACTGCACCACATAATCATTGGAAGCCATATACTGGCAAGGGAGAAAGTTGCCCTTTTGAGAGGCTGCATTCTTCATCTTATGAGCCCATGCCATGCCAGCCAGCTCTCATTGAGCTGAGAAGCTATCTTTTTGGCAGTAGGTCTCCTGATCATGAAGATTTGAATGGAACAGACATTTTCTGAGACTCAGTCAGGCATTTTTCCACTCTGCATACAATTGTTACCAATCTAGAGAAGTAGGAACTGGTTTAGAATCAGAGCCAGCTTCATAGGTATGCAACCTGTGCAACTGCGCAGACCATCCACATTGGAGCCCCCTGGTTGATTTGACGCTCTGCAGGGAAATTGGAATTCTTGATATTATTTTCAATAAGACGCCCCACTTTTTTATTTTGCACTGGGCCCATCAACTTAAGTAGGTACTCTTGGTTAGAATAATCTAGAACAGGACCAAGAGCCTGTGAGGAACAAGTCAGTGGGGGTTGCAGTTTTTGGGGGAGGAGGAGGAGGCCACAGACCTGACTCCTTGTGATGGGTCCTAGTATTATACATGGGCTTGAGCCAGGCAGCATGCAGTCCGCTGCCATAGAGAGGAGGTAAGCAGGGTGGTTTGTTGTCTTGTCCACCCATCACTTTGCCTTGTAAGTATAGACAAGACACTAACTGCTCTGCATGTCTCCTTTGTATCCCCAGCCCTGATCACACATAGTACCCAGCACATAGTAATCACTTAACACATTGTGGCTATTTACTTTATTGCTGCTCTAAAGTAGTCCAGAGATGAACCATTATTCCAGGGGCTTTACATGTATTATCTCTAGTTTTTCTGACAGCCTTTCAAGGTAGACATGATCGTCCCTTCTTTACAGATGAGGCAACTGAGACTCAGAAACGTTAAGCAAAAGTATCTCTGGTTCATCTCTGGACTACTTTGAAAAAATAGATGAAGTGTTGTGTGAGATGCATTATAAACTTTCCTATTTTTGGTGTCAGCACCATACTTTATATCTTGGCTATTCAGGGGCTTAACGTCAATTTCCCTGCTAGTAACCTCTTTCTTTTATTGATTCAACAGCTGGATTAACTTCCCCAGCATCATCATTTATTAGCCACGTAATCTTAAATACTTTTGCTTAATGTTTCTGAGTCTCATTTGCCTCATCTGTAAAGAAGAGATGATCATGTCTACCTTAAAAGGCTGCTAGGAAAACTAGAGATAATACATGTAAAGCCCCTGGAATAATAGTGACTGGCACGTAGTAGGTGTTCAAGTCACTTTTCTTATTATAAAGTTGACATACAAACAGCTTTCATTGTGTCATTTCCCTTCCTCAAAAATATCTTCAATGGCTCCCCATTGCCATGGCCATGGTGGATCAAAGCTCATCATGATCTAGCCATAGCCTACATTGTCTGACTTCTCTCACCAGTGTTTAAAAACTTCTCCAATGCTAGCTGTGTCTTGTTCCCCAGGCCACTGGAACCTCCTTGGCGACAGAATTCCATGTTATCACTTGAGTGCCTAGGAGCATGCCTGTCATAGTGTCTGTATGGCTGGTTGCTAATCACAGTGTATTTCAGGAATATTGTGCAATTCTGCTTTTTTCCCATTTGTTTATAGCTCTTAGTTCCTTCAAATTGGAAATGGATTATGGTTTTGCATTTGACTCAGGAAGAGGAAAAAAAACACCCATTTTTCCTCTCCTGTTTTTTTTTTTGTTTTTAAACAGCTAGTGTCACTCTTTTGGGATTATTTGTTTATATGTTTGTCTCTGTCTCTGGACTGTGAGGTCTGGGTGAGGAGGAATGGTGTTTAATTCTCATGTATATCTTCAGTGTTCAGCACATTGAGCCTGGCACAAATCAAAGAGACACTCATTAAATATTTGTCAAACTGATGAATATTGGAAAGCTCAAGTTTTTATGGCAGACGAGGGAGACAGTGGGAGCTGCCTTTTTATTGGAAAAACATTGTTTATTAGATCTGTATGGATCATTTAGAAAATATGCAGTTGGTTATCTTTTATGGTCAAAGAAGAAAATCAGTATAAAATGCTTAATTAAAAGCAGGAGCTAACATTTCCCCTAGTAACGAAGGCAGGCTTGTGAATATTTTCCTTTCCTTAGCTCAGGAGATGGGCAGGCAGCCAGGCTCAAAGATGGGGATGCTTCATAGACAGATGAGAAGGTTTGACTTAGGAGGACTGAGTCCCAGGGTTACCCTGGGTCCATTTTTGCTTTAATGTTTCTCCGCATGGATGTTGAAAATGTGAATGAAGAGTGTTAATTCCTTAAGATATTCTGATGACAATGTCAACCCCTTTAAGGTGATTTTGCTGTTACCTATAAAATTATCACTTGTTTGTGAATTGATTATAATGGCATATTTTCAGGAGTATGTTTTGTACTTTTAATTTGAGATTAAAAGCCCTAAGAAGTGTGGGTCTTTTTCTTATTCTTCTTGGTGCTCCTGTGCCTGACACAGAGCAGGCCCTTAAAAGATGTGATACCTGGAGTTCTTATTCACTTGGCCTCAGCAGAGTTGGCCCTTTCCTGGGTGTAGGAAACTGCTGAGGACTAGGAGCTGGGGAGGCAGAAAAGGCAATGATGTTCTGAATGTTTCTGCCACTGGAAGGAAATCAGGCCCTCTGAGACAGACAATGATTGGATGTGCTGCAGGACAGGAGGTCTGAGTACTGGCAGCATCCACATTACCTGGGAGCTTGCTGGAAATGCAGAATCTCAGATGTGCTCCAGACTTACTGAATCAGACACTGCAGTTCATCAAGATCCTCAGGTAATTCATCTGCACATTAACATCTGAGATGTGCTGCTCTGATGAGAAAAATCTGGGAACTTCCTCAACCTTGAGACTCGATAGTCTGGATTTTCGTAATTCTAGGATGTAGCATGGTGAAGTTTGACTGACCTTGAATCCCAGAGCTGCCACTGTGGGGATATTAATTAACCTTTTTAATCTCAGATGTTTTTCATCTATAAAAAGTATATGTTGGGTATTTTGCTAGGTTTTTTTTTTTTGGTGAGGATTAAATGAAATAATATAATGCTCTTGGCATATAGTAGGAACTTAATAAATATTACTTATTGCTGATTTTGTTATTTTATCTGAGCCCTGGTGTAGATGGTTTATTTATTTATTATGATAGGAGAAAATTGCTGTATTATTATGATTACAATGTTGTAATTTTGCATTAGTTTTATGTCATTTATATGATTTAATGAGTATTCTTAAAGAATTAAAAAGCATTTGCATGCTTTTGACCTCTTGTTTTAACCTGTTTTTGAATCTTCTACTCATAACATGGACGTATTATGTGGCTGTATTTATGGGTATCATGTTTTTGGTCTTTTTTTTGAGACAGAGTCTCGCTCTGTCACCCAGGCTGGAGAGCAGTGGCATGATCTCGGCTTACTGCAACTTCTGTCTCCTGGGTTTAAACAATTCTCCTGCCTCAGCCTCCTGAGTAGCTTGGATTACAGGCACCCACCACCACACCTGGATAATTTTTGTATTTTTAGTAAAGACGGGGTTTCACCATGTTGGCCAGGCTGGTCTTGAACTCCTGACCCCAAGTGATCCGCCCGCCTCAGCCTCCCAAAGTGTTGGGATTACAGATGTGAGCCACTGTGCCTGGCCGGGTATCATGTATTTTTTAAACACCACTGAATCACTTATATTTCATTTTGGAGATTTCTTCCTCCCATTTATTCTGATAATAATGATTAAGTAGCCTTTTTATCCAGCACTCATTAGACAGTTAATGAAAAAGGTTAGTTAAAATAGGGAGTGAGGAAATAGTGAAGAAATGAAATTAACTATTTTATCTCACTTTAACTGCCTAGCTGTACATTCATTTAATCATGTAGCTTTTCCTTTGAGCTGGGTCTGATGTTTGGAGGGTGCTGTCTTCTTTCACAACCACACCTAACCTGTAATACATTTTCTGTGGTATCCAGCTTTGTTTTCTCTAAAGTGGATAGAAGCTGAAAGACACAAGTAAAGCACTGTAAATGGGGAATTCTTTTAGATACGTATAATGCCCCCCCATGTGTTTATCCTTGTCTTAGAGTTAACACAGTGGTAATTATTTGGTTGGGGGAGGGGAGGAGGTTATTTTTATTTCACTTTCCAAAGAATTGGGCTTAATTTTCACAGAAGCAACAACTCGTCTTATACTCTTGTTTTATTAATTTAAATTCTGTAAAGTACACAATTTCCAAAAAATTATATAGCTGAAACTGTATAACAAGCTTTGGGATCAAACCCTACTGAATCTTGTCAGAATAGAACTCAAGAGGTGGGAATAGTGCATGGCTTGTCCAGGAGCATCCACGGAGCATCCTTGGACACTAGGTGGGGTGCTCTATAGAGGGAATGGAGAGCCCTGCCCGATCTAGTGAGTTAGTTATGTGGAGGTTGGTTAAAAAAACTTCTATATTTGTTTATTTGCATGCTACTTTACAGTTCTTGAAGTACTTTCAAATTGATTTTCTCATTTAATTTTTACAATGCTCATGAAATAAGCAAGGCAAGAATTTAGAGGTGGGAAAATGGAGGTTCATAGAAGTTGAATTGTGTGACTATGAATAAGTAATTTCCTTGAAGGTGCGTTGGAAGCAGAGTTCAGATTTTTCAGTCTTAAGCCAGATCTCTACCCTCTCTTCTCGATTGCCTCTTTTCTTGCTGTTTTGAAAGCAGTGATGAGACTTTGATTTTATTTAGATATTTATAATTTTCTTATAGCATTATGTTACCATCATAGGGCATATCAGTAATAGTAACATACTACATATGTCAATGTTAGACATTTAATCACCTCTAGCAACCTACAAGCAAATAAAGAGACAAAACTCCTCTGGACCAGCACTGTCCAATAAAATTATAATTTGAGCCACATATGTAGTTTGAAATTTTCCTTTGGGCACATTACAAAACAAAAAAGAAACAAATAAAATTAATTGTATATTTTCTTTAACCCAGTAAATCCAAAATATCATCATTTCAACATGCAATCTTTATAAAAATTCTTCTTGTGATATTTTGCACTCTTCTTTTTGTACTAAGTCTTTCAAATCAGGTGTGTAAATTGCTTTACAGCACAGCTTATCTCAGACTAGCCATATTTCAGGTGCTCACTTGCCACATATGTTGAACAACACACCTCTGAACTTTAAGAAGAATATTGTAACAAATGCAGGCATGTGAACACTTGGAGATACAAGCCTCTAATACTTTGGGGCCATTTAATTTCGAGACAAATAGTTTTACAGATTTCGGTGGCTCCTAATAATGACTCCAAATCATTAAAAATAAGATTAAATTATCTACATTGTATTTAAGAGGGCCGAGTATGGTATGAAATATGTATTTAGAAAACTCTCCATCAAATTTTTTTTTTTTTTTGAGATGGACTCTCGCTCTGTCGCCCAGGCTGGAGTGCAGTGGCGCAATATCGGCTCACTGCAACCTCTGCCTGCTGGGTTCAAGCAATTCTCCTGCCTCAGTCTCCTGAGTAGCTGGGACTACAAGGCGTGTGCCACCATGCCCGCCTAATTCTTAATATTTTTAGTAGAGATGGGGTTTCACCATGCTGGCGAGGCTGGTCTTAAACTCCTGACCTCGTGATCTACCCGCCTTGGCCTCCCAAAATGTGGGGATTACAGGCGTGAGCCACCGCGCCCGGCCCAAAAATATTTTTAAAAAAGGTTTGACATATAACCCAGCCATTGTACTCCTGGACATTTGTCCCAGAGAAATGAAAACTTATGTCCACATAAAAGCCTTTACAGGATTGTTCATGGCAGCCTTGCTTGTAATAGCCAAAATCTAGAAACAAACCAAATGCCCTTCAGTGGGTGAATGGTTAAACAAACTGTGCTACATCCATACCGTGGAATACTACTTCACAATAAAAATAAATGAACTGTCGATGCACTCAACAACTTGGATGGGTCCAAAGGGAATTGTGCTGAGTGAACAAAGACTCAGCAAAACTCAGTGAAAATAATGTTTTACTGGGTAAAAAATTATGAGACATTAAAAAAAGTACCCTTTTGAGATTATGCTGAGTAATCTCTAAAGGTTATATTTATAGAACATTCCCAAAATAACAAAATTGAAGAAATAGAGAACAGATTAATGGTTGCCAGGGTTAGGGACTCAGGAGGGGGGCGTCCTGGGAGGGGGATGGCTGTGGCTGTGAAGGAGGATCATGAGGCAACTCTGTGGTGGTGGAACAGTCCTGTATTGTAATTGTAATGGTGGTTACATGAACCTATATGTGATAAAATTGCACAGAACGCACACACTCACACACAAACACACATGAGTGCATGTCAAACTGGTCCAATCTGAGTAAGGCCTATGGATGTACCAATGCTGATTTCCTGATTTTTCTATTGTATTAGTGTTATAGAAGATGTTACCAGAGGGCAAAACTGGATGACGGGTATGTGAGACCTCTCTGTGCTATTTTTGTAACTTCCTCTCAATCTATACTTATTTCAAATTAAATAAAAGCCTGGTGCTTGAATAGATGTTCTATTATTTGTAAAGCCTCCTTCCTAGAACTCTACAGTGAAGAACCCCAGTGAAGATGTATGAATGAGGATGAGCGTGGACATCTGTTCAGGGACCCTTTTAATTTTATTTTATTTTTACCGTTCTTTATTTATTTTTAATTATACTTTAAGTTCTGGGATACAAGTGCAGAACGTGTAGGTTTGTTACATAGGTATACATGTGCAGGGCTGCTTTTTCTACAAGCTTGGGGCTGGGCTTATCTCAGTGCAGAGGGGAATGGTTGTGGCCTAGCTGCAATCTCTCCCCTAAATAAGAAGGGACCCCATTCTTGTTCCAGTTTCTTGTTAAGGTCACTGCAGCAGAGGATGCCATCTCTAGGCTCCTGAATCAGAATGTCCCCTGAGGTGCCATTGGGCTGTTTGACCCCACCTTGGGAATGCTAGAGCCTGAGATCTTGTCACTTGCTCTTCACATTTTCATATTAATGTGTCACTGGCTTTCAGCAGTTGCCTCTCAGTAATGCATTTAGTCCCTGGTGAGTATTTCATAGCCAGATGAACTTTAATCCCTGAATGCGCTGAAAGGGAGGGTTCCTTTTCCTCTTTTGAAGATTCTGCTCCCCTGTAAGAAAAGTGCATGATTTAATTAGTGGATGAAAGAAAAGGGCCCAAATGGAGCCAAAAAAGAGTCAGCAGCATTGCCACCCACCTGCAGACACACAATAGGATAAAAGCAGCACCTGATCAGGGAGGGGAAGGAACGAGGAGGGAGAGGGACAGGCTTGGCCGTGGGTGTAGCCCGGAGTTGGGAAGCCCGTGGCCCAGGATCAGGTCAGCCACTGGCTCAGTGTGACCTTGGAGCTCAGCCTCTGTGGGATTTGTTTTCTCATCCTTTTAAAATGGAGATGGTAGTATAGATCCTTCCTACCTCCAGAAACATGTAGACAGCAGAAAGAAGATGGGGGCAAATCTATGAAAGTATAAAATGCACTATAAAAAAGTATAATGCAGTTTATAAATGATTGCTCCTAATGCATCAACTGGAGTGAAACTAGCCAGAGTGTAAGAGAGGAAAGAGGGGAAGATGCAGAACTCTGTTCTTGTATCTTTTTTAAAAAGCACAAAAAGGTGATGTCTTGGTAAAGAGTAGAAGTTTGACATGTTTTGTCGTGATAAGAATAGAATTACTGTGGTGACTGTCCATTTATCCACTTGGGATCCGAGCATTCCAAAGTATAAGATGCTTCATTACAGGCCGGGTACAGTGGCTCATGCCTGTAAGCCCAGCCACTTTGGAAGGTGGAAGCAGGAGGATCTTTTAAGGACAGGAGTTCATGACCAGCCTGGGCAACATAGCAAGATCCTGTCTCTATAAAATATATTTAAAAAATTAGCCTGGTGCAGTGGAATGCACCTGTAGTCCCAAATACTAGGAAGGCTGAGGTGGGAAGACTGCTTGAGCCCAGGAGTTCAAGGCTGCAGCCCAATATGATTGCATGACTGCACTCAAGGCTGGGCAACAAAGCGAGACGCTGTCTCAAAAAATAAATAAAAATGCTCCTTGGCTGTATAAGACATATTTTATTGCCCTTTTGGAGATTTATAATGAGCACATTAAAGTTTTGGAAAAATCCTGCAACAAAGAAATCCGTTTTACTTTGTTTAGTTCAGTAACTCCTTAGTTTATTATCCATGGACCCCTCTCCTGTGCCCTGTGACTTCCTCCTAACTTGTTACATAGCCTGGTCAAGTGCGCTGGAACAAGGGTACTGCTCTGCAGAATTCTGAACTGAGTTCCTGGGGTTTTGTTGTTAGCTTGTTTGTGACTGTCAGACTATTTTTTTTTTTTTTTTTTTGAGATGGAGTCTCGCTCTGTCGCCCAGGCTGGAGTGCAGTGGCACAATCCCAGCCCACTGCAAGCTCCACCTCCCAGGTTCACGCCACTCTCCTGCCACAGCCTCCTGAGTAGCTGGGACTACAGGTGCCCGCCACCACGCCCTGCTAATTGTTTGTATTTTTAGTAGAGACGGAGTTTCACTGCGTTAGCCAGGATGGTCTCGATCTCCTGACCTTGTGATCCGCCCGCCCTGGCCTCCCAAAGTGCTGGGATTACAGGCGTGAGCCACCGCGCCTGGCCCAGACTATTTAATTTTTGTAAATAATTTAGTGTTTTGTTTTTGTTTTTGTTTTGGCCTCAAGGAAACTCAAGGAAAATTTGTACCTCATGGTTAGTTTCCATTTTAGAATACTGTGACCTTTGTATCTTTGTATTGTTTTTCAAGTTTTCTTTCCTTGTCTTGACAGATTCACAGGCCCTGACTTAAAAATTCTTGTTACTGTATTGCTTGTTGTATCATAAGCCATTTCAGAATCTGCCTGGATTGAGATGGGCTATGAATATAATTAAGAAACAAAAACAAACTAATAAAATTACAATAACAACTCTTTTTTGAGGGCCTGTCATTTTTCAGGCATGGTACTGGGTTCTTTGCATAAATGATTTCTTCCTTAATGTGATCAAGGTGTTCCTCAGTTTTGTCCTAGGAGGTTTTAGATCTCACGGTTCTAATTTAGTTTCTCAGAGTCTTACAACTGGGAGGGACTTTTGAGAGCATCTGACCCTAAGAAATAACCTCCAGGGAGATGAAAGTCTAAACCAGCCAGGACAGATGGTCTTCTGAGACTCTCCATGGCAACCTGCAGCTAATCTCTGCCCTTCTGCCACTTCTGGGAAAATTGCTTTACGGAAATGCTGTTTTAACTGGGAGCATGAAATCACTAATGATGGGCAAGGTGGGGGTGGCTGGTTTGTGTTTGGGAAATTAAGGTTCAGTGCCTGTCTCTCTGGGGGGAGCAGCTGCTGTGAGCCAGGATTACCTAGGACAGTTTCTGTCTGATGAGAGAAGGGGACAATGCCTTCCTCCACTCAGGTGGGTGAAGGAGGACTCTCACATGTGCTGAGTTTGTGCTAGCATCAGTCTTTTCATTGCCCTGCCTTCACATACCCCAGCATCTCATCTAAGATGTGTCCTGCTGACATGAGCCAAGTAATGTCATTCTTCCTCATCCAGAGCCATTTCTGGCTGTCCCAGGCTTTAGAGCGATTTCCCTCACTTGGCATAGGTCTTTGCAATATTTTGTTATATCATCTTTCCATGTGTAAGCCCCATCTTGTCTCCTTGTGTAGACTGGGCACTCCTGAAGGCAGGGATGATGCCCTACGCATGGTTGTTTCTCAAGTTACTGTTCAGTACCAGGTGCATATTGGTCCTGGGGTGGGGATATTTATTGTTGCTGCTGGTTGGCATCAGTATTTGGTAAATAGAGTGGAGGGATCTGTGCTGGTCTCTGGAGATACAAAGATGCGTGGACACTTTTCAGTTCATAGTAATAACTGAGTTTCTTGAGGGGAGGGACTGAAATTTATTCATGTCTCTCCAACACTGTACCTGGCATATTGAACTGTGGCAGAGGCTGCTACTTGTTCTTCCCAATATTATTATTATTAGTGGTAGTTGTAGTAATAGTATTAATAGTAGTTTTCCCTCTCCTTCTCTCTTTCTTCCTCTTCCTCCAACTCCTACTCTCCTTCTCTTTCTTCCTCTTCTTCCTCCTCCTCCAATAGTAATAGGAACTTTACCTGGGCACGTTTGCCAGCTTTCCTTGCAGCTGAATATGGTCATGTGAGGTTCTGGTGAAAGAGACATAAACAGAGGTGATAATTGTAACTTCCAACTTGTGCTTTAAAAGGAAAGCAGTGGGCCATCTCCTTTTTCTCCTTCTGTTGGGCTGGAGCACAGCTCTATCTTTGACCATATGAATAAAGGTCACACTTTTGGGATGGCAGAGCAACAAAGTGGAAGGAGCCTGGGTCCTCATCCTTGCTGAGCTGTTGCCATGACCCTAGACTGAATAACTGAACTGTTTTTATTTGTAAAGTAACATTTACATGAGAGACAAATATACTTCTATCTTGTTTAAACTTTTCTACCTTTGGGTACAAAAGGCACTTATTATAGCTGCCTAGTCTGTATTCTGATCAATTCAGGAGGTATTGATAAATGTCTGTTAAATGGATGAATGAATTTCTGCCTTCCCTTATTATTGAGCAGCTTTAATAGTGGTCAGCGCATACATTTAAATTGAGAAAGGAGGTTTCCCAGGTGACTTTCACCGTATTTCATTGGCCAGAAATGTGTCATGTGGGTCTCTCTGGCTGCAAGGAGGCTGTGGATGTGAGTTTTATTTTCCAGTCACTGTAGATGAAGAAGGCAGAAAAGGGGTAGGAAAAAGGAGGAATGAGTGAACCAATCTATAGTACCTATCAGCAGTCACATATAAGAAAATTAGTTTTCATTTATGTTTTTTTTTTTTTAAAGAATATAAGCCACCTAATTTGAGTATTGCCAAGAAGAGATGTACTTCTTATCCTAGTTGAACCAGATTTTGGGAAGACAAGATGTTTTCAAAAGAGTAGATAATTATCAGCGTGGACCTTGGGGCTAGATGTAGTCATCTTGTCACACAACTTGATTCATGGCCATTTGGAACTGTCTACAATGGGATGGATGTTGATGCTGAGGCCACCTGGTGCTTCAGTGTCTTAAATGCTTTCTTTGGGGCCACAGCCAATTCCAGGCAAGGCATGGCAATCCCATAGTTTGTAGGTGATATGGAAAAGGTAGTGTCAGGGCAGTCAGAAACCCTCAGCAAATACTTAAGTACTTCTGTGCACCAGCAATGCTAGGTACCAGGGAATCCCATAAATGATCTCTCTGCCATCAAGAGGGAGATGAAGAGATAAACTGATGAGTCCCCCACAGGGTAATGAATGCCATATAGAATGTCTGTGAAGAGTATTGGGAACAAAGCGGGAGAACAAGACAGAAAGTTTCCCTGGAAGAGCAATAGGAGGTACCTGGAGCCTCTATATTTAATTTCTAAAGAGATTCTAAAACAGTGGGTCTGAAATATATAGTCTGCTTCCAAATTGGGTTTAAATTAGCATCTTGTGTATCATATATACATTGTACTTGTTACTCTGGGGAATGGAGAGTTTCAAAGAAGTCTAGAGTTGAAGCATTGTCCTTTTCTCTGTCTAGGGGAGACGCTTAAGCAAACGTGAATGTACTTCCAATGTGGCATCTAAGCAGAGAGACCATGGAAAGGCCAAGTTTTAAGAATTGAGTGTTTCTCCTTTCGATTAAAGAAAGAAAGTTGCTCATGAATATATGTCACTTCAGGCAAGGGGCATGGGATCCTGAAAATATCTGTGTCAGAAAATCTTTGCAAACAAAAATCCTCTTCCACACCTTTCCAAAGTCAAGAATACGTTGGACATTTAACATTTTAGGTTTTGGATTTTCTTAAAGCAAGGCACACAAGAAGATCAAAGAAGGTGCATTGACATGTTGGCAAAGAAGAAGCATGAAATTCAATTCTGTGGAACTCATTTTACCAGAGAAATTTCATAAAACAAAGTAAACTTATCAGTGGTTTAAGTTGCCAACCCTTGGATTCCAATGCAACAAGCAGGATGGATGCAGGCAGCTTGCCCAGGTTCAATGGAGTTTAAAGGCCAGGTGTTTGTGTAGGGGAAGGAAAAACATTGTCCTGCTCAGGAAAAATGTATTCAAATAAGAAACGAGAAACCCATTTTGAGAATTTAGTGCATATGTTCATTTTACAGGTGTGTTGGGAAATTATCGGCAAATGAATGGATTTGGTCACAAAGCCTTTGGGTTGATTTGGGGGAGGAATGTTGCTTCTTGGGAAACAGCCAGAGGAGGCAAAAGATATTTTTGGGAACATTCTAAGGCATTCTCTTTCCTCTTTTTTGTTGATGGCTTCCAAGTTGTCTAGCCCTGAATCTCTTATGTGCATTGGGGAATTACATAGCGGTAGAAGGCACGCATCATTTCTTTACTTAACTATGTGTCCAGAACCATTGTTGAGTTCTGGAGATGAACAGACACACTTCAGCCTTTAATGAACTGCTAGGCAGGAGGGGGAAACACACATGTAATCTAAATAATGTAATGTAATGCCATAAGTGGTGTAAAGGCTTGTGGTTTTGGAGAAGAGGAACAGATGAACTGTCCAGAGGACATTAGAGAAGCCTTCACAGAAAAGATTATATTTGAGCTGGATACTGAAGGATCTTGAAGGTGATTGCCAGGAAGAAGGGAGGAAAGGGCAGACCAGATGGAGGTATCCACGTATGCAAAGGCATGGAGGTGTGAAACATGATGCCTCTAGGGGATGTCTCATTTAGCTGGAACACGGGTTTTGGGAGGCCCATGGAGGCTATTTTGGGAAATAATACTGGATTGCAAATGGCCTGATATGCTTGCTAGTCTACAAATCTAAACTTAATCTTTTAAGAAGTAAATAACTTCTCTGTAGGAAAGTAACTACAAACGGTAAAGAAAGACATGCTTGTCAAAAAGGCCAGAACTCCTGAATGTGGACCCCAGGAACTCACATGTACTATCTGGTCTCCCCCAGGTTCTGCAAGGACATCAAAGACCTGAATTTTGCCTAGAAACTGACCCTAAGAGAGACAGGAAGTAGTGAGAGGATACAGACCCAACCGACTGTAGAAAACTGTGGGATTGAGGTTAATATATAATTTGCTTTAACTTGGGTGAATGTGGAATAAGGAGAGTGGCAAAATGTTAAGTTCATACTCATCTGTTTATAATTGTGTGCTCTGAGCACCCTTTCCTTTAAAGTGGGCTGCACACACAGAGAAAGAAACATTTTTCACACAGTTTGGACCAGTGCCTGAAAAGCTCAGACTCGGAGCGTCCAGGAGCTGAGATGCCTGTGCTGGACAGCCCCTGATTGGAGAGGAGTTAATGATCAGTGCCCCTAAAATTGTCACATAGGCAGCTGATTATGAGAAATTGGTCCAGCTGTTTAGGTTACTTTTGAGATCAAAATTTTGTGTTTTGTCAGGGGAGTGAGTTGTCACAAACCCCATGTGGCCAAGGAGAGACTACTAGCCTGCCCTTGTGCCAAAATGTTGCAAGCTTCTGTGGGCAGCTGATTTTAGTAGACCTTATAGGGAAACCCCTCACTCCATCTTTTTTTTCCCCTCCTTCCTACACTGAGATGTAGCAGGAAGGACCCTGGCCTTTGGGACTGGAGGTGTGGTTAGCTGGAAGTAAGTAAGGTTCTGCTAGTTCCCTGGTGAACATAGAATGGTACTTCTTTCTGTCTCCTCATCTGTGAGGTAAAAACATTCAGAGACTCAGTGTTTCTTATGACATTGATAAGCTAAGGTTCCACTCCCCTTTCTGGCCTGTTTTGAGTTTTCCCTGTATACTCAGTGAGTGCATATGATTTAGAAAGGTCTGGGTGGCTCAGGCAGTGGGTGTGAGAAGAGCTGCCTCACTTTGGGCTCTATGTCCTTAGGTCCAGGTTGGGATCAAGTCCAATAAGCTAAAGAAGGCTTTCGGGAAATAAAACCAGAGGTGTTTTTTTTTTTTTTTTTTGAGACAGAGTCTCGCCCTGTCTCCCAGGCTGCAGTGCAATGGTGTGATCTCAGCTCACTGCAACCGCCACCTCCCGGGTTCAAGCAATTCTCCTGCCTCAGCCTCTCCAGTAGTTGGGATTATAGGTGTGTGCCGCCACGCCTGGCTAATTTTTTGTATCTTTAGTAGAGACAGGATTTCACCACGTTGGCCAGGCTGGTCTCGAACTCCTGACCTAGTGATCTGTCCGCCTCAGCTTCCCAAAGTGCTGGAGTTCGCTAACCAAGGCCTGCAGGCCAAATTTGGCCTGAGGCCTGTTTTTATAAATAAAGTTTTGTTGGAACACATTCACCCACATGCATTTACATATCATCTGTGATTGCTTCCATGCTACCATGTCAGAGTTGAGTGGTTGTAACAGAGACCATGTGGGCTGCAAAGGTGAAAATATTTACTAGCTAGCCCTTTACAGAAGAATTTTGCTAACTAACCTGTCCTAGATCATAAACTCTAGGAGGGCTGGGGACATTGAAGGTAGTCAGTAAGTTTTGACTGAATGAATGAATGAATGAATGGATGAATGAATGAATGGTCAGGAAATTGGAATTTGTTGGATATGTAATTTGACAGCAGACTTTTAATGACACACTTCAGGTTCCATTTTCCCTTTAAATAAAATAAGAACAGTGCTACCTATGAAACAGGCAGTACTTAGGAGGATTATTTCCCATAATATAACTTTGGGTGTTTAAAATGCTATTAAAAATATAACTACCATCTATGAAGCTTTGTATGTGTTGAGCACTTTATTAAGAGCTTTATTTTTATTACCTCTTTTAGTCCTCACCGCCACCCACTGTGAGGGAGGAATTATTGATCCTAGTTTATAGATGACAGAGCTGAGTCCAGAGAGGCTGAGTTACTTGCTGAGGTCACAGAGCTGGTAAGGCATTGAGCACAGGGTCCAACTCCAGGGTGTCTGGTTCTAAAGGCTTCCCATCATGCCCCATTGCTTCTGAGTGCTGTTAGGTGCTTCCCACCACTTTTTTAAATAAAAGAGACAGATATCAATTTTGGAGAGGGGTCTTCAAGATAGAAACAAATGGCAAAAAAAAAAAAAGTTGGTTATCAAATCTTTTAAACCATTTATGTGATTTAGAAAACTGTGAAGTTACTCATCATTAGAAGTGCACTTTAAAAAATTCTCTTCCTTAAGGTTCAGCTCAGTGTGCTTCATGGAAAAAACTAAATGGGGGAGCATGTTTTCTTTGGGAAAAACAAAATAGGTAAGTTTTAGGGATTTGTAGAATTTTCATTTGTTTAGCAATGGTGTACGTAGTGGTAATACACATTCAAATGCTGCCTTCTCCCAGAAACCTTCTGCCAATTCCGCACATCACTTGGAACTGGGTACCTAGCACATAGCAGACATTCAATAAATATTGATTGAATGAATGAATTAGTACCTTCTAGCATTTCACACATATTGCCTTCCAGTATACTTGGTTTTATGTGAATGTGTGCCCTTACCTATTATAGCATAAGCACTAGAAGAGCACTGGTACCCTGCCCACTTCTTTGTACCCCTTATGGTACCTACCTAGCACAGGGCTGGAACTGAGTAGATGCTCAATGAACATTTGTGGAATTATGCTGTGGCCCCCAAATTATTTTGTGGCCCCTAAAGCTTTGCAGCTGAGTGAATGGCCCATTGAAAACTAGCACGATGATCAGATGGACTTCTCTCTGTCTAAGGGCATTGATTGAGACCCACATTTATATTGAGGGTGGAAATGTCCAACAAAGACAAAGAAAAGCATATTTATTGCTTTAGATAGAAGTCATATTTGTTTCTTTCACTCTGGAAGATATAGTCACATAAGGTCATGAGCTATTTTTTCTTCCTACTTAATTGCTAGTCTGTGGGTTGGTGAAAGCTCACATGCTTAGCTTTTCAGTGAAACTTTCACAGTCCATGTGGCTCTGACTCAGAATTTTTTCCCCTATCTGCTTCTTCTGTTGCCAATTCATTGTTTATCTCCTTTGTGTTTTACATCTGACCTATTATTTTGCATGCTGTTTTGGATTACTGAGGTAGCAACATCCAAATAGTTTCTGTGTACATTTTAGCTTTTGGGAGTCAGGCAGCTGCTCTGGGGCCTGTTTGAGTCAGGTCAGGGTCAGAAATGCCCTTCTGCTTTTGTTTCCGTGGAAGAAGTTGGCCTGGAACTCTCTCTGGGCACCTTCTGCGCCCTCTGGCAACCAGAAAAGCAAAGTCGTTCATCAAAATCTCAGACTGGAGCAACTCCTTAAAACAGCTTCCACAGTTCTTGCACATACTCCTTTCTTGATTTGTTGCATATCATTTCAGGCACCTCTTTTAATGCAGCTATTCAGGCTGCCTAAGGCAGTGGTCCCCAACCTTTTTAGCACCAGGGACCAGTTTTGTGGAAGATAGTTCTTCCACCGATGGGGTGGGGGTGGTGGTTTGGAGATGATTCAAGCACATTACATTTATTGTGCACTTTATTTCTGTTATTATTATATTGTAATATATAATGAAATAATTATATAACTCACAATAATGTAGAATCAGTGGGAGCCCTGAGCTTGTTTTCCTGCAACTAGATGGTCCCATCTGGGGGTGATGGGAGACAGTGCCAGATCATCAGGCATTAGACTCTCATAAGGAGCACGCAACTTAGATACCTCGCATATGCAGTTCACAACAGGGTTCGCTCCTATGAGAATCTAATGCCACCACTGATCTGACAGGAGGTGGAGCTCAGGCGGTAATGCAAGTGAGGGGGAGCAGCTGTAAATACAGATGAAGCTTCGCTCACTTGCCCACAGCTCTCCTCCTGCTGTGCAGCCAGGTTCCTAACAGGCCATGGACCAGTAGGAGACCCTGGCCTAAGGGACCAGGACAGTGGCCAGTGCTTTTCATAGCCTCTTAGTACTTCTGGTGGAGTGTCTCTATTCCCCTCAATTCCCTCCTATTCCGCTAGGAGTTTGAATCTGCTTTGCCCAGTTCTGTCCTGCCAGCCTTTTTCCTTTCACTGAATTGCCTTCACTTTTTGCCTATTAGCTTTGATCTCTTTGGAAAAAAGGGCACTGGGGTATTATTACTGCCTCTGTTTGTTTTTGCAAATGCACTATGATTTGTGGTTGGTCTTTTGGCTAGCCTGAGGCTACCTGACCCTCCCTCAACAGCCCTAGTTCCCCCAGGTCATTCTATAGTTTTGCCCATTTCTTTAATTAATGTTGGTGAGAGTCTCCGAGCAATGAAGACTTTTTGGATATGGAGAGAAGCAGAACCAGAGGGATACCAGTAATTATGCTAATCTGAGAGCATTAAGTCTTCAAATATACATTTTTGGATAAGCAATTCTGTTGTTTTTGAAGTTTGGTTGTCTTTTTGTTTCTGGGTGGTGGACTATAATTTTGTATTAAGGAAAGAATGCCTGCCCTTATATATCCAGGACTGGATTTTTTTTTTCTTTTTCTTTTCTTTTCTTTTCTTTTTCTTTTTTTTTTTTTTTTGAGTACTCATGAAAGGAAACCATAAGAATGTTTGGGTCTAATAATATACTTGCTTGTGTATGAAGATAAAACCAATAATAACATTAATACCACCCTTCAGTGGTGAAATGCTTTAACCTTTCAAAACAACTCCTTTTATGAACTTACTCTATCAGTTGGCAAGGTGATTTCAGGGCTATCTCCTGTGGTGATGATGGATCTGTGGGAGCTTTTCTAATTGTGTGGGTGAATTTGAGAGACCCCATCCCAGTGGTTCTTGTTCAGGGGTGAGTATGGAATCATGTGGGGAACCGCCATGAATTACACATACCCAGGTCCTGCCCAGGACCTACTGACACAGTCCTGGGGTGGGGGACCTGCCCACTTGGAAAACTTCCTGGGACTTCCTCAGCTGGACCCTCTGGGGATTGGGGAAATGCATTGCAGTCACCTGCCTGGGGTAGTAGGGGCTGCCACATCTGTGACTAGGACCCAAGGAGAGTGATGATGACCCTTCTTGGAATCATGCAGAACACACAGTGACAGTCCCTTTTGGAAGCTGGCCACAGGCTGCACTTTATTCATTATTTTAACAGCAACCAAACATTTGCTGTGTGCCCACTGGTGGCCGCTAGACAGTCTTCCCACCCTTTAGCTCATGTAGTCATTTAAACCAGTTCCATCACTAGAGAAATGTGTTACTAGCCCCTTGAAGGAGAGTGGGCCTTCAACTGGATTCAGGAGTTGTGGTCTGAGGAGAGTGATTGATATGGTTTGGCTCTGTGTCCCCACCCAAATCTCATGTAGTAGCTCCCATAACTCCCACGTGTTGTGGGAGAGACCCAGTGGGAGATAATTGAATCATAGGAGCAGGTCTTTCCCATGCTGTTCTCATGACAGTGAGTAAGTCTCATGAAACGTGATGGTTTTAAAAATGGGAGTTTCCCTGCACAAGCTCTTTCTCTCTTTGCCTGCTGCCATCCATGTAAGATGTGACTTGCTCCTCTTTGCCTTCTGCCATAATTGTGAGGCCTCCCCAGCCATTTGGCATTGTAAGTCCATTAAACCTCTTTTTCTTCCCAGTCTCGGGTGTGTCTTTATCAGCAGCATGAAAATGGACTAATAGAGTGATTTAATGAGTTTCACCAGCATGGGTTTCTTTAGCCTCGGTTTCTTTGTCTGCAGTATATGGGCTAATGGTACACACCTTGAGGTTGTTGAGGGAGAAGAGACGGGCTCAAGTGCTGCCTTTGTCTTACCAACCTTGTGAAGCCTCCTTGAGCAGCCATGTCTTCATTTGTAAGATGAGAATAAGAGCACCTGTTTTATGGGCTTTTTGTAAGGATTGCGTGTGCTCATGTAAGAAAAACCCCTTGCACCCTGCATAGTACCTTGCAGAGCAAATGGTGGTGATAATGACAATAGAAGGAGCTCTCTTTATTGAGTGCTTACTGTGTGCCAGGCACTGTGCTGGGCACTGGACTACAACAGAGGGGAAAGATAGGCATCGTTCCTGACCTCACTGCGCTTAACAAAGAGAAAGCTCTAAGAGAAAGTTTTCAAAGCATTACCCTTCTCTGTATATTTAAGAGGAAAGCTTTAATGTTATAGGATGCCTTCTAAATATGTATTTTATAACACAGTGGGTAGAATGTGGAATGTGTCTTCTGGGAGGGAACTGGAGTTTTGCATTTCCTGCCTGCTTGTGCTTTTGAATTTGTGGCTGTAATGCTGCCCTGCCTGAGGTTTCAGCAGTTAATATTTCCCAGGGCAGCATGATGTCAACGCCCCGTGGTCTCTTATCTACAAGAAGGGTATAGCCGGGGCAGAGGGAGAGAAAGGACTATTTTCAAAGCCTCTCTTGAAGACTTTGTTGAGCTTTAACTTAAAATTTTCCTCATCTCCTTCCTCAAACGTTTGTGCTTGATGTGCATAAACCATGCCAGTGTTTTGGAAGATTCAAGTTTGACCACCATAAATTGGTTCATATTTCCAGCAGGGCAGTTATTTAATTTCCTGTTGGAAGTCTACAAAATGTTGGCACTGTTTGCTCTTTGGCAGAAGACCAAAACTCAGTACAGTATCATTAGCATGCTCTGGTACATAGATTAAAGCACGATTGTCTTTAATAAGAGGCCATCCCTGTTTAGGATGGGGCTTTGGGGGCTGCAAGGGTGCAGGGAAGCACAACGAGCTTTCTAATCAAAATCAAAGTGCAGTTACTGGGACTCACTCGAGAAGGGTTAAAGGGAGGGCAGAATTCCGATTTCTTGTCTCAATTTCATTTGTTTGGGTTATTTTGCTCTAGACTCTGGGAGAGTTTTGGAGGCCAGGGCTGGCTGGTTTGTGGGATACCCTGGTTTAAGCCTCGTGCTTCTTCTGCATTCCTCCCTCTTGGCAGTACGGCTCATGGGAGAAGCCCACCTCTGAAGCCCATAGAGAAATGCAGAGTGTCTCTACGGAACCCACTGTAGTAACTGAAATGTTATAATGGTGGGCATTTACAGAGGCTCTGTTATCAGTGAGGCACTTTACATATGCATATTCAGCCTTTACAGTAACCCTGTGAGATACGTATTATTATTGCTGTTTTGAGGATGAGAATACTGAGATGCAAAAAGATTAAAGTATCTGTAGCCAGTGAGTATCTGAGCTGGGGTTAGAACCCAGTTCTGTTCCTTGGAAAGATTCTTACTCTTCTCATATACCCTAATAAGGGCCTGGGGAAGGAAAGGATCTGAGTTTTCAAAAAAGCTTGAAAATTTGCCTAACATGAATCTTGGGAAATTATTTCTAGGGGCTTCTTACCAGATTAGCTCTGTTTTTCTTTCGCAGAGGCCCTTCAGTGTTGGCTCTTTGGTAGAATGAGCATAGAAATGTATTTTTTTCCTACAAATATTGTATCATGAAAAATGTCAGACAGATTGAAAAGTTGAACACCACCTACATTCTACTATTGCTGTTTTATTCTATTTACTTTATCACTTGTTTCTCCATCTAACCTCTAAGATCTATTTATATTTGTTAGAACATCTTTTCTCTCTGCCCTTCTGTTCCTTTGATTGATGGCAATGGCCTGATGGGAAGTAATTCACAAAACCAGAGGGAAAGTACAGTGCTTAGAACAATCTTTTTTTTAGGAAAAAGAGAAAATTGTTCTTATGTTTAGGTAGAGCCCAAAATGGGCATTTTTCCCCTCCCCTAGGTCTGTTGTTTAAAGGATCTGACAGAAATAATTATAATGAGGCTGATGGTGAATACATAAGGTATAACCTATTATTACTGTCTTCTATGCACCAGGCATGATGCTGACTGCTTAGTAACCTTATCTCATTGATCATTTCAACATTCCTAATTTACAGATGAGCAAACAGCCTAGAGAGGTTGATTTCTGAGCTGGGATTTGAGACTGGTGTGTAGAGACTATGGTGTGATTTCTCTGCATTTCAAATTATGCTTCCCTATATTTTTGTTCCAGGGTCTCAGTGGGAGGCCCTAGAAGGTTACTACTAATAAGGAAAAATTGCTAAAGCCCTGGAAATTGAAGGCTACCAGAACCTTGTAAAGATTCTCTGGGACTAGACCTCATTCCTCTGAGGATCCTTGTCAGACAGTTTCCAGGGGGTGGGGAGATGTTCTGCTCTCCCCAGAGTGTCATAGAAAGTTTCTGTGGCTTTCGGAATTTCTCATGACTGATTCACATCTTCTTCTCCAGCTTAGAAGAAAATCCAAACACTTACCTTTGGTTTATCAGTTGGTTAATGTTGTTTTCTTTTCATGGTAGGATCATCTATGGCCTCCTTAGACCTATACAAGTGACATCTTTTCTTCCTGGGGAAGAAGATGGTTTCTGCAGGCACTGACTTATGAGGGCAGGTGCATACCTTTTGTAAGGGATGAAACTTGAAAAAGAATGGGTGCTTTTTGATGTGTTTATGCTTGAACCTGCTTCCTTGTTGAGTGTGATCTTGAGCAAGTCACATAAGCTTCTTAAACTCTTGGCATCCCTGCAGCAGTTATTATTGTGAGGGAGATGGAAAAAAGGTATGGATAGAGTTCTTTCCATTAGAAAATGTAATATTCCTCAGGAGCCCATGAAGAGGATGCTGCTGAAAACTGAGGACATGGCATAGATAGGAATTGCTAGAGAAAGGCAGTAGAGAGAAGAAAAATACCTGTTGGTTGAAATAGTTGATTGGAGGAATAAAAATTGCCTGGAACTTAAAGTTTCCTTCGAATACCAGCACTGTCCATCAGTAGCTGTATAAATTAGCCTCTTTGGTCATTAAGTTTCATCATAAAGTGGGATTATTAATACCTACATCATAGTCTTATTGTAAGGATAAAGTTTACATAATGTATGTAAATCTCCTAACAGTAGTTCATAGTACTTGGCGATAAAAGATATCTCTTAGAAGTAGGAAATGGGGAAACTGAGGTACACCTTGAAACCTGAGTAGGATTTGGATGCGTAAAATGGTCCAGTTCTGAAAGTATTTTACAAATATCACCATGGAACACTATGCAGGCATCAAGAAGCATGGTTGAAACCCAAAACTCTTCTTTCTTTTAATAAGGCAAAGGTGGTTAACTTTTTGAGCCAAAAGTTCCAAATTGTTCAGTAAAATGTCATTGATAAGATATCAAAATATCAGATATCATTTTGGTTGAAGCTCAAGTTGGCAAGAACCAAGGGTGGAATTGCTAAGCTGGGTGACACATTTGAAGCCATTGTAATGTTTTAGTGATCTCCACAGGGCACGTCATTGGTGGCTCTCCCTGTCCCCCTGCAAGCCCTGCAATCTGGCTGCATTTTCTACACACTTGTTTGGTTGTTTCATGAAATCTACCCCCCTGTACTGCTGCAGGCCACAAAGAACAGTGTTCAGTAAGGTGGATTTTGGAAACTGAAGTTGTGATTGCACTGTAGAAGGCTTTCATTGTTTGTTTTGTTTTGCTTTTAGTTTATGGAGGACTGTTGGGAGATTAGGAGAAGGAAAATGCCCCAGTAGAACTGAAATCCTAGTCTAGCACCTGAAAAGAGTGAATTTTGCCTTCTTTTTTTTCTCTGCTACCTTGCAGTCATTTCTGCTATATGCAGATTCAGGTTTGATGTGAATTTTGAGTTTAGCTGGAATTAGTTCTTTCATGGCCTTGGGGAAGATGTGGATAAAAGAATGAACATACTAAGGGTTGACAGTAAAATTCAAAGGTCAGGTAAGGTTCTGTATGCATCCTCTGCCTGGAGTGGTTGTGTAGTGATAGTGTTAGGACTTTATAAGTCTTTTTCTCACATCATCCTTATAACAAGCCTTAGAGATAAGTATTGTTTTTATTGCTATTGTGCAGATGGAGAAACAGATGAGGAATGGAGAAGTTCAATAACCTGTGTGAGGTGGTACAGCTAGGAAGTGGCAGAGATGGGACTTGAATTCAAATCTCTGACATGTAAGCCCTTCCAGCAATTGTGGTGGAATATGCTATCTCTGTTACAGGCTTCTCTTGTAACAAGCTGTGCTTGTTAATGCTCTATAAGGAGCCTCTGGGAGCAAGGAAAAGGGAAAGATTTTTTGTGTTCACTTTGCATCCACACAGCCCTTTTTATTCTCAAGATTATGCTGGGGGGAGGAAGCACTAGAACTACCGTGAATTAAGTGTTCACATTGTACCTAGATTAAAGCAAGGTGCTCTGCATAATTCTCACATTTAACCATGCTGTCCTTATCCTTATTTCATTGATGAGCTTCAGAAAGTCAGGTTCCTTGACCCCAGTTTCACCCACAGAGGAAGTTCTGATGGTGAAATTTGAACACAGAATGAGTCCACCACCTTGCCTTCCTCTTCGGTTTTCAATGACTTCTCCCTGACAGTCCTGCGATGGCATTTGTGGTTTTAATTTCAAAGACCCTTACAATTGTTGATGGTTGATAGCATTTGGTATCCATTGGAAACTGCCAACACTTTTCACTGCTGCATTTGGAAGAAAATCATAGTGAGTTGATGTGTTAGTGATTCAGGACTTCTGGGAAACTGAGAGCACCCGTGTGTACTTATTTGGAGTCAATACTTTATGAACAACTTTGGCCCAAAAGGAGAAAAATCTGTCTTCTGAAATTGAGTGCAGGTCTCTTAGTGGCTTACCTCAGCAGGGAGCCAGTTATTACATAAGCTGAATACCAGGTCCGTGGGTTTCCCTAACCTGAAAAAGAAGCAGCGTTTGCAGTTATGAGGAAAACAGAAAGACCCATTTCTCTGTGGCATGATACTGAACAGGCAGCTTCAGCCGTGAGGATATTTTGGCCGGAGGAAAATGTAGCTTAAGAAAAGTCCCAGCTGGTTCAAGTGACTTAAGCCCAGCTATTCATGAAATATTATCTGACAGCTCCCCCTTCTCCTCAAGTGGCTGGGGAGTGAGTCACAATTGCCCCAGAAACCTGTGTTCTCATATGGGATTTTGGTATTCCAGGTTTGCTCTACTTTGCACACTGGACAGCTTCATGAAAAGCCATATTTGGTGCAGACATTTTCTTGTGATGATAAAAGCATTTAGTAAATGTACTGGGAAGCTTGCCGTGATGAATCCTTTTGTTAAGAAATTAACCAACATTAATTTTGAATGTAGGACTGTCCCACGTGCCCAGCACTGTGCTTGCTGATGTGGGGGTTCAGAGATTATGAGACATGTGAAACACTAGAATGGAATCTCCATGAAGGCAGCGATTTGCCTATTTTGTTTTCTGATGAAACTGTGGTATATGTAACAGTGTCTGGCACATAGTGGATGCGAAATAGATATTTGTTGAACAAGTGAGTATGTCTCTGCCCATAACAGCTTACAACCTAGTTTGCTTGCATTAATTAATCAACTAATTATTAATTAATGAATGATTTTATTCCTTTATTCTACTTATATGAGCATCCAGAAGTCCTCAATTTTATTAGGATATCTTTAATTCTTTTTATTATTTAAAAAGGTAAACATGTGATGTGTTTGTTGTAGAAAATGAGAAAAGAGCAAAGATGTAAAAAGAAAAATAATTGAGACAATAATTATTTTAATTTAAGCTTATATCATTAGAAACTTTTTCCATGTAAATACCTGATTTTAAAAAATGAGTTTAATTCTCTTGCAAGTTGATTTTATAACTTGCTTTCCTCCCACTTATCAGTGTTATTGTGAACAGCTTTCCATATCAAAATACACTGTTCTCAAATCATCAATTTTTAATCACACAATTTAGCATTGTGTGTGATTGCATCATAGTTTTCTTAATCCCTATTGTTGAATTGTTGGGCATTACTCCTCTCTCTGTTTCATTAGTATAAACAATGCTATGATTATCTGTTAATTTTTGTGCATATCCATGATTATTTTCTTGGCAATAACCCTTTGAAGTGGAATTATTGAGTCAAAGGTAAAAGTCTTTTGATCTACACAATCATTGTGGCTACCATAAAGGTTACAGAAATGTATTCCCCTCTCTGTGTTCTGTGGAAATAAAGTGGTTTTTTTGTTTACACATAACTGATGCCATGTATTGTCATTTAAAAAAAAAACAACTTTCTGGGTTAAAAAAGGGAATATTATTGTTATTTAAGTTAATATACTTTTGATTACTGGTGATGTTAAAAATCTTTTAAAATATTTTTTGTCATTTGTATTTCTTCTTTTGCAAGTTACTGGTTTATATCCATTTTCTTACTCAGAGACTCGAGGACAGATCTTCTTTCCTTGGTCCCTCCCAATCCATGATGGGACTTGCTATGGAATTTGTCCACAGTTAGCCCCAGTAAATGTTGAATCCTCCCATCCACCCACTCATTCATCTACCCACTCACCCATCCATCCATCGATTTATATGTTGATTCATTCAATGAGTATGGAGGACCTAATAGATACAAGGTTTATAATTTAAGATAGCGCTTTGAAAGTTTTTTTGATATTGCTGCTAACTACAGACATTACTTTTTTTTTTTTTTTTTTTTTTGAGATAGGGTCTCACTCTGCCATCCAGGCTGGATTGCAGTGGTGCTATCATAGCTCGTTGTAACCTCAGACTTCTGGGCCCAAGTGATCTTCCTGCCTCAGCTTCCTGAGTATCTGGGACTAGGAGTCCGTGCCACCACACCCAGCTAATTGTTTTATTTTTTGTGGAGATAAGGGGGTCTTGCTATGTTGCACAGGCTGGTCCTGAACTCCTGGCTTCAAGGAATTCTCTCACCTCAGCCTCCCAAAGTGTTGGAATTACAGGCATGAGCCCCCACACCCAGTCAAAATCTTAAACTTTTTTTTTTTTTTGAGACGAAGTCTCGATCTGTCGCCCAGGGTGCAATCCCGGCTTACTGCAACCTCTGCCTCCCGGGTTCAAGCCATTCTCCTGTCTCAGCCTCTCTAGTAGCTGAGATTACAGGCATGAGCCACCACTCCTGGTTCATTTTTGTATTTTTAGTAGAGATGGGGTTTCACCATGTTGGCCAGGCTGGTCTTGAACTCCTGACCTCAGGTGATCCACCCACCTCGGCCTCCCAAAGTATTGGAATTACAGGCGTGAGCTACCGTGCCCAGCCCCAAATCTTACCTTTTAAGAAAAGACATATTAATATGAATTAATACAATGAGCAACTAATCCAAAAAGTTTTTTTTCTCCTAATGAGTTTTCCTTTGGGTAATGGAACTGATCTTGTCTTTTCTGTGCACCCAGCAGGGTTGGGTAGACAGAAATCAACAAATGTTTTCTGTAAAAGTCTGGATAGTAAAGATTTCAGGCTTTGCAGGCCATATAGACTCTGTTGCAACTATTCCACTCTGCTCTAAAAGCAGGAAAGCAGCCATAGATAATTTGTAAACAAATGAGCATGGCTTTGTTCCAATGAAAATTTATATATAGAAATAAAATTTAAATTTCATACAGCTTTCATTTGTCACAAAATATTATTTGTCTTTTTTTTTCCCCCAGTCACTTAAAAATTTAAAAACCATTCTTAAGTTTGTAGGCCATACAAAAATAGACAGTGAGCTGGATTTGGCCTGGGGTTTGCAGTTTGCTGATCCCTGGGGTAGGGTCTCAGAAGCATGCTTTGAGGCTTTGAGGAGCTAATCTGGTTTTGCAAATTTGCTACAAACAACCCCACAATGGATGATTCATAAATGAATAATAGAATTGAGTTTAGCTGAGGCTTGGATATGTATCCTACCTCTTAATGACTGGCAATACATAATTCTTAGTGTGTTAGCAATATTTTAAGCTTCTAAAAATACTTTTATTATATATTTACTCATAAAAATTTTACAGTTATGAGCAAAGAAAAAACGCTTTCCTATCCTTTGTCAATATTTTGATGTGTCTTTTTTCAGTCTTCATGTATATATAGGGCTTACGTATGTATAATGTCTTTCTTTACAAACACTGTTGAATCCTGCTTTATTTCTCTTAATAATATATGGTAAATATTTGTCAGTGTTGTTGAATATTCAAATATAAACTGAAACCACAATAAAATACCACTACATACCCACAGAATGGCTATGATTAAAAAAACAACTAACAATACCAAGCATTGGTAAGGATGTAGAGAAACTGAAATCCTCATCCATTTCTGGTAGGAATCTAAAATGGTGCAGCCACTTTGGACAACAATTTGGCAGTTTCTTTAAAAATTAAACTTAGCATATGACCCAGGAGCTCCAGTCCTAGGTATTTATCCAAAAGAAATGAAAACACATGCCCACACAACGATAGGTATGCAGATATTCAAAGCAGCATTATTTATAATAGCCAAAAATTAGAAACAACCTAAATGTTCATCAACTGGTGAATGGATAAACAAAATGTGGTATATCTATACAATAGAATACTATTTAGTAATTAAAAGGAGCAAAATAAAGAGAGGCTACCACATGGATAAACCTCAAAAACATTATGCTAAGTGAAAGAAGTTAAGCACAAAAGACCACATATTGTGTGATTGCATGTACATTACATTTCTAGAAAAGGCAAAAAACTAGAGACAGAAAGCAGATCAGTGTTTGCCTCAGGCAAGGTGGGAATGGTTAGCGTCACTTCTAGGAGCAGCAGAACTTTTGGGGATGACGGAAATGTTTTAAAAGTCGAATGTGGTGATTGCACGACTGTATATATTTACTAAAATTATTGAACTGTACACTAAATGGGTGAATGTTATGTGAATTATACCTAAATATAACTGGTAAAAATATTCTTTGAAAGCTGAATTTTTAATAGTGTCATATTATTCCATCATGTGAATGTTTTATTTCTTTATCCTGGATGACTTGGGAGAAATATTCAGTGTTTATTTCCTTTTACGCCAAAATCCATATTCAGTAGGTTCAATTTGAGCCATTGGACTTAAACAAGAATGATTCAGAGGAATGAATCCCAATCCAGTTGTCAAGAAACCTAGCGTGGTCTCAATCCTGCCTCCAGCTGGGTGGACCTCAGTTCCCTCATCTATAAGATCTAGGACAGAAATAAATACAAGGAAATACTGGGTTCCAGGGAATAGAGGATTAGAAATAGAAAACATAGTAGTGGCAGTAATGAATAAGACTGATTTCCCTAAAAGTAGGAGGCCAGGCACTGATTATTTTTATTTTTATTTTTTAGCTTTTAAGTTCAGGGGTACATGCACAGGTTTGTTACCTAGGTAAACTTGTGTCATGGGGGTTTGTTGTACAGATTATTTCATCACCTGGGTATTAAGCCTAGGACTCATTAGTTATTTTTCCCGATGCTCTCCTTCCTCCCACCCTCCACCTTCCTATATGCCCTAGTGTGTTGTTCCCCTCTATGTGTTTATGTGTTCACATCATTTAGCTCCCACTTACAAGTGAGGACATGTTATATTTGGTTTTCTATTCCTGAGTTAGTTGGCTAAGGATAATGGCCTCCAGCTCCATCCATGTACTTGCAAAGGACATGATCTCATTCTTTTTTAGGGCTGCATAGTATTCCATGGTGTATACATACCACATTTTCTTTATCTAGTCTATCATTGATGGGTATTTGTGTTGATTCCATGTCTTTGCTATTGTGGATAGTGTTGCAATGAATATATGCATGCCTGTGTCTTTATAATAGAATGATTTCTATTCCTTTGGGTACATACCCAGTAGTGGGATTGCTGGATTGAATGGTATTTCCATTTTTAGGTCTTTGAGGAGTCACCACACTGTGATTCACAATGGTTGAACTAATTTACACTCCCACCAATGGTACATTGTGGAGAAAAAGGAATGCTTTCTCCACAACCTCACAATGGTACATTGTGGAGAAAAAGCATTCCTTTTTCTCCACAACCTCACCAGCATCAGTTATTTTTTGACTTTTTAGTAATAGCCATTCTGACTGGTGTGAGATGGTATCTCACTGTGGTTTTGACTTGCATTTTTCTAATGATCAGTGATGTTGAACTTTTTTTCACACATTTATTGGCCACATGATAGACTGGATAAAAAAAATTTGGTACGTATACACCATGGAACACTGTGCAGCCATAACAAGGAATGAGATCATGTCCTTTGCAGGGACATGGATGGTGCTGGAAGCCGTTATCCTTTTTTTCATAATGGTTGCTGGCTGCATGTATGTCTTTTGAGAAGTGTCTGTTCATGGCCTTTGTCCACTTTTTAATGGGGTTGTTGTTTTTTTCTTGTAAATTTAAGTTTCTTATAGATGCTGGATATTAGACCTTTGCTGGGTGCATAGTTTGTGAAAATTTTCTCCCATTCTGTAGGTAGTCTGTTTACTCTGTCGTAGTTTCTTTTGCTGCAGAGAAGCTCTTTAGTTTAATTAGACCCCATTTGTCAATTTTTGCTTTGTTGCAATTGCTTTTGGTGCCTTTGTCATGAAACCTTTGCCTACAGGTGCTGTTTATTTACACCCCTGTCCCAACCTCACCCCACTCCCTTTCTTTTGCTGGTGGGAAGTCAGTAAGAACTGTGGGTGGGGTTCTGAGGTAATCAATACAAAGAAGAAGGTAAGAAATTGGAGGGGACTCAGGGGAGATGGCAATGCTGACAAGGGGTTGGATGGAATTTGTTCTGTAAACTGGAAGCATTCTGCTTGGCCTCAACACTTGCCAAGGCGTTGATGACACACAATTTGGATGATTTAATCACCAGGAAACTATCTAGGTTTCTTGTTCTGAAGTATGAGAGGACAGCCTATTAAAGGAAGACCGAGGCTGGATATTGCCATGAAAATAGTAAGTTTTCACGTTTGGCTTCCGAGGGGAGAGCTGGTGCCCTACTCACTGCAGGGAAATTTAAACTGGGTGAAACTGAACTGGTTTCCAATTGCTTGTGTTCTCCATTTCCAGCCAAGTTCCAGGTTTTCCTAGAGTACAGCCAGGAGCATCTGCACCTAGAGAACACAGAATAAAATTGTGGAAACCAAACTTGTAAATGTTTTTCTCATTAGCTTCAGGCTCCCAGCCACCAATAAACTGTAGGCTTTAAAAAATCCTGTATTATTTTGCAAGTTAAGAGAATGTGCATATTCCCCTTATTTATATGTTCAGGATTTTCTTAAAATGTTACACATCAAGCATTTATCTGCTAAGCCACCCCAAAAGGTAACAGCATTCTAGTTTTTGTACAAAAGAGAAAAAAAATTCCACTTAATAAACTTGCAGTAACTTGAGCCTGTTGGTGGTCTTGGAGGAAACCCAAATCCAGGTTTGGTTGATACTGTGTAATGTGAATGCAATTAGTAGCGGTTTTTCTAAAGTAGAAAGAGATGTAGAAAAATAATGCATAGCAAATTTAGGTCAGAGCTGGGAAGCTTATAAATCCTTATTTTTGTTTTCATTACTTTAAGTAATAGGGCTTTTGTCTTTATTATGTAATTTCCCTAGCAATAATATGTTTTAAAACATTTTTCTGTTAATTTCATACATTTGATCAGAAAGCCACAGTTCATAAACCCCTGTGATGTGGCAGCTGTCACTGTTTATATATAGAGGATGACTTCTTGTTCATCCCTGGGAGGCCAACACAAAAATTACTGATGGGGGCAACTTTCACTACCTGTTTTTTCATTTAGTAGAAGGTTTGCAAAGCAGTTTTCAGTTGATCAACATCCTCCTGATAGGCTAAGGAGTGAACTGACCTTTACATGCATGGTTTATTTCAGAGCATGTTATTTGATTCCAGCATATTTAAACCTAAGCAACTAGATTGTAAGGTCTGTAAAAACAGAATTTGTCTTTCTGGTTTTTTACTCTATTCCCCTGGCACATAGTAGGTGTTCAGGAAATATTAGCTACTATTCTCCTCTCCAAGATGCAGCTGTTCCTCTCCAGCTGTCCTGTCCTTGCTGCTCCTCCTTGAACTTGCCAGGCTACTCCTGCTTCAGCACTTTGGAGACCACAGACCAGCAGGGATCACTCCCTCTCCTCTTCTGGGTCTTTGTTCAGATTATACCATCTCAGTGAGGCCCTAACTATCTCCTTCCTTTCTTTCTTTATTTTTCCATCATATCATCGCCATCTGATAAACTGATATATTGATGTACTGATATATTGACTTATTTATTTGGGAATGTGAGCTCCACCAGGACAGGTGTTTCTGTCTGATTTGGTTATTGCTGTATACCTAGTGCCTAGAACATAGTTGCTATAATTTACTTGGATGTTCCGCCACGTACTGGCTGTGTGGTAATAGCTAATGCATTTGCTCCCTTGGATCCTTTGTTTGATTCCCCATTTGTTTCATATGGCATATGTGGGTCAGATGAGATGTTGCACATGAAAGCTCTTTTATGCTATGTGTTATGCAAATGTATTCACTTATTTATTCATTTAATCAACCAGATGCAGTTCCTGCCTTCACAGAGCTTAATAATTGGACAAATAAGTAATTTCACCAAAGTGGGAATGCGGGTGATAGGGATAGTGTGATAGGGAATGTGCAGCGTGCTATGGGAGCACCGTCACGAGGGATTCCTAATTCAGATGTGGGGACAGGACCCTGGAAGGCTTCCAGGAGGAAGGAACATAGAAGCTGAGATCTGGGGATGGAATGGGCATTCAACAGGCGAAGGGAGTGTGATGTAATTGATGGCATGGAGAGTATTGCAGGTAGGAGGAATAATGTACAGAGTCTGGAAGTGCAGAACCATAGAGTACTGGTGGAACTGAAAGTAATTCAATCTTTCTGGAATATCCAGTGTGGGGACAGATAAGTGGATAGGGATGTGGCTCGTGATATAGTCTGGGGACAGATCAAGGAGCGCTTTGCAGGCCATGCTGGGGAGCTTGGACTTGATCCTAAGGACAGTGTGGAGCCATGGAAGTCTTCCAAGAAAGGAGTGACTTGGTCTGACTTTCATTTTCAACAGTCATTTTATGGAGTAAGACAGCTTATTTCCTCGCCAAGGAACTTGAACACAAGCTCCCAGGAAGGGAGGTTGTGAAAACAGTGAAAGGGCCTTCCAGAAAGTAAATCCTTAAGCTCCATGAAATTAGCTTAAATTCTGTTTGAATCTGACTGGTGAATATCATAGCAATGAGGCCAAAAAAAAAAACCTTCATAAAAACTTAATTATCTTTGAGGCCGTAGCTCATACTTGAGGGAAGGGACATGGGTAACGCTAGAGACATATATGTTTGCATTAACTTTTACGCCACTGTGGGGCAGACAATTAAAGCAGGAGTGGAGGAGTCAGAGCAGTTTTGAATCTGCTTTTAAGTCCCAGAGAGTGTCACAGTACCTCCTACCCAGCACTGGTTGCCAAAGTAAAAGAAAGTGGTAACAATAGGGCATAAGGTGGTGGAGAAGAGGCTGGGTAGACCTTGGCCATATTCTTGCTTTGCACCTTACACTGCTATAAAGAACTACCCGAGACTGGGTAATTTATAAACACAAAAGAGGTTTAATTGACTCAGACTTCTGCATGGCTGGGGGGTCTCAGGAAACTTAAAATCATGGCAGAAGGTGAAGGGGAAGCGAGGCATGTCTTACATGGCAGAGGAGGAGAGAGAGAGTGCTAAGAGAGAAGTGCCACTTTTAAACCATCAGATCTTGTTGGTTTAAAACAACCACTATCGTGAGAACAGCATGGGGGAAAGCACCCCCATGATCCAATCACCTCCCACCAGGTCCCTCCCTTGACATGTGGGGATTACAATTTGGGATGAGATTTGGGTGGGGACACAGAACCAAACCATATCATTTTACTCCTGGCCCCTTTCAAAGCTCATGTCTTTTTCACATTTAAAAGCTAATCGTGCCTTCCCAACAGTCCCCCAAAGTCTTAACTCATTCCAGCATTAACCCAAAAGTCCAAGTCCAAAGTCTCATCTGAGACAAGGCAAGTTCTTTCCACCTATGAGCCTGTAAAATCACAAGCAAGTTAATTACTTCCAAGATACAATGGGGATACAGGAATTTGGTAAATGTTCCCATTCCGAATAGGAGAAATTGGTCAAAACAAAGGGGCTGCAGGCCCTGCACCAAGTCCAAAACGCAGCAGGGCAGCCATTAAATCTTAAAGCTCCAAAATAATCTCCTTTGACTCTATGTCTCACATCCAGGGCATGCTGATGCAAGAGGTGGGCTCCCAAGGCCTTGGGAAGCTCTGCCCCTATGGCTCTGCAGGATACAGCACCCCTGACACACAGCTGCTTTCATGGGCTGGCATTGAGTGCCTGCACCTTTTCCAGGTGCACAGTGCAAGCTACCAGTGGATCTACCATTCTGGGATCTAGAGGCTGGTGGCCCTCTTCTCTCAGCTCTACTAGGCAGTTTCCCAGTGGGGACTCTGTGTGGGGGCTCCAACTCCATTTTCCCCCTCTGCCTGCCCTAGTAGAGGTTCTCCATGAGGACTCCACTCCTGCAGCAGACGTCTTCCTGGACATCCAGACATTTCCATAGATCCTCTGAAATCTAGGCAAAGGCTTCTGAAGCTCAACTTTTGTCTTATGTGCACTCGCAGGCCCAACACCAGGTGGAAGCTGCCAAGGCTTGGGGCTCCCACCCTCTGAAGCAATGCCTGAGCTGTACTTTGGCCCCTTTTAGCCATGGCTGGAACTGGAGTGGCTGAGACTCAAGGTGCCATGTCCTGAGGCTGCACAGAACAGGGAGTGCAGGAGGGACCCCTGGCCCACAAAACCAGTTTTCCCTTCTAGGCCTCTGGGCCTGTGATGGGAGGGGCTGCCATGAAGATCTCTGAATTGCCCTGGAGACATTTTCCCCATTGTCTTGGCTATCAACATTCAGCTTCTCTTTATTTATGCAAATTTCTGCAGCTGGTAGCTTGAATTTCTCCCCAGAAAATAGATTTTTCTTTTCTACAACATGGTCAGGCTACAGGTGTTCTAAACTTTTCTACTCTGCTTCCCTTTTAAACATAAATCCCAATTTCAGACCATCTGTCTGTGAATGTCTATGACTGTATGCTTTCAGAAAAAGCCAGGTCACATCTTGAATGCTTTGCTGCTTGGAAATTTCTTCTGCCAGATATCCAAACCATCTCTCTCAAGTTTAAGGTTACACAGATCTCTAGAGCAGGGGCAAAATGCCACCGGTCTCTTTGCTAAAGCATAGGAAGAGTGACCTTTGCTCCAGTTCATAATAAGTTCCTCATTTCCACCTGAGACCACCTCAGACTGGACCTCATTGTCCATATCACAATGAGCATTTTGGTAAAAATCATTAAACAAGTCTCTAGGAAGTTCCAAACTTTCCCACATCTTCCTGTCTTCTTCTGAGCCCTTCAAATTTTTTTATTCTCTGCCCGTTACCCAGTTCCTAAATCACTTCCACATTTTCAGATATCTCTATAGCAATGCCCCACTTCTATCAGGACCAATTTTCTGTGTTAGTCTGTTTTCACACTGTTATAAAGAACTGCCTGAGACTGGGTAATGTATAAGCAAAAGAGGTTTAATTGACTCACAGTTCTGCATGGGTGGGGAGGCCTCAGGAAACTTACAATTATGGTGGAAGGTGAAGGAGAAGCAGTCTCCTCCCTTGACATGTGGGGATTACAATTCGAGATGAGATTTGGGTGGGGACACAGAGCCAAACCGTATCAACCAGTGATGTGGCTTTGGGAATCACTTAACTTCCCTGAACCTCTGTTTCCTTTTCTGGAACATGGAATTAGTACTACTGATTTTTCAGTGTTGCTAGGATTCAATGAGATAAAGCACAGTCAGTGCTGCTATAACAGTTGTTTTGAAAACACACACATTTTTTCAAAGCTGATTGATGTATTCAGAAAAATTTGAGAATAATGCAAATTTTATGTTTACTTACATAGTCAGTTTTATCCACGAAAAGTACTAGGTGGACTCAGAAGACGGCACTCAGCTAAAGTGAGATGCATGGCAATATACAAACACACACACCTGAAACATCTACCAGCTCCTCAGTTCACCAGGTGTGTTGAGTTACACTCGAGTTACACTCATCCACATCTGCCATTACAACTTTCTGTCCATTTTCTGATAACCAGCCCCCCACCCACCACTTCACAATAACCCATAAGCTGTAACCCTTACAATGCCCATTTCCACAAGAAAGTAGTAGTGTGTTCCAATCTTGTTTTCCCATAAACTCTGCTGTTTTTACTGCACAATTTTGCATAGTGTGGTGATTTCTCAGAACTCATATGTTGTGTTATAGCAGAACTGACTCTGTCTAACACAATTCCTGGCAGACAGCAGACACTCAGTAACAGGTAGCTGTTTTATTATTAATATTAATCCACTTAAGTACAATTGTGGGTTGGGGCAGGGATCCCTAGTTACAATGTTTAGCTGCTTTGATTAGTAGTGTTAAGTGAAATGGACTGCCTGAGTGGAAGGGTTTTGGTGCTTTTATCTTTTCTAAGTGTGTGCTGGTCAGACCACCCTTGGGGTATTAACAGTGACAAACCAGGTATGTCCAGAAAAGAGCAAGCCAGAAAAGGAGAAGACATGAGAATGATCTTTAAATAGTTAGAGGGCCATCTTGGAAGAAGGATTGCTTTGTTTTGTGGGTCTTCAGGGTGACAAGGGGAAGCTCCCAGGGCCCAGGGTTCTGGCTAGCTCGGGGACGAGCCTCAGAATAGTCCCTGGGGGTGATGTGTTCTCCAAGCTCTGATTGGCTGCTCTGGGAGGGGAGAGGACAGAGAAGAGTCAAGCACGGGTTTGGAGGTTCTATCTATAAAGTTCCTTTTCATTTTTTTTTTTCCTTCAAGGTAGTGTGCAAAGACAGATTCTGCTGATCAGAGTAAATTTCAGACAGAAACAACCCAAACTTTTCCAGCAGTATTTGGACTTCTGCTTGCCTGCTTGCGTTTTTTTTTCTTTTGGGTGATCTAAGAGAATAGTTAGCACATGTGCATATTTACGCACTGGTTTTTTTTCTAGTTATGCCCTTGAATGTTGCAAATATAAAGACTATGCTTTACAAATATTTATGGCTTCTGGCATGCTTAGGAATAGTGAAATTACATCAATGCTTTCCGTCTCGAGGGCTTTTTTTTGACTTTTCTTCTTCTTCTTTTTTTTTTTTTTTTGTTTGTTTGTTTCCAACTCAGGGAAAAAGCTCAGTTAGTTACTGACCTGGCATTGCTTTCTCTCTAACATCCTGTGTAGCTTTTGTCCTCTCCATCTAAGCAGGCTGTTAAGCTCTTGTAGTAAGAAAGATGTTACCCTGGGCTTAGACCCTCTCGGTGGAGCTGAGATGGAGAAGCCTCCGGAAGCATGGGGCATTTGAGCTGAGGGATGGCAGGATCTGCTTCAGATATTTAAAGTGGGTTACTCTGAGCCTGCAAACTAGAGAGTCTAGTGTGGTGTCTCTAGAAGAATTACTTTTGTACCCTTAGATGAATTAAAAAGTAATTATACTGAGTGTTTTATCTTGCCTGTATACGGATGTATAAGATTCCAGGTTTCTAGTTGATGTTACTGTTAAAAACAGAAGATGTTCAAACATATTTGATTTTATTAAATTAGTTTTCCCTGTAGTCATAGGAGGGGTACTGCTGTTTACATGCTGAATCTTAGCAAAACTATAAAATAGCATTTTTAAAAAATGGCAGCTCTTCTGTTCTGATGCTTTGACAATTAATGTTATCTCTTTTTGTTTCTATGATGAGCACATGGGACTTAGGCTTACTCTTAAAATGGATTTTTCCAAAACCAAGAGTTATTACATTTCTTCCTCTGAGACAAAGTATTCAGGCCTCCTCCTCTTCTAGCACTCAGTCTGGAAAATGTGGTTAGTCTTTCCATGTGGGAGCTCTTGTGCTTTGTGCATTGGTTCCAAGATGGCAAGTGGACTACTGTTCCAAGATCTGGGCCCAAGGCATGTCGTTGGGCTCGCCTGAACTTGTATATAATGACCAGAAGGAATTGGTCTGCACTGCCATTACCGCCAGCCACTACCTGATCAATTCTGCTTGGGAAATGGCTCTAATCAACATTCTTCTAGACCTGCTGTTCATGGCTGCAGGTGGCAGGCTCATGGATCAATAATTGGCTGGGGCGGTTGGCCCCACTGGTCAACCTCACTCCTTGAGCCCTATTTACCTGTTGCTGCCTCCTCCATCCTCCCCTAAAGTCACACAGCTTCAAATAAGGTGGTCCCATCTATTTTGGTGCTTTCCCTTCTTTCTTAACCTCCCATAATGGAAAAAGCACAGGTTCCAGAAGCCTGGTTTTAAATCTCAGCTCTGTTATTTATCAGCTTTGTGATTTTGGGCAAGTGACTTAATCTCTCTGAGCCCTTGCTCACTCATTTTAAAATGATGTCACTCATCCCTTTCAGAGCTGTTAAGAAAACATCATGCAAACCATCTGGTACAGTGCCAGACACAGAGAAAGCCTTCTGGAACTGGAATCCACACACACCTTACCAATTACTTTTTGAGTAGGTCAATTGCCAGCATGTCTCCAGAGCAAAAAGATTAGATGATCCTCCTTTCTTTTTGTGCCAGGTTCTGCCCAGGCCCAGGGGCTGCAGAGATGAGTAAGAGGAAGTCCCTACCTATAAAGGCACTCCCAGTTTTGCTAAAATCCATTTTTCCAACAAACGTATTTTGATACCTACTGTGTGCAAAATTTATGTGCCTTTGGGGAGGATACTGAGATGATTCAGTCACTCATTTATTCATCGGTCATCAGTCGTGTGCCAGATACTGTTAGAAGCACTATGGGTAGAAACAACAGGCAAGACATTGTCCTTCCTTTTGAGAAGCTCATAGTGCAGTAAAATATACTAAAGTATGGGAGAAGTAGATAGAAAGAGAATATGATCTCATTGTTAAAAGGCACTTGTGTTGTTGGACAATATAGGGTGCACACAGTAATGTGGATTTCATTTTTGCAAGTATTCAGATCTTGATAGAGCTTCATTGAGACAACCGTCTCCTTTTAGAGGAAATGGAGCTTGGGAGTGGTTAATACGTCACACATTTAGGTTAAAGTAAAGCTGACACTAGCCCCACAGAAACTTTAATTTGTGTAGTGACTAAAGTGAAAACACTCTCTTTCTTCTTGATTCTATTGTCTCCCAGCAGAGATTTTATAATTTGAAAACATTGTTCCTTAGGTAGCCCCAAGAGGTAGATTTTCAGATTTGCTGCTTGCTTTTTGTAAACTATTGCATTCCTTCCTCCCAATAGCCCCACTGGGGTCAGGACCATTTTGAACTTAAAGAACTTGCTCAAAGTTACACAACTTGACATACAAAGTCAGGATTTGAATCCAGGTTTGCCTGATTCCAGAGTCCAAGCCCTAAGCCTCAACACCATAGTCCGTCCATGATTCACACTCATTGTAGTGTCTGATGGCTTTTGAGACTTTGTAGAAAAAAGCACATCTTAAATCATTTTTAGGACCTGTTTATCTGAACCAGTGGAAAAACTAAATTTACGAACCATAAATAGTGTCTATAGATGTGGAATGCCAAGTGAGTTAGGATATATTAATAAATAGGAACAAAAAGTTATGACCAAAAGTTGTGTTTTCCTATACCCAGTTTCTTAAGATTTCATAATTAGCAGGGGGGAATTCTGAGTTGATGAGTATAAAAAGGCCTCTGCAGGTAGCCCAAGAGACGATACTAAAGTCCAGAGGTTATAAACAGAAAGAGGAACAGACACTGTAGATTTTTCTCTACTCCATGACTTCTTCTTGCAGAAATTCTGCACTTGGCACTAATCAGACCTAAAATTAATTTCTTAAAATCACCAATGCCTTATTTAAAGAGGTTAACATTCTGCATGTAGCTGCTCCACTGCCAAACAAAAACACCCCTGGTTCTTTTGTGACCACTAATGCAATTGACTTTCCATCTTTTTAAGAATGCCCCCTCCTATCCCTCCATCTTTGTCTCCCAATTAATTTATGTTTATTTTGTAAAAAGCTTGTGGGCCTGTTGAGTTGATATTGCTAAAGGCTGACAACCACATAGAGGTACCTCTTATAGCGATGAAGTGTGTGTGCGTGTTTGAATTATCTGTTAACCAGCATCAAGACATCGGTTCCCTGTCTTGGATGAATGGCAGGGGAGGCTGAGCTTAACTTGGCCAAAGCAGCAGGGGGCTAATAGAATGTTTCTGTTCCCCATAAAGAAAGGTAGTCAAGCGTCTGTACTTTCCACTGAACTCCAGTTTCTATCCTGCTTTGAAAATTCTGCTTACCCTTTCAGTGAGAGCCACATGACAAGTGTTCAGTATGTCAGATTTGTTTTCATTTTATTACTACGTATGAATTTGACCTCCACAGTAGGGCTGCATTCATTTCCCAAAGCTCTTCCAATAATTGTATTCTTTTAAAAAATATGCATACTATTATTCTTTTTCAGATTGTGTTATGGCTGGTGTTTTGAAAGTGGTTAAAGGATGACTGGTTGCATGTGGAGTAATGTGTACATGATGCACATTTCCAGATGGAAACAGCCCTCAAAGTTCCCTATGTAGTTTGTGTACCTATTCTACTCATTTCATTAGACTGAACTCAGTACTTTCTGGCCAGTAGAGCAGGTTTTTTTCTTTGACAAAATTAAATTTGGATAACCTTTTCTGAAAAGCAATTTCAGTGTGTCATATTGACATTTATATTGATAATTAATTGTTTGTGGCTGTCAAAAGAAAGTGTGTATCTTTGCTTGAGGCCAGGAGTTCCAGACCAGCTTGGCCAACATAGTGAGACGTTGTTTCTACAAACAATACAACAATTAGCTGGACACGGTGGCGTGTTCCTGTAGTCCCAGCTACTTGGGAGGCTGGAGTAGGAGGATCAGTTGAGCCCAGGAGGTTGAGGCTGCAGTGAACCGTGATTGTGCCACTGCACTTTAGCCTGGGTGACAGAAACGAGATTCCGTCTCTTAAAAAATAAGTATGTATGTAATTGTGTATGAGCTAAGTTACTCTTCCTGTCACATTTGTATGGTAGCTACAGTCAGGCACTGCATAATCATCTTTCAGTCAGCGTTAGAACTGCATATAAATGGTGGTCCAATAGGGTTATAATGGAGCTGAAAAACTCCTAGAGAGGCTGTAGTTATTGTAATGTTGTAGTACAGTGTATTACTCATGTGTTTGTGGTGATGCTGGTGTAAACAAACCTGCCCTGCCAGTCCTGTAAAACTATGGCACCTCCAGTTATATGCAGTATACCTAATTGTATAATGATAATAGTAAGTATATTTGTGATAATAGTAAGTATACTTGATAATAGTAATAAACAACTATGTTAGTGGTCTACGTATTTACTATACTTTTTATTATTATTATTTTAGAGTGTACTGCTTTTGCTTCTAAAATAAAACATTATCTGTAAAACAGCCTCCTGAAGGACCTGAAGGCAGGTCCTTCAGGAGGTATTTCAGAAGAAGGCATTGTTATCATAGCAGATGACAGCTCCATGCCTGTTATTGCCCCTTGAAGAGCTTCCAGGGGACAAGATGTGGAGGTGGAAGACAGTGATATTGATGATCCTGACCCTGTGTAGGCCTAGGCTAATGTGTGTGTTTGTGTCTTAATTTTTAACTTAAAAATGTTTAAATAGAAAAAAGCTTATGGAATAAGGATATAAAGAAAATATTTTTGTACAGCTATACAATGTGTTTATGTTTTAAGCTAAGCATTATTACAAAAGAGTCCAGAGTTAAAAAAATAAAAAGTTTATAAAATAAAAAAGTTACAGTAAGCTGTCCAATTTCTATTGAAGAAAGAAAATACTTTATAAATCTAGTGTAGCCTAGGGGTACAGTGTTTATAAAGCCTACAGTAGTGTATAGTAATGTCCTAGGCTTTCACTTTCACTCACACTGATTCACCCAGAACAACTTCTAATTCCTGCAAGCTCCATTCATGATAAGTGCTCTCTACAGGTGTAACATTTTTAATCTTTTATACTGTATTTTTACTGCATCTTTTATATGTTTAGGTATGTTTAGCTATACAGATACCATTGTGTGACAGTCGCCTACAGTATTCAGTATGGTAACATGCTGTACAAGTTTGTAGCCTAGGAGCAATAGGCCATATCATAAAGCCTAGGTGTGTAGTAGGCTATACCATCTAAGTTTGTGTAAGTACGCTCTGTGATGTTCACATGACAACAAGCATATCAACTAAGAATGCTTTTCTCAGAACATATCTGTTGTTAAGTGACGCATGGCTGTAATTCATGCATTAATTGGTTACTTGTACCCTCTGTTTAGGGCTTCAAAAGTCAGATCTGTCCATCTAAGATGCTTTTAAGTAACATTTACCTTAAAGAAATAGATGGTTGATTGGTTTAAAGAAAGAGACAGCTGAATTGGACGGGGAAGCCAGATTTTGACCATATTTCTAAGAGGAGCTGTTCTGTAATGTTTTGGTAAAAGAATGTCTGTCTCCATATCATCTATCTATCTATCTATCTATCTATCTATCTATCTATCTATCTATCTATCTATCTAATTTGGCATCTATTTATCCATTAATCTGTCTGTAATACAAATATTCCAAACATTTAAAAAGTATAAGAAGGCTCTGTAGTGCAATGGATAGCACATTGAACTTTTTTTTTGTTTTTATATTGGCTTATTGCAATTAAAAAAGGTGCAAATAATATATGTACCAAAGAAAATTCAGAAAATAAAGAAACACTGAGAAAGTGAAAGACTAGGGCTCATATTATAAACACACAAAAAATCACTTTTAATATTTTGGGTACATTTCCTTGCAGGCTTTTTTGCCCTATGCATACATTTTTATCCATAAATGTAATCATCTTGTCTATGTTATTTTGTAGCAAGCTTTTTTTTCACTTAATACATAATACTATTTTTTCCAAGTCTTTATAGATATTGTTTTTCTTTTCTTTTATTTCTTTTATTTAGCCATCACTCAGTGATTGGATATTTAGGGTATTTCATCATTATTTTCTTTGAAAATTAAATAAAACAAAATTTGATGAAAATCCAAGGTGGCCCAACACAGTGGCTGAATATATCTCATCAGTCTGTTACATTATTCTCATGGAAATGGAAAAACAACCCCCAAAACTCTGCATCTGAGAGGAGTATATATTAAGCTTAAGGAAGTGCTTATGAACAGTAGGAAATGAGAGTTGGTAAATGGAGTCATTTTATTTCATAAAGGTGCCTCAGAGCTTTAAGCCCAAAGCCCTACACTTTGAGTCACTTTGGATTTTGTGCATCCATCCATGATGCACTGTGATTTTGTCTTACACTGTGTTTGGTATGAAGCATTAAATCTTCCTCCCTTTACAGTTTTCAGAATCTGTGAAATAGGACCTGAGCTAACCTAGAAAAGTCTCTCTGCTTGTCGTTTAGTTTTTTTTTTTTTTTGAGATGGAGTTTCACTCTTGTTGCCCAGGCTGGGGTGCAATGGTGCGATCTCGGCTCACTGCAACCTCTGCCTCCGGGGTTCGAGTGAGTCTCCTGCCTCAGCCTCCTGAGTAGCTGGGACTACAGGTACACGCCACCACGCCTAGCTAATTTTTTTGTATTTTTAGTAGAGACAGGGTTTCACCGTGTTGGCCAGGCTGGTCTCGAACTCTTGACCTCAGGTGATCTGCCCGCCTTGGCATCCCAAAGTGCTGGGATTACAGGTGTGAGCCACTGCACCTGGCCTTGTTTAGATATTTTAAAATAATCTTCCAATTCTGAGTAAATAGTATTTGTATAATAGTTGTGAGTTGAAGGCAAATAGTTTCAAAGAGTTCAGTTCTTTTGTCTTCAACATATAAGTCATAAAAATGCATGATTCTCCCTGAGGAGCCAGCTTGGCATCAGACTCTGGAGCCAGACAGACTGGGTTTATTTCCTGCCCCACCACTTTCTGCTGGGTGAACCGGAGTAAGTTACTTGACTTGTCTAGGTGTCAGTTTTCTCATCTAGAAAATGGGAATAATACTATTCATTCATAGGTTTGTTGGGCTGGTTTAAATAAGTTAAAACACAGTGTTAACTACTACTGTTTTCAACAGGTTCCTAAGGGTCTGTGTTTCTAGCGCTTTAGCACTTCAATGGCATTTATAATGTTCTGCATTATCTCTAACTGAGTGGTTTTTCTATGAGTATTTCTATGAGTATTTCTTCCCCAACTAGTTTATCATGATGGTTATAATACTGGCCACCATTTTTGATGGAGTATTATAATACATACTCTACATGTATTACAAAATGTACGTCTCATTGCCATTTATGAGGTATGCATTTTCACTGTTTTCTTTTTACAAGTTTAGTAACTAAAGGTTGTAGAGGTTAAGTAACTTGCTCAAGGTCATAAAATTGCTAAATGTGGAACTTGGAACTAAATTCCGGTCTGGTGTATGTGCCACCACCCTGCTTTTGTAAATTCCTTTAAGGAAGGGACTTTTGTGCTTTTTAGATCCCTTACAGATTTCAGCACTGTTCCTTAAACATAGTAGGTCCTCAGTAAGTTTTTTGTTATGTTGAATGAATGAAGGTAGGAGTGATCCTGTGGATAATAGAACTTTTTTCTCCAATAAGAAAACCAACAATATTGCTTTTTAATGACATGATATTATGAGTCTTAGAATTCTGTTCTGCTTCCATGTTACATGTAAGAGTTTGTAATTATTTGTGTATGAAACTGGTTGTATTTCATGTGAAACAAAAGTACATACCCTGTATTTGAGACTCTGATTTGAGAAAACCTGGATTAGCATTACACAAGTAACCATTGAAGCAATTTTAATTTAAATAAAGGATACAACTAATTCTGGATCTGTTTTTAGCCATTTATTTAACAGACATTTATTGAGCATATACATTGTGCAAAGCCCTCTGCAGGGGACTAAGGGTTTAAGGATGAATATGATGGTTTCTGTATGAAAGAGGATTTTATCCAATATCATGGGTTTACCTATGCCCTGATGCTAATGACCCCTATATATCTTTAATCCAACTCTTCTCCTTTTGCCTTCATTATTCAGCTCTATGTTGGATACTTCCACATGGATGTCTCATAGGCCTCCAAACTGAATTTATTATCTCATCCCCAGCACCCACTATGCCTCATTATATATTACATTCTTGTACCTGTTATATATTTCACCTCTGTTGGTGACACCACTGTCTAAAGTAACCATTCAAACCACTGTCCAAACTTCAACCTTCAAACAAACAAACAAACAAAAAAACCAGAAGTAATATTTGATTCCTTTTTTCTCCCTAACATTCTACATTTGGCCATTCACCAATCCTACTGATTTTTTTCCCCTAAATATCATCAAGAACTGTGAAGGATTTGAGACTTTATCTTACTTGCAAATGAACTTGCCTGCCACAGTTCCATAGATGCTGGCAGAAGGATTCGTGGGTTAGAGACAAAGAAATTTATTAGTCATAGCAATAGCAATAGCCAGAGTATCAACATATTTATTCACTGTTTCTCCAAGACCCAACTCCCATAGGATGTCATGAAGAGGGCCAGGTGACATCCATACATGAAGTGCATTGCGTTACAGGAGAGAAACTCTGAACTTAGGGAACCCAAATCTTTTATATTGGGCAACAAAGATGCTTCACCTTTGCTCCAGAGGGAGATCATTTCTTCCAAGGCTGCTCTCCACATAAACATCTTTGAAAAGTTAGTCTGGAACCAAGGGCAGCCAGTGCTTTGCTCACAAGATGTGCAGAAACGGAAGGGACTCATGGAGAATGTCTCCCAACAAATATATCTTGCATCTGTTCCCTTTGCTCCTTCTTTTTTTTTTTAATCGAAAGTGCCTTACTGGTCCTGCTTCCATGAGTAGCAGTGACCAGGGGAAAAGGGAGAGGAACCAGCCAGCACAGGGAGGGGTCATCTCCACAACATTCCATTTATACACAGAACTGAACAGCAAGCATAGAGTCACTATTGTGGTTAGAAGTTGGCAGCATGGGAAGGGGGAGGAACAGGTTGGATGTGGGGGTGTTGTTAAAAATATAGGCCCCTCTCCACAACTGGGGTGCCTGGGGGGAATTTGGTTTGCTTCAACCCAAGAGGAATAAGAAGATCAAAAGCAGTTTGGCAAGACCAGAACCGTCAGGGATGGAGGGAGGAGGAAAATCCAGGGAGTGGGGGGATCTGTTTGGCAACTGGAGTGAAGGGATTGCCCTCCCCCTGCTGGGATCCCCCCAGCCCCTCTGGTCTGGGAGGAAGGGGACGGCCTGCAACCCCCGAGGGCAGATGTGGGGCTGCCAGATGCTCCAGGCAGGTGGCCAGAACCGGCTCACAAAGGCTTGTCCTCTAGGGAGATGACCGCACTGCCCCCCAGCTTCTCTGCCAGGGTGCAGCGGTCCTTGACCTCCTTGTAGCAGTTTGTGTGTAATTCATGCTTGATCCCTGTCAGCTTCTTGACGGCGTCCTTGGAGCTGGCATAGATCATTTTGCTTTTAAGGGGAGCAGACTCAGGGACCCAGAAGATAAACACCAGGTCCTCCTCCTTGCTCTCCTTGGTCTCGTAGGTTGTGTCACAGAGGGTGTAGTGGCAGTCCTTATCTGGCAGCATCCTGACAAAGGTGGTGTAGGGGTCGTCGATGGTCTGGCTCACATCGCCCACCAGGATCTTCTTGGTCTCCTCCAGGATGATGTTCTTCTTGTCCTCACTAAGGCAGAAGAGCACCACCTTCTTGAGCTTCTTCACCTCCTCTGGCATTGAAGACTTATGCAACTTCATGTCGTTGAACATGTTCATGACACCATCAGACAGCCACACCAGAGGCCATGTTTCCAGAAGTGAAAAGGAGAGGGCATGGAGAGCCGCAGAAGACAAGAGCACTGCAGCCGCTGCTGGGACCCGACTGCACTCTGTTCCTTCTTTGCACCATTAGATCAGGCTGCACATTGCTCATAGGAAGATTGCAACAACTTTTTAGCTGATTTCCCTAACTCTGGGTGGGTCCCTCTTCATATTAGTCCTCCACACCTTGCTGAAGTAGCCTCCTGAGACATAAATCTGACTCTTCCCTGCTTAAAGCCATTTACTGCCTGCCTATTATCTATAGGAAAGGCCCAAGCTCCTTAGCATGACACCAAAGGGATTTTCAGACCAGCCCTTGCTAATCCCTCTAGCCTTAGGGGGGCAGCATATCAGAGTGATTATCTCCCTTACTCTCCCAGTGACTTAACCTTTGTAGCCTGTTTCCTCATTGCTAACATTAGGATGATAAAACCTACCTCATGGGTTGGTGAGGAATTAATCAGCTCACACATGGTTAGCCCTCAGTAAACGTTGGCTGTTATGGTTGTGTCTTTCCACTCTCTGCCTCGCACTTTAAGATCTGGCTACATGGTTTTCTGCTGACTCTGTGTCCCTTTTCACCATGGTTAGTGCCTTTATTCCTGCCACCCACTCTTCTTGCAATGTCCTCCAAACCCTGTTGCCTGGCTTCACGCTGGTTAGGCACATCCTCTTCCTTCTCTTGGATGCTCCATGCATGTGTCGGCCATTGAGCTGTAAATATCTACTAATAAGTCAGTTACTGCTGCTAGACTATCAACTTTATGGGGATGGGGGGTGTTTTATTTATCTTTGTGTTGCTAGCACATAGCATGTGTTGAAAAAAATGGTGAATGAATACATGAAAGAATAAAAGGAATTCACAGTCTACTAGGGTGTTTGGGGTCTAGGGATGAAGGGTGGAAGGCAGCTAAGTAGCTTAATAATAACAGGTTAGAGAATCTGGGTAAAGCTGGGGCTGAGGTGAGAATTAGGCCCTATAGGAGTCCAGTGTAGGGAGTTTGCTTGTTGAGTGTGGTGCATGTAGTGAGGAAGCCTGTTTAAAGTTATCTCCTCAATGAAATAAAGCAGCCCCTTCTAGGCAATCCTAATTACTCCCTTTCCTGAAAGAATATATTGCAAATGGAAGGTCATGCAATCTGCCTTCTTGTAAGATCTTCAATTTCTCAGAATACAATGAATTCTCTATTACCTGGAGGAGGGGTAGAAAGGAGCTTCTTTTTAATTAAATTGTCTCTGCAGCAGAAAGTGACTTTATCCTGCCTTTTGAAGTCTTCCAGTTGTCCTCAGCCTGGCTCAAATCACTCTCCTTGAATTCATTGTTACACTAGTGCACCCTGCTTTGTGAGTTATAATTTAACGTGAGCGTATCTAATTCTCTAATGAGATGGAGACTCTTTGGGAGTTTATGTTTTTTTCCCTGAAATGTTTAATGTCATGCTTTTGAATTAAGAAGGGCTTCTACATATATTTATAGACTGGCTGAGTTTCTCCATATATGTGTTAAGAACTTTCAAATAATTAGAGCACAGCCTGAATTTCAGAATGCCAGTGATCTTCTCCAGGGCTTCAGCTTCCCTGAAAGAACAGCTACTCAGGGCCTATTATTAAATGTTTAAGGTATCATTTTTTAACTTTGAAATAAAAACTGAAATATTTGGAAAATACTGATAAACGAACAAACAAAAAAACCTGAACTAACCCTACTAGTAGTAGTGGTAACTACTATACAATAGTATTTGGAGTATATCTCTGTAGTCTGTCTTCCTTGGCTTTGTGTCTTTGCTTCTCTTTCTCTTTCAATGAATGAGGTCATCTTTTATCACTCATCTGGCAATCTGCTTTCTTCTCCTTAACATCAATAGATATTTATTAAAAGTGATGATGCTGGAGTATTTCTTTTAGGTTCCTGTTTCAATCCTTGACCCACTGTTTTGCCTTGTTTGCCACTGCCTGCCTTTTCTTGATTTCTGTTTGTCTCTCTGGATTGACCCATTATTGTGTTCTGATCTCTGATACCTGCATGCATCTTCATAGTAACTTCCAACTTTTGGGAGTGTCTGCTGTGCCCCAGATAGTTGTATGTGTTTTACCTGCTTTAAAAATCTCTTTTCGGATAGACTGGATATTTGTAGTCTCCATGTCACAGATGAGGAATTTATTTGGTGTAGAGATTTAGTAATTTATAAAAGATCATGAAGCTTAGATGGAGCCTGAACTTATGTTTTTATACTCAGCACCCCCTCTAGTATGTGAAACTGTCATCTTTAGCTTCTGACTCCTTCTGGAATACTGATTTTTGGGTGCTGTGTCTAATCAGCTTTCAGCTCTACAATATTCCTTGAAGGGCACCGCAACCCACAACCTTGGGCCAGCATAGTGAATTTTATATTTTTTATTTGACAGAGAGAGAGAGAATGTGTGTGTGTGTGTGTGTGTGTGTGTGTGTGTGTGTGTGTGTGTGTGTGTGTTTGAGAAATCAGCAGCTGTGGTTCTTGCTTTCACTCCTCATGGTGAGGAGGTGGCCTACCCCTCACATCTGTTTTCAGCCCCTGTTCCTCAATACCAGAGTTATTTTCTATTAACTCAATGCACCTTTTCTTTGTAATTCTTGTCAATTTTCCCTCCAGCCACCTGCGCGGTCTCTGGCTTGCTCTCAGGCTGTGAGTAAATTCTTTGTATACTTGCTGTTTTCGATAACCTCAGCCCAAGACTTAATGTCAAGGTGGGGGCCCTATTAAAGATGCCATGAATCATCTTGTCTTTGTTTGAAGATTTCCGTGTTGGCAAGTGGGCAGATAGATGTAGGTTTCCCAACCAGATGTACTGGTAGCTGAGATGGGGGCATTCAGCTGAAGTACATTCCTATCATTATTTGGCAAAGAAAGAGCCACTGAGATTAAAAGCATGATCCTTGCTTGTGATCTGGCTTCATCAACGGAATCACAGAGCCTCTGTGTTGGAAAGGGCCTTGAAATCATCTGCAACTGCGCGGCTTGATACTTGAGGGAACTGAGGCAATAGATACAGGAAGTGATGTAAAGTTATAAATGCCAAACCTTCAAGGGACTTTTGACATGACGTAACTCTGCGCTCTTATGTTTTGGGGGAAGAATAGTAAGGCCTCTAGAAGCTCACTAACACTCCTAATGCGGCACAGCGCGTTACTGCAGAGCAAGGACTCTACTGACCACAGGCCCAGGACAGCGGCCTTGGAGGTGAAGTCACTAAGGGGGATCTGTAGGATTTGGCTGGTTACAAGAGCTCACCCGCTATCTCCTCCAGGCTGGCTTCCGTGGGCCTCTGTTGAACTATCAGTCCAGTGTTCTTGCCTCTGTCCCCACAGCCCTGCAGAGGTCTTCTTCCACCTGACAGATGGTGACTGCCTTCTCCACAGTGGTAGGAGTGAGGGAAACAGTGAGGGGAAATCAGGAAACAGGAAGCCAGGGAGAGGAGCAAGAGGTGTTGGGGCTGTATGTGCTGGCTCCGTGCCTTGGTGTTGTGGGTTTCTAGAGGGTTTTAACTTTGTAGTAAAGACGGGACTTGGAGGAATTCTCCCTGTGGTGGGACAGGAGTTTTCTCCACAGCCTTCACAAAGTATTCCCCGCAAGAACTACTCATCCTTCACGGTCTACTTCTATCGTAGCAGTTCAGTCTTCTGCTGTTTCTTCTGGTACCAGCCTATGGATTGGGTAAGGAGAAAGATCAGGTTTGTAAAGAGATCTTTCTGGTCCTTCCAGTAATAAAGCCCCTTGGACAAGGGCCAGGGAGATTCATCTCCCAGAGACTCCTGTGCTCTAGGTGGTGGTAGAGGCTTCCTGCCAGAAGGATCTGAGGCAGAGGACGTGGATGGTGCCATGCTGGCGTCTCTGTGCATCTGGCAGCGCAACAAAGGACTTCTGTCTGCCCTGCGAGGCTGGGTCGGTAAAACCCACTTCAATTGAAAGCCACCACACTTTAGCAACTTGATAATTAAAATTCTAATATGTGAATTAAAGAAAACAAGGGGCTGTGTTCCTGCCATATTAAAATACAGCTGCAGTGATTCCACTATTGTTTCCTTTGACAGAGCTGTGGTTTTCCTACACACCTTTGTTTGAGGCTTTGATTCAGATATACTCCCTGCTGCTGATAAGTCCCATGTGTCTACTCATCGGTTAGATGGTGCATGGGGATGATTCTTCTGTGATGTGGAGAATGAAAGATCGTGTCTTCAAGTTATGTGAGGTGGCTAAGTGACATCTCATCAAGAGCAGAGATAAAAACAAAACTCATGGAAAAGGTACTTCCTGAGCTCCCTTTTTGTTTCCTAAGTGATTTAAAACAATAAAGGCCAAATCGAAGAGAAAACTTAAGAACCGATATAGCTGATACCTGGACTTACGGATTGATTTATTTCTGTGAACACTCTGGGAAAATGGCCACTTGTCGCTCTCTGTTATTAATAAAGAGGTCACTTTATCATTAGGCCTTTGAATCTGTATTTAATGGCTAAAGCAGATGGTTATAATTTCTGACTTGGTGTGGCCACCTTATTAATAAAAAAGAACTGATGGAAGCAAAAAGGCGTCTTCATTTTTAACTCCAGAAGCATAACACAAATGCTTTCCAGTCTTTCTTTGTGTGGAGAGCAGACCAAGTGACTGCAATAAGATCCTGTTACACATTTGAAAAAAAGACTTTTGCAGAGTGGAGGTAACTCAGTTTGAATCCTTCTTTTGTTAAACTTTAAAAGAACACTATAAATATATGCCCCTTTCCTTGAAGAAGGTATTTCGAAGGAAGCTTCAGGATTATATTTTAAAGTAAATTAATATTTTAATAACATAAGGAAACTAAAAAACACCTAATTTATTTCAGATAGTGGAGGCCTGTGGTACTTTCTAAAATTATTCTTTTTGCTTAAACTACTATAAACTGCTTTTTTGGATTTAATTACTAGGCTTAGATGAATGTGCCATGCATCTTATTTTGGTTCTTTTTAAATTCACTTGGAATTAAAAAAAATCAATAATGGCAAAAACGTCTGGTAGTGGATTTCTGCTTGATTTCATCAAGCCTGTATATTCCCCTATAATGGTAAGGAGTTTGAAATCGTGGTTATCATCCTGGAAATTTTTTGTCCCCAAAGGGACAAACCTACATTTGTGAAGACAGAATGATTTAGAATCTTAATGTACTCAGTAAACCGAGTGAACAGAGCAGAAAAATGCTGGGAATTCTTCACATAGGCTCAGAAGAGCTCTTTAATTCACTTAGATACCAAAGACTTATTGATATGTCAGGCTGTGGGCGGCATCCTGGGGTCTGTTATGGCAATGAATTCCTGGTCCTTAGGTGACAAGAATGGGATGAGTGTGCTATGCCTGGCTCTGAGATAAAGAAAAAACATGGAATGTTAAGGATCTTAAAGTCTTTACGGGTTTCTTTGCCCACTAGTTTTCAATGTTTTTTAATTAATGATGCCTTTCAGGCTGTCCATGGGCCCACGTTTAGAAGTGTTTTGAATTTCAAATTATTAATGGTAATTGTTGTTTTCTGTTTTCATTAACCAAAGGCATGTATAACAACCCATTCAGTTCATTTGTTTATTGATTTGTTCATTAATTCTTCAGTATTTAGCTTGTATTTACTTTTGGCTTGGCACCATGCCAAGCACAGGGATGCAGAGGAGTTTGTGATGGCCACCAGTCTTATTTAAAATGCCTAAAATAGGGTCAGGAGCAGTGGCTAACACCTGTAATCCCAGCATTTTTGGAGGCTGAGGCTGAAGGATCACTTGAGCTCAGGAGTTTGAGACCAGCCTTGGCAACATAGTGACACCTCATCTCTACAAAAAATAAAAAAAGTTGGCGGGGTGTGGGGTGGGCGCCTGTGGTCCCAGCTACTCCAGAGACTGAGTTGGGAAGGTCACTTGAGCCCAGGACGTCAAGGCTGCAGTGAGCAGTGATGGTACCCCACACTACAGCCTGAGGGACAGAATGAGACCCTGTCTCAAAAAAATAAATAAAAATAACTAAAGTGCTCCACAACAGTGGATGGATTTTTGTTTTTCCTACCATCTCAGATTCCTGGATATCTAGACCAATCCATTGCTAAGCCATCGTGCTTTGTTTTCTTTTTTAAACTTTGAAATGTTTTAAGTGTACAGAAAAGCAGACAAAAGTGACAAAACCCATTTCAGATACAAATATTTTTTATTTGTTTCAGATTTTTAAAAGAAATAAAACATTATAGATACAACAAAAGCTCCCAGTGTACCCCTCCTAAATCCTGTCTCTTTTCTTCTCCAGAGATAATCTGTCCTTTAAATGTGATGTCTTTTCATTCCCATGCATGTTTTTATATTTTTGCTCTCTGTGCATAAATGCACTGAGTGCTACTAAAAATAGTGCTTTGCCTATTTTAAAATTGTGTATAAATGGGAACTTACTGTACCTGTCATACATCTTGCTATTTTTGCTCAATGTTGTGTTTTTGGTATTAACCTTGTTAATTTAGGAATTGCATGTTGATCTAAGAAGTTATTTTAGTTGCTGTGCAGTAAGTATGCTATTGTATGACCATTTCACAATTAATGTACCCATTCTCCTGCCTTCATTTTTTTGTGTATTATAAACAATTTTGCCATGAAAACTTTGACTTATCTTTCTGTAAAAATGTGTGAAGTTTTTCTAGGCCAAATACCTAGGAATAGAATAGAGTATGCATGTCTTCGGCTTCCCTAGGTGCTGTGGAATTGCTCTCCAACGGCCTTATGCCAGTGCGAGCTCCTTCCTACAGGATATAAGTTCCCGTTGCTCTTTACCCTTTCTAACTCTTGATATTGGAAGTATTTTTAGATTTTGCTTATTCAACAGGTATGAGAAACTATCACAGTTTGGATGTATAAAGATATGTCAAGTTGAGTAAAGATGTTAGAGCAAAGACTGGAGATTTTTTTTTCCTTTTCCTCCTGTTCTAGCTGTATTGTTCTAGCTATATTATAGGGCAGATTTGAGTTTCTGCTTGGGTAGAATTATCCTCATCAAAGCCTACTTTGGCCCTAATTAGTTTGCTATACATCCATTGTACACAGAACACATTATGTACATTTCTAAGGAATTGAAGAGACAAAGTCCAAACTTATAGAACCTATGTTGGGGGTGCATAGCAGGAGATACTGGGGCCCAATTTACAGTAGGTTCATTGCACTGGCCAGTGAATTCAGGGACCTTGCTCTCTATATCAGCAGAGATTGCTGCCTGTGTGGTTTTTTGGTTTTTTGTTTTGTTTGCTTTTTGTTTGTTTGTTTGTTTGAGACAGAATCTTGCTCTGTCTCCAAGCTGGAGTGCAGTGGCACGATCTAGGCTCACTGCAACCTCCGTCTCCCGAGTTCAATCAATTGTCCTGCCTCAGCCTCCTGAGTAGCTGGGACTATAGGCGTGTGCCACCACGCCCAGCTATTTTTTGTATTTTTAGTAGAGACGGGGTTTCACCATGTTGGCCAGGATGGTCTCAATTTCTTGACCTGGTGATCCGCTAGCCTCGGCCTCCTAAAGTACTGGGATTACAGGCGTGAGCCACTGCGCCCGGCCGCTTTTTGGGTTTTAATGTCCATAAAATGAGAGATTGCATTAGTCATTCCTTCTTCAAGAGCAGATTTTCTTTTCTGCTTTCAAAATTCCATGCTTCTAAGTGGCGTTGACCCTTGGTGCTTTAAAACGTCTTAAAAATCACTGATACTTAATTGGTATTGAGAACAGAGGAACTTAATGCAGGAGCCACCACTAAGTGAAGAGCAGTTAAAAAATGCTAAGAAGTCACCTGCAAAATTCTAATCTAATTAAAATTATGTAAAAAAAGACCACCATCACTCATGTATAAAGATGACAGGGAAAAATTACAATGAATAGACTGTGGGTGATTATTCCCCTCATTGCCCTATTTTTCTGTTTTCCAAATCTTTTTTAATGGTCATGGAGTAATATTCTTGGAATAAAATAATAAGCATATGCAAACAATTATAAGCTCATTTGGTAGGAAAATAAGAATGTGATTTATACAAAACATGTGCTGGGCAAAGGGGAGAACACCTGTATATGAAAAATGATTTGTAATGATTTTGTAAATAATCCTATAATCCTTCCTTGGGTTAAGGGTTGGTGGATGATAAGTGTTTTTCTTTAGGTTTTGCTGCTGGAAAGATCCAGGGAAGATGGAAGACAAGTAGACTGGCATCTTACCTAAAAGCAGTGGCACAGCAGGTGGTAGAATAATTTGAGCTTCGCTCATTGGATTTTAAGACCAAAAGAAAAGGCAGAACTAAAGAGATTTTATTCATTAGGTCACGTAGATATTCCTATTCCAAAGGCATATGACAAATCCTTCAGAGTTGAAGTAATCATAATGCCTACAATATATTAAGCATTAAATATACATATATTTTTCAATTCTGGAATAGCTGTGAATGTGGGAATAACTGTACTGACTGACAGGGGAGAGATCAGATAGTTTAAGAAACTTGCCCCATATGCACAGCTCATCAGTGGTGCTGCCTGGACTCAGCCACCATCTGTTTCACTCTGCCGGGGCATACATGTATGTGTACCCTTGCCCTGGCAAACTCTTCCTTTTGTAGAGCTGAAAGCAGCCCCCTGCAACTTTCCTATGTATTTATTCTCATCCTGCCCTCCTGAGCACCCAGCCTTAGAAGTCTGCTCCCTCTTTCGCACAACAGCCTTTCTGATCTTCAAAGAGGGCTATTGTGTCCATTTCTCCACTTCTCCCCTCTTCGGTCTGTCATCTTGGAAAAGCTCAGAGAGGTGTTTTTATTCACAGATGCCTTGAGAAATTTCATGGTTTTTAGACTCATGCTGAGTTTGTCCAGATGTGCCAATATTTGTCTTATATGATACAAATTAATTGTCCAGAAGAGGAAGAAACCTTTGTAGACACTCACTAATGCAAACCAGTTCCTTTGAGTATTGATGGAAGGAAAAACACTAAAAAATGAAACAGATCATTTTCACTGGGAGAGTGTAGTTGTTGAATTCACATTCTACTTTTAGGACAAATCTGTAGCATGACAGTTCAGTCTTACCACATGTATTAACCATGGGAAACCTAGGGTGACATTTGCAATAGACTCCTGCTTTTCTGTAAGGACTTTATACAGATGGAGAAAGTATGATACTCTTACATTTTATTACCAAGTTCTGTGGCCCAGGGTTTACAGCATAAGGTGGCAAATAATTTAGCTCCACTCAGATTTGGAAGAGTAACTATTATTATTATAAGTAAGATTTAAACTTAGGGACAGGTACACACTCTTTAAGGAGAGTTCTAAGACTGAGATGTTGTATCATTATCAGTACCTGGCATAAATATATGTATCTGAGTTCTCTTTGAGAATCATAAGGGAAAAGATGTCTAATATGATTTAACCTCAAGACACTAACAATGATTACACCTATCCCCTGCTCCCAGCATCATAGTCACCAACTGTGGCAACAGCTGCTGCTAATGTTTTTTGAACTCCTGTGGTATGCCTGGTGATGTACTTTATATCAGCTAGTTCATTCTCAAAACTTGAGAACACACTACATATACCCTAGTAAGTACTATTGTTAGCCTCGTTTTATAGATGAAAAAACTGAGAGGTTAAGTATTCTGCCCAAGATCATATATAGGTTGGGTATCCCTAATCTGAGAATCCAAAACCCAAAATGCACCAAAATCTGAAACGTTTTGCATGCCAACATGATGCTCAAAGGTGCTCCTTGGAGCATTCAGATTTTGGATTTTTGGATTAGGAATGCTCAGCTGGTATAAACGCATATATTCCAGAATCTTGAAGACATCTGAAACATGTCTGATCTCAAGCATTTTGGGTAAGGGATACTCAACCTGTATCTTGTATATAGTAGAGTGAGAGTCTAGCTTATGCTTTGCTCTTATATCTTGTTTCTTTCTTCAGCAAAATAGTCTGTAAATTGAACATTAAACAGTGCACTGGGGACACAGTAAGGAATCTTTCATTACCAATGGAGCATGAATGAAAGTTTCCAAATATGAGGTTTCCTTAGTGAAACACTATTTTTAGGAAAAACTATTAAACCAAGGCTTATGATAAAGGATCATTCCACATCCAAATATACCTCTCCTGTATTAGCATAATTCTCTACTAAAATCACAGCTGAAATTCATTCACTCTAAGAGATGGATAAAAACCATACGGTTTCATGTAAAGATCACCAGCTTCCCAGAACTAGGATGATGGGAATTTTAACTAATGCTGCTGTGACTGTGGCCTAGCCTCTTACTCTTTCTGGATCTCAGTGGGCCCATCTGTAGAATGTGAGCATTGGCCTCTGTGATAATGAATGTTCCTTCTAGCTTTGTATATTGCATAGTGCATGACTGCTAGCTTCAGGAAAAATAAAACGTTTTCAATGGAAATATCAGATCACCAACCTGATTCCAATGAATTTTTTTTTATTCACTGAGGCTTTATGTCATATAAAAATATGTGACGTATTACTGCTCTGCTGCCCATCTATTTAAGGCATTCTTCAGTAGACTTGTCAGGGCTTATCTAAATCTTAGCACCACTTACGTGTGGCTGATTGCTTGGCAGGAGGAGGTTCCTGCATTTTCTTCCTCCTGTGTATTAGTGAATTGAAATCAAGGGAAAAACTGCTTGGCTTTCTGCTTCCTTCCATGGTAGGTAGACTTTTCTACATATTTTCCAACAGTTCTTTTTGACAGCCAAGTCTGGAAACAGGGCAGGATGGAGGTTTTACAAATAGGTGACAGTTGTTTGTCTCATGAATTTCTTCTATTTCCTTTCCCTAGTGGAGTTAACTGCCTCCTTCCTACAACAATCCGAACGTACTTCCATCACAGAGTATCTAGCAGTGTGAGCAATAGCCATTTCTCTCTTTTACCTCTTCTGGATTCTAAACCCATCATAGGTAGAGATAGAACATGTCTGTGCTTAGATAGTATCTGGCACATACAGATTGCTCACTTAATGGTGAATGAATGAATAAAGAAGAAAAAGTGATGAAAGAAGAAAAACTACAGTCGTCTCTTGGTATCTGTGGCACATTCGTTCCAGGACCCTGATGGATGCCAAAATCCTTGGATGCTCAAGTCTCTGATATAAAATGGCATAGTGTTTGCATCTAACCTACATACATTCTCCTGTATACTTTAAATTATCTCTAGGTTACTTATAATACCTAATATAATATAAATGCTATGTAAATAGTTGTTACACTGTATTTTAAAATTTGTATTATTTATTATTATTATTTATTTACTTATTTTTCCAAATATTTTTGATCTGTGGTTGATTGAATCCATGGGTGTGGAACCTGGGGATATGGAGGGCTGACTATATATACTAATGAACACTACTTTGGATTATATGAAAATACCCATTTATGAAATGGACAGTTCAAATGTTTCCTCTTTGACTGTTCTTAACCTGACCTCCCAACTTGAAGTAATCTGTTCCTCTCCTCTAAACAGTTATGTGTACTATGTGTTTGGTAATTAATTATGTACTGACTCATGACATTTGTTTCTGTTCTTATAATACTTTTTGATTTTCAAATACCTTATGACTTTGTTTTTTATTACAATTTGTTTTCCCATCAAGATTGTAAATTCTTGGAGGCAAGGGCAATTATTAAATACTATATTTGATACTTAATTCGCTCCTCTCCTTTGGGGGCTCCAGTTACATGTATATTAGGCCAGTTGAAGTTGTTCCTCAACTCACTGATTCTGTTTACTTTTTTAATTCCCTTTTTCCCTCTGTATCTTATTTTGGATAGTTTTGATTTTTGTGTTTTTGAGTTTACTAATATTTATCCTCTGCAATGTCTAATCTGATGTTAATCCCATCCAGAGTATTTTTCATCGCATACATTGTAGATTTCACCTCTAGAAGTTTGATGTAGCTCTTTTTTTTTTTTTGAGACGTAGTCTTGCTCTGTTGTCAGGCTGGAGTGCAGTGGTATGATCTCGGCTCACTGCAACCTCCGCCTCCCTGGTTCAAGTGATTCTCCTGCCTCAGCCTCCCAAGTAGCTGGGACTATAGGCGCATGCCACCACGCCCCACTAATTTTTTTTTTTTTCTGTATTTTTAGTAGAGACGGCGTTTCACCATGTCGGCCAGGATGGTCTTGATCTCTTGACCTCGTGACCCGCCCACCTCGGCCTCCCAAAGTGCTGGGATTACAGGTGTGAGCTACCACGCCCTGCTGATGTAGCTCTTTTTCATATCTTCAGTGTCTCCACTTACTTTTTGAACTTAGGGAATATAGTTATAATAACCATTTTAATGTTCTGTCTGCTAATTCTAACATCTGTGTCAGTTTTGATTGACTTTTTTTTTTTTCCTCCTCATCAGGGGTTATATTTCCCTGCTTTATGAATGCCTGGTAATTTTTGATTAGATGCCAGACATTGTGAATTTTCCTTGTTGGGTACTGGCTATTTTTGTATTCCTACAAATATTTTTGAACTTTGTTCTGGAATGTGTTTAAGTTGTTTAGAAGCAGTTTGATCCTTTTGGAAAGTCTTGCTTTGAAGATTTGGAAGACTGAAATAGTTGTACTTAGTCTATAACTAATTATTCTCCATGACAGTGAAAACACTCTTCTATGTGCTCTCCTCGTGGCGTGGGGAATCATGAGGTTTTCCAATCTGGAAATATCTTTTTGGATATTTCTTTCCCCAGTGCTGGGTAGTTGCCACACATGTATGCACTGATCAGCACTCTGCTGAATACTTGAGGGGGATTCTCTGTGGCTCTTTCTGCAGCTCTCTTTTCTCTGATACTTGGCCTTGCAAACTCTAGTTGCCTTGGTCTCCCTGGACTGTTAGCTCAATTCACTCAACTCAGGCAGTTCACTGAGCTCTGCCTGAGTTCTCCCTTTCCTCCAGACACCTTGAGCTGGAAATTCTCTCAGGCAGTAAGCTGGAGGACTCGTAGGATTCGTTTCATTTGCCTTCCTTCTTCCAGGGATCACTGCCCTTTACTGACTGTTATACCAGTCTTGACAATTATCCTGTTACTCCAACTTGGCCAGAAATGGAAGTGATACATTTTATTCTTTCTGTCTGAAATAATCCTCCATCCCCAATGTTTAAAAACTGCCATCCTTGACTCCATGTGACTGTGTTAGGAGCCCTTTCTCTGGTCTCTCATCATACCTGTGCTTACAGTAATTTAGTGCGGCACTCCTCTCCCTGCGTTGTTCTTGCATTTTTTTTTACCCTCTCTTTTCTCGTTAGATTTTGTTTCCTTGAGGACAGGGAATGTCTTTAATCTCGGGATTTCTAACACCTAACATAGACTCAGGTGTGTAACAGTTGCTCAATAAGTACTTGTTGAATGAATGAATTAATAAATAAATAGGATTCAATTTTCAAAGTATCTGTTGTTGAACAACTTTCAGAAGTTTTTTTTTTTTTTTACAGAAATGAGATTAGATATGCATCTTCATATATGCAATTGAAATCTCTCTTAAATTTCTAGATAATCAGTTGTTGTTGATGGCTTGGACATGGTTTTTACCTATTTATTTTTTGTAGCCTCTCCTTAGAAGGTGTTAATAAAAGCCACCTAGTTGATGCTTGAAACAACATGTGGAGGTAAAGGGACCAAGAATAGAATAGCCATATTCTATAAACAAACAAAATGAAGACTAACTTTTAGGTATCTGTTTTATGATGGACCCTCAGATGTGGTATATCCCAAGTCTGCCAGGAGGTTGTTCTTATCTGAAGTGCCTTTTCCATGTTGGATGTACTTAGATGCCTTTTATCCAGGTAGACTCAGATGGTCTGCAAATAGCTCTATGGATTTGGCATTGGAAAACCTCATGGTTCCCCAGGCATGGGGAGAGCACATAAAAGTGTTTTCTCTGTCATGGAGAATAAATAGCTGTGAGTCGTTGCATTCTTATCAACTGGAGACAATTGACAGTGGATATGTGCCACTAGAGTTATGGTCAAGTGCAAGTTCATACTATATTTGGATCTTTAAGAGTCGGTAGAATGAACCATATTTGGTAAGCCTCTGAAGACTGTCTTGCTCCATTTCCTCAGCAGCTCTTGGTTACCAAAGGTGACTCTGGAGCCCCACCTCCAAGTCCCCATCCTGCACAGTTGGCATGATGGAAATGGCTTGAGGTTCTTGTTCTTTCAGATTCAGTGTTTTCATCTGTGCAGTAGGATATAAGTAGGATAAGATGTAATTTGTCAGGTTGCTATGAGGAATAAATGAAGTAATAAATGTTAGTTGCCTATCACAGTTTCAGGCACATGGGAACCCTCTCCCCATTCCCCCAAACTTAATTGAAAAGATAGCCATCAGCCTCTGAAGTTGAATTGTGCTGAGTGGTTACTAACATTAAAGACATATGGAGTTATTGTATCTGTATCTTTCACTTATCAGCTTTTCCTTGAAGGTTTAATGTGTGTTCCTTTGCTTTTAGGCCCCATGTTTATTTTCCTGAAATGGTGTCTTCTTGACTTAAAGTACAATCTTTGCTTTTTTATTCTTTTTTCACTGCTCTTGCCTGGTGATCCTGTTGTTTAAAGACATCTCCATCCTTCCCTATCCTTTCCCTTTCAAATCTATGGCCCAGACTGGGGGTGGCTTTAACTAACAACAGCACTTTGCATTAGTTAAGTAGAGTGGAATTTCTCATTCTACCTCTCAGCTATTGATGAAACCTTTCCCTGATGCACAAATTAAGACTGGGTGTATTTTGCATATTTTCCTAGAATGACACAGTGATTCTGTGGCTAAACCAAGATTAGACCCTACCACTTTAAAAAATCTGACTTTTTGCTTAAAGTGTAAACTGTGTTGCTTCTAAAACTACTAGTTGAATTTAACTTTCAAGTGTACTTTGTATTTAAATCTGATGATAGTGTTGTTTTTCCTTTTGTCTTGTTTAGATGAGGGTATTTTCTTCACTTCCCTGACCCCTAGTGCCTCAGTGACCTAGGCAGCAAGTTTTTTGATGCTGTCCAGAATGCTAATTAAGATATTTATTCTCTTTGGCCCTATTGTTTATGATACTTGTAATTATGTCTATTAGATGGTAATCTCTGTTATCTCCCACTATACTAAGTGTACTACTCGGCACATAAAGAAATGTGTGAGTATGTGAATGTATACTCACATGTTTGAATAAATGTGAATAAATCAATATATTTATATAGTTACTGATTTAAATGTGTTCCGTCTTGGGATGTGAGATGGGATAATTGAATAAGAAATTAGCCTGTGTGTGTTAAGGTAGTCAAAGTTTTTATGGTACCTTTGTACAAACTGCCCCTTCTGTTGTGTGTGTGCTGACCCATGTCATGATGCTCAGCATGACTGGAGGAGTCCTGGTGTGTTTCTGTCCTCACTTGCTCCCTGGGTTGGGCGCCCCTCTGCAGGGTACAACCAACACAGTTGTATGAAGACCCTCTGACTTTCATTTTCTGGCTGGCTGGGGGTTTTGGTGTTGAGCGCTTTTAAGTAAGACAGTCACCTTATCCTACTCAATGTTTTCTTGAAGTGCAGGCCCTGTGAAGATGAAGATCCCCTCTTCTATTTTGGGGACACTTTTGTGATGCTTTTATCTGTCTCTCCAGAGTCTGATTTAATGAAAATATGTACCTCCCTCACCACATTCTGCAAAGCTTACTTGAGTTTTTAAAATTTAATAGTAAATATGTTAGTACATGTTGATTCTAGTGCCCAGCACATAGTTTCTGCTCAATACTTAGCTATAATTATTAGTTTATTTAAATTGCCTTAATCATTCATGCAATAAGCAAATGTCCCCCCTGTAGGCTGTTCTCCAGATCTGGGATACAGACATGGGTAAAGCTTGGAGCTTGTGTATAAGTAGCGGGGTCAGTCGCCTGCCAGTTCACTGGAGAGATGCCATGCTTGGAGGGTGGACTGACTGTAAGGCCCTCCCAGTTGTCAGACTCTAGGCTTCTAGTGTGCCCTCCCTCACTGTACAGCTGGTCAATGCATGGCACTAGAAAGTGCAAAGGCTTCAGTGTTGGATGAGTGTGGATTTGAATCCCAGCTGTGTTGTGGACTAGCTCTGAGCTTCAGTCTCTTCCTCTTAAAATGGGAATAATAGGGTAGTTGCAAAGTGTCATTGTTAATTAGGCCCTGGGCTAAGTTCTTTACTCCTGTGATTTTATGAAATCCTCAAACAGCCCTGTGAGGTGTGTCTTGTTAATATCTGTATTTTATAGATGAGGAGCCTGAGGCACAGAAGGGTGAAGAAACTGGCCTAAGTGGTAGAGCTTTTCACTGAACCCAGGCCTATTAGAGAGCAGAGGCCACATTCTTCACTGTTATGCAGTGTCATGCTATGTTATCTGTCCAGACATGTTACGATTCCTGGCACACAGGATCAGAGCAAATAGTAGCTATTATTCTTATTACTATTATTGTTCTAAAATTCAGGCCTTTCTTCACCACACTGACACTGAGTAATATATATTGTAGCTGTTCAATAAAACTTTATTGGATTTAATTGGTTATGAATTTTATGTGTGGGAAGGTGGTTAACTTTCCTATCTGTAAGGAGAAATGCTCAATAGAATATCTTAAAATGGGGGAAGTTATGAAAATATAAAATAACAACCAGAGAGGCAAACCAGTTTATGAGATTCTGTATTAGAAAGCTGGAAAGAAGTTTTTAATAAGAAGAATGGAGGCTGGGCGCAGTGGCTCACACCTGTAATCCCAGCACTTTGGGAGGCCGAGGTGGGCAGATCACGAGGTCAAGAGTTCGAGACCAGCCTGGCCAACACGGTAAAACCCCATCTCTACTAAAAATACACACACACACACACACACACACACACACACACACACACACATACACACACACAAAATAGCCAGGTGTGGTGGCACGAGCCTGTAATCCCAGCTACTCAAGAGGGTGAGGTAGGAGAATCGCTTGGACCTGGGAGGTGGAGGTTGCAGTGAGCAGAGATCGCACCACTGCACTCCAGCCTGGGCAACAGAGCAAGAGTCTGTCTCGGGGAAAAAAAAAAAAAAAAAAGAAGAAGAAGAATGGAAGGGTACAATCTGGTGGTAGACACCATTTGAAAATATTCTGTCTAGCAAATAGTGTTTTTGAGTAAAAGAAATAGACATGACAAATCAGTTATGTGGCCATCCCTTATAACAATGATGAACAGATAGGAGGGTGTGCAATCTTTAAAGTTTAGAAACAAATTTGTCCTTCTGACATCCTTCCCTTCTCTTGACACACGGTTGGTAATGGCCAAGATTCTGTTTTGCCTGATGGAGTTTTGAGTGAGTTAAATTAGGTTGTCTTGAAAATAGCTGGGCCAGAAAATAAAAAGGTTTTCTCTCTTTGGAAAGGGGCTTTACTCCAGGGAAGAACACAGCTGTCCAGGAGGAATCCGGGACTGTTGAGTCCAGAAACTTCGATCCTTCTCCACCCTTTCCCCAGTGTTTCACCAGCAGAAAAAGAATGTTATTAAAGTCTGTGATGAAACAAAGCTGCACGCTGAGACGTGGCTGCCAGAACTTTTATTTTTATGGTTCTCTTGAGTTTGGGGAGAAATAATTAAATGTTGCAAATGTAAAAATTGGCAGTAACATTTTCCATTTTGCCAATAGTCATTCCTTTGGTTTTCCCTTGGATTTTATTTATTTCTTTCTCCTTTTAGGCATTGCTCTGTCATAGCCTGCTTGAGTGTTGTGTCTCTAGGAAGGCCAGAACACCAGGTTTGGATGTTACATAGCCAAGAACATTGTGTAGCAGTGCCTGGTTTTGCCACAAGACAGGTCTGTAGGAAATACCACTGCCACTGCAGCCGAGCACGTTGAACTGACTGTGCTCAGGAATACTTCACCAGTAGGCTTACTGGAAGGTATGTCTTTCTGCATCTGTGATTTGCAGAGGGGCATATGATTGCCTTGCTGTTGGAAACATAGGAAATATGGTTTTTGGGGATTCTACTTTGAAATAATGGTACTCGTCAATGCAGTGGGAAACTACAATATCAGGATGTTAAGAAAGGGTTCAAAAGGTTTTAGGAAGTCTTGAAAGATAAATGCCCATTCCAATTGAGCCAGTAGGTCAGTCTTCTTAGGGTTTCTGTGATAATATAGGACTTTAGAGTGGAGACGCCTTTCCTGACAAGTCTAGGGTTGATTTTATGTATTTGCTAAGATTTATTAAAATAAAAAATGGCATATTCTATAAGGAAAAATAATATTAATGGTATTTTAATTAAGCTTAAGCAATAAATAATGGTTATCACATAATTTTTATTTATTATTCTTTACCTTATTTCAGGGTCTGTCTTACTGTGAAGTTTCAATAAAATGCTTAGAACTACATTTTCCTGGCCAGGTGCAGTGGCTCATGCCTGTAATCCCAGCACTTTGGGAGACCGAGGCAGGTGGATCACTTGAGCTCAGGAGTTCGAGACCAGCCTAGCCAACATGGTGAAACCCTGTCTCTACTAAAAATACACAAAATTAGCCAGGTATGGTGGCACATGCTTGTAATCCCAGCAACTTGGGAGGCTGAGACAGGAGAATCGCTTGAACCCAGGAGGCAGAGGTTGCAGTGAGCCAAGATCATACCACTGTATTCCACCCTGGGAGACAGAGTGAGACTGTCTCAAAAAAAAAAAAAAAAAAAAAAAGAAATACATTTTGTTTTATTGCAGGCAGGATACATTTCAAGAGGCTTACTTCACCTTCTCTGTCTGATCTCCGCCAAATATCTTGGCTTTGTATTTCCCATAACCCATCTGTTCTTCATGTAGCTGTGAAAGAAGTATATCTTTGAAAGCAGAATTTTGAGTAAAGAAACCCGAGAGTTAGGGAGAGATGACCAGGTTCCATGGCTCCTTGTTAATTTCACCTTCAAGCCACATACTGCCTCTTCTTGGGCCCTTGATCTACTGCTGAGCATATCTTTTTCTTTCTTGGTGTGAATTCTGCCTCTCAGTATAGGTGGTATTTGTTAATTTAACTCTGACATAAACATGGGAACACTGCGCCTCAGTGTCATTGTCTGTAAAATGGGGTTATAAGGTATTTTCTGACCTACTTAAGGTTACCGTGAGGATTAAGTGATAATGTACAAAGAAGACTTTTAAAAATTAATATTGGAGTATAGTATAAGCATAGTGACATACAATGAATTATAATCAATAATAAATTGAATTTCACTTTGTGACCTCATAAAATTTGATTCCTTTCAGCTCTATCAAGGACAGCATCTTGCCTAATCACTTTTTGTTTTAGAAAAGTTAGATGCTTGTCCAATGTCACAAAGCAAGTTAGGGTAGAGGTAGGGCAAAAGCCCTGATCTCCTGACTCCCACACCAGCAGGATGCTTAGTTGTGATTTCTGCCTTGCTTTACCACTTGGGTCATCTTTCAGTGAAGGAGGTAACTATCTCTTCTTTCTTGAGTTAAAATAATACCTTAGTAGAAGCAAAGAACACTATCACTTTAGTTCTTTTCAGCCTTCATTTGCTGTTGCCTTCTGTGTCTAGGCGTGCTGAGCTGGCAGGAAGGTGACAAGTATGATAGATTCTGGCCTCTAAGGGGCTGTCAAGTCTAGTGAAAGGAGGTAAATGAGTAAACAGATAGACACTTCGGAGCCTGAGTTTCTGGTGCTGGCCCTTACACACAGGGTCTATCTGGGCAAGTCATGCCTGTCTTTGGGCTCAGGTTTCCCAGCTGCACATTGAGGTCCTGGACTAGATGTACAGAATGATCGTGATCACTGAGGTTCCTTCTAATTTGTCACCATCTATGGGTCTGTGATAATGCAAAGCTGTGTGCTTGCCAGCTGAAACTGAAATGAAGGAAAGTGATTAATTCATTTCACAAACTGAAATGAAGGAAAGCTATTAATCTGATGGCGTATTTTTCTTTATTTGTGATAAGTTTCACAGACTACATTTTCCAGCATTCAACACTGCCATTGTATTGTATTGTATTGTATTGTATTGTATTGTATTGTATTGTATTGTATTGTATTGTATTGTATTGTATTGTATTGTATTGTATTGTATTGTATCATAGATGGCGATACTTGTTCAGTTAACCAAATGGTCAACTTTGCAAAAATAGCAGAAGTGGACATCTCATGATGATTTAATACAGGACACAAAAATCAATGCTAGCATTAACTACTATTCTCGGCCTTTCTGCAGTGTTTTTCTGATAGGAACCTTTGTATTAAACCACCTTCTTTTTTTCCTAAAAAGGACCATAGCATAATAGCAGCTAGCATTTATTTGGTGTTTTCCTGTGTGATAGGTAAGTGTTGTTTTAAGTGCTTCCCATATAAAAATTCATGTAATCTTTGCAGCATTTTGAAGTAGGCATTATTATCATCCCTATTTTAGAGATAAGACAACCGAGGTACAAGAAATTAAGTAAAACTTATTCAAGATTACACAGCTATTAAGAGATGGAGGCAGGATTCAAACTCAGGCGGTCAGCCTCAGGCAGCCTCATGTTTCATGGCTGGACCATTGCCTAAATGAAAGCTGCTCACTCTCAGCCTATTGAGAACCTGGAGAAACTGGCCTTGTTATGAGGCCACAGGCTAAGAAAGCAGTTGTATCAGCTTACTTGTGGCTCTAAACTTGGCCAGATCCTCAAGTCTAAGGATTCTTACTATGCACAGGTGTTCTCAGTCTGGATTCATGTCTCAGGTGACTCATGAACCCTTGGAAATTGTGTGCCAAATGCATTTATGAGTCCATGTGTGTTGTGTTGGTATGACGGGGGGTAGGCGGTTTGGTGGTTTTCTGCACAGTATCAGCAGAGCCTCTACTCTGTCACTGGCAGGATCCTAGCTGTGCAGGCGTTTGTCAGCCTAAATCTAAATCAAGATTCTGGGCTGGGAATTAGGATATAGCTCCCCATTGAACAAGTGAGTGGCTATAGGATCTTGGAAGAACCAGGCTTTCCAAATGTCCTCCCACCCCTTGGAACTCTGCTGCTGTGGAGCAGTTGTACGATGTCCTTTTCTCTCTTTGAAGCTTTCCAAATCTTTCAATCTTTTTTTTTTTTGCCTCCAAATTTTGGAACCTCAAAATTTCAAGGTTTTTTTTTTTAATTTTTTTATTTTTTTTCCTTTTGTTTTACCTTCTCCTTTCTGGCTTTGTTCAGAAATCAGGTATCAATAAGCTTTTTATTACTCATCCAATCTGTGAGTTCAGTTTCCCATTTAACTTTTATGAATGTTTTCTTTGTTAAGATGAGTCCTTTCAAACCCCTGTAAAGAATGTTTCACTATATACAAACATAAAAACGAAGTGTTAAAACTAGAAAATCCAAGTGGAAACACAAACATACATATACATTTTTCCCCAGGCAATTTAGCTTCATAGAAATTGAGTGCATCTGCAAGGGAATTTTTTTTTAAATGTTATTGGTAGTTTTGTTATTTGTATTACCTGTTTGGTCCTAGTCTTTATAGTTGATTACTCTAGGTAGGTCTTTTTAGGACTGAAAATAGGTCACACATATCACAGTGGTCCCAGTGTTAGAGAGATGATAAAATTCTATTACAAAGTAGTTTTGTCATGCTTTTGGTCTAAATGAGTAATACAACTAGCATGTCCAGTGTCATTTTTGCTGTACTCTGGAAAACTTTTACCATCTATCTCATCCTTATATACTGCAACAAACTTCTGATATTATTTCAATTGCAGTTCAGGCATTGCCCTCGACACAGGCTTAAGTTCAAGTCTCAGCTCTGTTACTTACAAACCATATGACTTTGAGCAAGTTTATTTAATTTTGTGGAGTCCTTTTTTTTCCCATACAAGGGGAAAACAATAATTACATGTTGCTCAAAGGGTTATGAGGAGTGAGGTCAGGCATGTTTATATGTTTCACTCTGGCGTTTTGCAGAGTAAGCACTTGATAAATGATGCTCGTGTTATTGATTGTCATCATCATCATTAATATGTGTAATAGGCTAGGTACAGTGCTTGGCACATAGCGGGCACTAAACAAATATTTTATTGGATTTGATTGTACATAGCGCTTGTGACTGAATCAGAGGTTGCCAGGGGTAGCTTTTTGCTCAGTAGATTAACAAGGAGGAAATTGTTGAACAGAACAACTGATGGCTCTACCTTTAAGTCAATGAATTTCATAGTGAAGTGGTCTTGAATGCAAATGATGAAATGTGGCAAGTCTGGTGGAGAAAAAAACCCAACAATCTTGAAGCTGTTTTAAAGAGTAGCAGTTGCCTAGTCACCCCAATTGCTGAAATTTTCCTTCTCTTCCTTGAATAAGGAGTAGAGAGGGGCAGAGAGGTTACTGGTCATGTTCATTAATTTTCTTTCAAGAACTGCCACATGTCACCAGTGGTGCCCCCCCAGCACCAGTGCTGTTTGGCAGTCTTCTCTTTGCCCCAGAGAAGCCAAAATGTTAAATTGATGGAGCTTACTAGATCTGACAGAGAAATTCTTCACGTCTGGCCTGGATGTCTAAGTAAATTTGGTGTACTTCTTGTGGTCTGGAGCAAATGCTGGAAGCTATTAGAATTCTGAACAAAACCCTCCATTCAAAGACTGCTCGTTTCCTGCTGGGGTAATCCAAGTATCAAACATTAAGAAATATGGGCAAGGCAAATGTGGCTGCTCATTGCAAAACCCACCAAGGTGTCTACGACATCTCCCCAAATGACTTGGAATGTTACATCCACTTGATCATCTTGAATAAGTGGTTTCTTTTGAAAACAAGAGCTCTACTTTTCCTACACCAAGTATAGATGGGAATTGGCTGAATTTCCTCTTGTCAGTCAAATTTAGGAGAAGAAAGCTTTCCTCCTTCCCTTGAAGTTCTAGGGACCTAGCCTTTTTTTTTGGTTTTATTTTGTTTCATTCTCCTTTCCTTATATATTTCCTTCTGAAATAAAAAAAAGTATCTTTCATTAGATATAGTTATGGATCTATTGTTTTAGACTAGGCCTGCTCAGTGGCTGGAAACGATTTTATTAAGAAGGCTTTATAGAGAAGCTTTGGTTTATCTCATGAAATATCTGAGTTTGTCATAGATTGTTTCCTTTCTGTACAGAAAGTTATTTTCTGTGAAATTCCAGGTGTTCTTTTACATAGACTTGAAAGGAATAGATTTGATAGTCCAGGTTTTTTTTTTCCCTAAGAAGAATATGTTCTTGTGATAGATTAATTGAGGATGAAATCAGATAACATAGATGAAATCACTGGATAGGCATAGTGAAAACCATTATTTTAATTAATCTAGCTACAGTGTTTGTACAGCCAGCTATGCAGCTGAAGGCTGCCATGTAGTAGCTGCTACACTGTTTGGCTCCTGTACTTATACTGTATGGGGACCTCTTTCTTAGACAGTCTCACTCCTGCTGGACTGTAAACTCCTGGAGAACAGGGACAAAGCCTTGTTCATTAGAGTATTCCTAGTGCATTCCACTATAATAGACACATAATTAATACTTTTAAAAAATGAACAAATGAATAAGACATTTGTACAGAACTTGAGTGTTAGACCAGGTGGTTTCACAAAACAAAGCGCTCACGGAGGTTTATTGGCCTTCCTCCTATGTCTTTGACCTTTTCCTTAGCTTGTGTCTATGCTGTGTTTCCTGTCTACGAGATGGTGGAGATGGCGAGCCCAGTTTTCTTTCATCTTGAAAGGATTCAGCTCCATTACTTAATAGTCCCAGTCATGTTCCTTTCCCCCTAGAATCTGTGTATGAGATGTGAAATCCATGAAAAGATAATGTTGAATGGGAAAAATTAACCTATTTTGATGACTTTTAAGGAGTTCTAACTGTGCATGATAGCAGGCGACTCCCTTGTCAGTAGGCAGCAGGCCTGTGTTATGTCAGGGGTAACGAGGTGGTTCACTTGTGGAGAGTTTTCTGTCTTTTCTTCCAAGTTATGCTGACCTCGCCGACGAAAATATTCCCCATCTAATAAAAGTCAGAGCAAATTTATGGGCCTGCCCCTGACCACTTGTCCTTTATCCTTTAAAAGAAAAAATAAATCTAGGATAAGATCCATAGGTTACTGTTGGACCATGGAAATGATGGGCAGGGGCCAAATATCCCACCTTCCTTGATCTGCTTCTCTTTTCCCGATTCCGGCTGTCTGGGGGATGCTGAAGCTTGTGGCATGAGGGTTACTGCCGAGCATGGCCATGTCGTTAGTTCCCTTTGGAAACAAGCTGTTGCTCTCCCTGCCTGGAGGGCCACACGCCTTGGCACCACACTGAAGAGATCCCAGGCGTGGCTGGAGTGAAGCTGCTAATGAAAAAGCAGCCATGGCAGGTCAGGACGAATCAAGCAAAAAGGAGGACATTCTATAATTAAAGATTCAGAGAAATACTAGCGCAGTTTTTGTTGTTGTTGTTGTTGTTTTGTTTTTTTGTTTTTGCCAACGCTATGACAATTGCTCTTTCTACCTGTTCCCGTGGGTTTTCTGTCATTTTATCACTCATTAAACAAGTGTTTATTAAATCTCTACTTTCTGTGTGCTGCTTACCTGTGTGCTGTTGACCATAGTTCAGGGATTACTTAAAGCATCAATGAGTGTGCGATGACTCAGGAATGAGTCGGGTCCTCAAGGATCTTGTCACCTAGTAAGAGACAGAGAAATATGAGGCAGAGGGAGGCTGGGCCATAGGATATGGCAGGATGCAGAGCAAAGAGCTCCAGAGTCTGATAGACCTGGGATCAAATTCAGGCTCTACCACTTATGAGCACATTTGGCTTTGGGCAATTTACTTAATCTTGAACTTCAGTTTCTAAATCTTTGATTGTGCATAATACACAGCGTCCTGGAAGGGTTGTTTTAGGATTTGAAATAAGCTGTGAAAAGGGCCTGGCCTAGAGTTAGCACTTGACAAATGGCTGCTCTTATTATTTTATTATCTCTGGCGAGGTGCTGATAACCATGTGAGTTCAGGGGAGGCAGTCTCCACCCCGTGGACAGAAGTGAGAGGATCAGCAAGGGGATCAGGAGTTTCATGGGGCACATGCCTCTGCACTGAGCTTGGGAGAATGAGTAGGATCTGGGAACGTCGTGAAGGAGAATAGAGAAGAAACTTTATTCAAGACATAGGTTTTTACACATTTTGTTTTGTTTTTAGCAAATAGGCACTTATTTTGCATCATTTTTATTTGCAGTATGCAATCAAATTGTGAGATTACTTAAGCCTTAGCATGAATCCCAGTGCCAACAGTTGTGTATTTCTTTCTTCTGCTTTCTTTTGTTGTCCCCCACAACCTTCTCTGAACAGCATCTATTAAGTGATTGCAGAGTCTCATGACTTGGTTGTGTTGGAATCTCTGCATTAGTGGGGACACCCTTCCAATTCCTTGTTAGGATCAAATGTGTTTTAGAGAAGGTATCTGGTTCCCAAGTTCTCTGTTGTTTTTTGGAACCATGAAAGCCTAGAGATGTTATGGCAGGATGTCCCTAATATGCATGGCAAGCCCTCGACAATGATTATGGCAGTTGTTACTATTACTGATTATTTGTAACTTCTAATAATCCAGAATTTAAATTGGTCAAAGACACGCTGCTCCTCAGGGAGTCTGAATATACTGGTATCAGCCCAGTGTCCTTCCACACTGGCCTGCAGCTCATTGTGACTGGGCCAACTTTGGCCTTTGTGCCTGGCTTCTATGCCAACCTGCCAAGTCCTTGAGATGCTGTGCACCTTACTATTTTTTGTCAGGCCTGCTAAGAAGGGGGCTTGTGTCCTGCAGATCAAGGACCAATAGGAAGCCCTCACCACAAACCTGATTCACAGTACTCTCTCCTCTTTGCACTTTGCACTGAAGAATCATCCTCTCCTCCATACACATTTTTTCCCCAGTACAGAACTTAGCTTTGTGGTGCTGGGTTATTAAGGAACCCAACTTGTATCCACTGTAGTTGTAATCTTGCTGGTCTTTGTCTGAGTTGCAAAACAACACTCATGGAAGTCCTCATTCAGTTATTCTAGAGCACTTGTTGAGCTCCTGGTAGAGGCAGAGTGCTGTCCACCAGATTTGTGCCTGATGGCACAGAGAATGATCAAAAGGAATCTTGCAACTGGACATAGTTTCTTTAGACAGAGACAGAGGTAAGTAAGTAACCTCACATAAGTATCCTAACTCTTATTTTCCAAATGTTAATGCTTGACTGGCATGTTATAAAGCTAATTTGTTTATAGTTGTGCCACATAATTATACACTCTGTACATAATATGCTTTTGAAATTATTATTTATTGCACAAATATTACAACAGAAACTGAACTCAAAACACAAGGAAAAATGTGTGTGGGCTCACCATTTGTACGAGTAAAACTTTTAATATATTTGTGTGTTCACTCATAGTCCTTATCCATGAATTCATAACTTTTGCACACAGTGGAAATCATACTGAAGATACCATTGGGTGTTCTGTTCTCCCCATTCTCCTCTCCCCATACACCATAATATTATTCATGTATGCTCTCAAGTTTAATCATGTCTGCATGCGGACATTTAGCTATCCTTAGAGAGCCCATAATTTGAACTCTGAGCATCTAGAGGAAGCTGCTGCCCCCAGCCCACTTAGGTACTTTCTTTTCCCCTTGTGGTGAGAATAGGAATTAGGTAGCAAGAGTTCCCAGGCTTCATTGTCCAAGGCTATGTTAGTATTTTCATCATAAATCTTGAGGCATCGCCTATTAAAGCCTTTTTGCCTTTCTCATTAAAAGAAGAGAATTTAGAAGGAAATATTTGAAAGACTCTAAGATGCCCAGGAGAAAGGTTCCAACATTATTACTCTGAGTAGACCAAGTTAGGTGTGGGTATATATTAATAGTAACTAAACACCTAGCAGTTTGGTGTATTCTGGAATGCTCTTGACTTGGGCTGAATGTGTCTGATGCTCTAGGTGTTCTTGCTGTCTCTGTCTGTCATCTGCCTGTCATTCTCCTGTGAGGGTAAGTAGTATCCCTTCCCAGACTGAGGATGGAAATGTTGAGGGGTGTAAAATGATAACTCAAACCTTTCCAAGAGTCCCCAAAGTGTGTACAGTGCATATGAAATTCTCCAAAAGGAGAAGAGGGATCTGGAAGTGCCACTGGGAGTGAGAGGCTGGGGAACCAGTGGAGTAGAGGATAGTAGTGGCTTGAAGTCACAGAGCAAGAATTCAAAACTTTGCTCTGGCACTAGCTTGGTGGCCTTGGGCAAATTACTTAATGTTTCTGAATCTTTCCATGAGGAAGATAATTACATTGCCCACCTCACTTGGTTGTGGTCGGTATTAAACTGGATAATGCAAATAATGCACTTAGCACAACACCTGGCATAAATAATAAGCACTCAATAAATGTGAAATGTTATGGTTGTTATTTCCTGCTTCACATTATAATTTTATTGCTTTCCAGACTGATGTCTCCGAACTTAGGTAGTAGTGGAGTCTGTGAGCTATTTTCAGTATTTCAAAATCTATGAAAAGGAGACAGTTCTGGTCACCATAATAAGTACATGACAGATGGAGTCTTTGAAACATGGTACCCACAGGGGAAGAATCCAGAAGGGGTCCTTTGTGTTGAAAAGTTGAGGCCTCGAGCTGAGGAAGTTAGCAAGTGCTTCAGTGAAAGCTTGTGGGTTTCCAGTTACAATGGGAGTAAATAGAGGGATGTTGTGAGCAAAGAACTTGATTGGTTGCTATGAGAGATCGTTCCCCTGTGGAGCATCAGAAGTTGATGCACTCTGGAGACCCCAGTTGCTCTGTCATGTTTACCAGTTTGTAGAATGTGTTATCACTGCCAAGCACCTTGGAAGCAGTGAGAAAACTGCCAGACAAATGGAAACCGGTTTCTCTACCCAACTTGGTAGAACATTTGCTCCAGGCAACCATACAGGCTCCAGGAGACATTTGCCTTGACAGTGCCTATTTTGTAAAGCTGTAATTTAAACTGACAAAACTTGATTTTGACATTGCAACAAGGTCTCTGTAGACTTAACACTATGTTCATTTTCCCATGCTTATCCCTACTGGAGACTGATGGGTTTACACCAACATGGAAGCTGGTTGGAATGGAAACCATCCAGAAAATGATTAGGGAGCTTGAAGCTCTCTGAAACTGGGCATAATGTGTATTAAGTCATTATAGTTTTAATGAAACTTGTCTTAGCTGGGGTCTCTTAACCACTTGTTTTCTAGTTGTAAATATTGAGTCCCTAATTTACACTAATGAGATGCTGTTGAGATTTAACGCCAATCTTATACTGCATTTGTCAAAGTGTAAGAGCTAACCTGAAATGTAGCTTTGCAAAATATTCTATTAAATAAACTTGGTGGAGAAGTAGCAACAAACAAACTGCATGCTTTCAGCAGAAACTGTCAACATACACATCTCTGAAGAAATTCATATTTTATGCCAGGGTGGTCTACAGTAGTTCCCATTAGTAAACGGTTAAATATCACCCTTCCCTGGTAAATCTGAATACTTTTGTGTCTGTTGTGAAATGCTGTACACATCCTCTTTTGATGATCTGCCTGGGAATTCTCCACTGTGAGAATTGTCTCTTAAAAATGGGAAGCAGCAAGGCATAGTAGAAAGAATATAGGCACTGGTGACACATATATTTAGGCCTGAGCCCAGCTCCCAGTTGGTGGCCAGGTAAGTTCTTTAACCTCCTTTTGCTTATTTTTTTTTTCTCCCTGCAACATGGGGTTGGTAGTACTTATAGGGCAGTGCTATCCAAACACTTAGTAGAGGTGATAATGTAAGTAGTGAACGTAGCTCCTGACATATAGTTGGTGTTCCCTAAAGGATAGATTGAAAGATATACACACCACCAAGTTGAATTCCTCTCAGATTTGTCCAAGGCCACCCAGCCTTTCTTGGCCTTTTCTTCCATCATTGGTTAGTGTGTGTTCTTGAAGGCAGTCTGATTTTATCCTTGGCTTAAAAAGTGGGGAAATATTTAGGAAGCCTAGCCTAATGCAAGAGAACTCATCTATCTTACTGTAGGATCAAATACAAATGGTTTTTGGATTGTCCATTATTTATCTCTCACTTCTCTTCATTAGTGGTGCTAATGGAAACACAATTATCTTCATAGACTTTGTTAGTCACAATCTCTTGGTTTCTTCAAATCCCACAATAGCAAGAATATGTTGTGGTTTTTATAATCTCTTTTGGTTCCTCAAACCCAAAGAAGGACAGTGAGAGGGTGGGAGATGATTTGAGAGGGTATTTACATTCCCAGGATTTTCAGATATATTTATGATTTTATTTTTTTGGAGACAGTGTTCCAATAGAGAGGTATTCTGTCTTCTCTTTTCTTTTTTCTCTTCTCTCTCCTCCCCCCAAATCGAGGTTGTAAGTGATGTGAGAGACCTGCTGTGAACTGCTGTCACCAGATCCTGCTATGATTTCTCTTTGTTCTTAGTTCTGGAGTCATCAAGGCTACATGGAGACACGTACCTTCCACTGATATGTTTGCTCCTTGATTCAGGGCTGAGTGCCTGTTTGAGTGATTCTGGCTACAGCTAAATGATATTTCTGTTTCCAATAGTATTGTAAACTATAGAGTAAGAATTTTCTTGTTGTTGTTGGGAGAGTTTGTTTTTCTTCTTAGTGTGTATTATCTCCCACCCCACTCCTCCAACCCGTTCTTTAAAAAACAAAACAAAACCAACAAACAAAAACTTGCATTGAAGCAACACCCAGAAGGAGTGAGCAGGCCTAGGCTGGAGTCTTATCCTGACATGGTAGAATCCTGTTACTGTCTCTTCGTAGATTCATTTAAATTGTTTTGACTGATTCATGCAATCTCTCAGTCCATTGATCAAGTCAAAAGAAAAAGTATCACTAAAAACTCACAGGACTGGTGCAGGTAGAATATTCTTTATCTATGGAAAATTCATTATCCTATCTAGAAGGATGTCTTGAAATAGCAGAATATTTTTATTATGTTTTTTTTCCAAGTAATACATGGTTCAAGAAAAAAGAAATTTTAAAAAGCCACACTAATAGCAAAACTAAAATAAGCATGAATCTTAATTTTAACAAAGATTACAGTAGTCCATGGGAAGGATTGTCTGCCCATTGCAGTGGGTTTGATTGGTTTTTTTACTTGGAAGTGCTCATATTCTGGAATGTGTTTATAGATCTTGACCTTAGATACTTCTCCTGACTCAGAAATTGTAAAATGTTTTGCTAGAGTAGCCAGTGGTGAGAGACCGCTACTGCTGTATGTTGCTCAGGGCTAACCTGTTAAGAACTGGTCTCGTCGCTCAGAGAGAACCATGATGCTGATGCCAGTTTCTTGTTTATGTAAAAACATTTAAAAATGGGCAAGATACTCTCTAAGTACAAGATAGTTATTATTGAGATATGTTCATGAATAAATTAATGAGAGAGGAACTTGAGATAAAGGAAATGGAGGAGAGAAATTGCATTTTTCCTGCATAATTACTCTCTTGTTTTAGAACACAAGTAGTCCTTTGGCATATTTTCAAAGTGTGGTATGTTTCACTTTTGTTTAAACTTGTCAAATTCTCAATGTAAAAGCCATTTAAGACTTTTTTTTCCTTCTTTTTTGAAGGTTGCTTCTTTTGGCCTCTTAAAGATAATTAAGAGCTGTAATTTGTGAGGATTTTGATGGCATTTTTTGGCAGTGGTAGTGCAGGACAGGATACATGAATCATAGCATCTGCTTATTAGCAAGGTCTCATAGATCACTTGTCCAACTTTCCACCGGGTGCTGAGATGGTTGGTCTCTGTTATCTGTTCTTCCCACTTCTGCTGGATACATTCTGGGAAAAGAATTTCATTGATGAGTGAGCTGTACTTCCACTTCTGAAGTACAAAAGTTATTAAGCTAGGGAGCATTTTCTCCATTTGACACCTACAGGCCACTCAGTAAAAAAGCAAATGAATGATGAATGAGTAAGGTCCCTGGGCTGCTTCCTACTTCTTCTTAGAGTGGTTAAGGCCCTCTTGACATTTTTGGAGGATGATAAATGTGTGCCCTTGAAGTTTCCTTGTCCAGGTCAAACAGCCCCAATTTCTCCATGATCTTTGGACATTGCTTCCACATTTTCTCTCCTTCTTGCTCTCCACAGGGCAAGTTTCATTTCATCAATTTTTTTTTGTAAAATACTGTAAAGATATCTGAATGAAGTAGACCAGGTATAATCTGATAAGCATAGAGTATGGTGGAGCATTTCTTTTAAGGTTCTGGGTATTGTTATTATCCTACTAATGGAACCAGCATTTGCTGGACCTTTTGGGGCCACCATGCCTTAGACAGGTAGATAATGGAATGGCATAGAGAACAGCCTGAAGCCGGCTGTCTTGGTTTGAATTCAGACTTACCATTTATGAAATGTTTGACCCTAGGCAAGTTGTTTAACCTCTCTGTAAACTTGTCTTCATTTGTAAAGTCAGGGGTAATCATAGTACTTATTTATACAGTTATTATAAGGAGTAAATAAATTAGTTTGTGCTGAGTGCCTACAACAATGCCTGGAGTGAAATAAGCACTCTGTGTTAGCTTTTATTGAATTTACAATGAAAAACGTCCAGGTCTTACTATCTGAAGTGCAGTTAGTTTTTTCAGCAAGGCTTTAGAATTAGACAGGGCTATGTTTAAATCTTAGCTCTGCTGTGTGTTTTGGGGGAAATTACTTTGCCTTTCTAAGCTTCTGTTTCCTCGTCTGTGAAAAGGGCATTAAAGAATAAAATCAGTTGAATTTCTGAGCCCTAATTAAGAACCTTGAGGGCAGAGCCATGGTTTACACTTGCTTTTTTTCTTCTTTCTTAACTTTACCTGGTATGCCATGTTTATAATCACTGCTAAATTAAAATAGTAAATATTTAAACTGAGTTTTCCCTTCAGTCTACCTTGTAGTAGAAAAATTAAATACTTCTATGTTACTTAAAACTGCACACTCACAAGTTTATGGTGGTGTATTGATTGGTTGTTCTGAAGAATGTATTCTGCTTGCCACCATGAACTGGGCTTCAGAATAAATAGGCTTCCTTGATCACTTCTCTCCTCATTAACTACTGTCTGGAATTTAGAGGGAATACAAAGTCTGGTAGCTACATTGCCTACTAATCTTGCAAATGGCCTGTGAGGTGGGTAAGCAATCAGGTGAGTGACAAAGGTTATAGTCAATTTTCCTGGCACTCTGGGATTTATTTTTGTGTCCTTGAAGTTTTAAGCAAGTGAGTTTTGAGGTTGTTGAGAAAGTGGGAGACTATATTTTAAAATGGTTTATAGTTATTAATGTTTTCAAATCTTGGTGGGATTTTAAAGGTGGGTTAAGCTGCGAAAGTGAATGTAAGTTAAAGCCAGTTAAATAGAGGAGTCCCTCGTTCATTCTGTCTTTGGTATGCTTAGGATTTCATAAATTTTATGGGTTTCAAAATCTTTGCCTTGTTTTGAATGTTTCTAATAAGATGGAGTGAAGTGGCTTACACCTCATGAGACATGGAACAGTTATCCAGGAATGCTGCTTGGCACACATATAAAGAAAGCACTGGTCTATTGATTCATAAAAAATGTGTGACTGATTTTCCTGGGACATGTGCATTATTTTCACAGAAGAATTTCATTTTTTACTTCCTCCCACCCTGTGCATCACTTGCACACGTTTGCAATTCATCAACTCTGATTTCCAAAACTTCTGCCCCCTCTTCCCCCAACCACCTCCATCCAACTACCTAAAGTGAAATATATTAGATGGAGAGGAGGGAAATTTCCTTAAATGCCTAATTTTTATGTCTGTAAGGGGCATGGTGAATTTGAGAAATGGTCTGAATGTTAGCCCAGATGACTCAATGCAATTATGAAACAAATTGGAAGCTGTTTCCATGAAAGAGTATGTATGCATGTGTTTCCACGAAAGGGGTGTGTGTGTGTGTGTGTGTGTGTGTGTGTGTGTGTGCGCGTGTGTGTGTGAGAACATGTGTTTAGGTCAGTTCTTTCATTCGTTCTCTTTCTTCCTCTTCTTTTTGTCGTTTCAAGGCTATGTTTTAGGTTGGCTATACAGCAATGAGGTTGCACTACACAGCCTCATCCCCTAAAGCCAAAATACAGCAAGTAGAAGACTGCTTAGCTCATCCAGTGAGAATCTCATGTATTATATTCTTACTTGCCATTGAGTTGCCAGAAAAAAAATAAATAGCTTTGTCTTAGAAAGCAATAACTTTTCTGCAATGAAATAACATTAAACAACTCTACCTGGTATGCCATGTGCATTGTTTTTCCTTTCTTGGAAAGGAAAAACTTTCTTAGAAAACGAGGGCACACAATGATTAGCGCTAACTTTCTCTTTCATGTGTCCAACTTAAGATTTTCTAGTGAGGCAGAGTTATTTCCCCTTACATGCTTGGTTTAATGGAAAGGGCCTGGCTTTCAGTTTTGTTCATATTCAGCTACCAAGACCCAATCAGTTAATAACTTTGCCCAGAGTTGAAAGAAAAATTCCTCTGGGTACAGAGTTAAATTCCTCTGCGTGTGGAAGGCCATAGTGGTTAAAAAGTTAGGCTTCGGAGCCAGATCAACATAGATTCAGATGTGCCTCTGCTGCTCAATGTGTGATGAGGGCAAATTGCTGAACTCAAGTCTCAAGTTTCCTCATCTGTCTGATGGGGATCATAACGCACATCACCTGACGTTGTAATAATTGCCTGACAATGTGTATAAGGCACTCGTGTAAGATCTGGCACTTGGCAAGAGTAAAATGCATTTTAGCCTATACTTTTTACTCTTCATTTGTAAAATTGTGGTAAAGGGATTGGCCCTGGAGGGAGTAGGGTGAGGTGGCATTTTCAGGAAGGTAGCACAAGGTTACAGGGAGGACAATAGAAATGTACAGGATGGCTGAAGACTCAGTAAGTAAATAGCATTGCTTCTTACAGCAGGCCGGAGGAGATCTCTATATTTTTCTTTATTAGAGAAAATTTAAGGGATATTGATTTTTAAAGGGAAGATTTATATTTTAATTTTAAAGAGGAAAATTTATCAGCTCCTATATATTTATTAGACATTTTGGGGGGGAAACAGTGAATGAATGAGACTGGTCCCATTTGATGTATGCTGTCAAAGTTTATAAACTATCTGATGAATTAGTAAGAACATATCAAACAAGACAAAGAGGCTCATTGTTAATGTGCGCAGGTGAGGCTTTGCAGGCTGCTTGTGGGTGAGGGTAAAAGTTTTCTTAACCTCAAGCCTGGATTCTGACCATAGAAACATTCCTCCTGAGTGAGTAGTGCTTCTAGAGTGCTTTCCTTCAAGGACCTCTCCGGCATCTGGCTCAATCACATGCCATCTTTTTCTCCTTTACATCTGCTTCCTTGCCCCACTTTGGCACCCAGCTAAGTGTGGGCAGATGGTGTGGCCTTGGGGACTCCAGAAGGGCCTTGGTGTCCTTCAGTAGCATGGAGTGTATAGCAGGGTCTGCCCGTGAAGGACCAGGGAGGTGAAGGGCCTTACAGGACTCATGTGGAATGCTTGTGAATGCATTATTTCCAAATATCCCTGAGTATTTGCAAGCGTTTTTATATACCTTTACTTCCATTTTGCTTTGACAACACCATTACCATTCCTTGACGATGAGGAACTGATCGGAAATAAACCTAATTGTTATTTGCTTAACAGTTTCAAGACCTGCAACTTGCAGCAGTCTCCTGACGGTCTCTGTACATTTTCTCTGTCCCCTTCTAATCTATTCACCACATTGTAGCTGGAGTGATTTTTTTTTTTTTAAACAGAAATCTGATCATGAGCTTTCTTGGTTTAAAACTCCTTCACGGCTGCCATTTGCTTACAGGTTTAGGGCTGAAATCCTTGCCATGGCTTGGCTTACAGGACTCTGTGGGTCTAGCCTCTGCTGACTTTGCTCCTCAGCACCAACCTATTCATCTTTCATCCTTCCCTCTTTCCAGAAAACCTAAAGGTGGAGCCCTGTCTGCTCCATCTGCTGCCCTGGTTACTCTCATCCAGGGCATTCATTCTCTTTTTATAAGTACTGTGAGGCCTTTTCACAATTTGTTACTACTGCATAGTTATGTACTTATTTCTTGCCAGTCTCCCTCACAAGGCTGCAAACTTCAGGAGAGTGCAGACCGCAGCCTGTTCAGTCCTCATGGTATATGAAGCCTGTTGCATTACAGGTCCTGAGCCTCCATTTGTTGAATAATTTCATTAATTAATTAACCAATTAATTAATTTCCTCTAAAGGGTTTGAAACCCCAACTATTAAGGCTTATGTTGAAAGGACAATTTAAAGGAAAATAAACTGTTAGAAGAGGGAGAGATAGAAGCCCCAGAAACTTGGAATGAGTCAGATCTTACAGCTGAGCAGGAACGCAAGCTTTGAGGAAAGCTTTATTTATTTAAATAGGAGTCTCATAAGGAAGGCAGAAAAAGGAAACCCAAGCAGATGACTTGGTTCCTATTATCTGCTGAGAGGAAGCTCATCTGGAGTGATGACTTTTTCCTGGCACTAAATTTGACCTGAAAATTATAAAATGAATCCATACAGAATAAAAAATACCCTCCTGCTCCCATTATGGATGATGTCTTCTATTGTAGTTTGCCGAAGGGACAGAGTTTGTGAGAGGGAGTGAGTTGAGATGAGGTGGAGATGAAAGCCTGTATATAATTTAGAGAGAACTTGGGGCAAACTAGAAAGATAGCCTGTGGTCTGAGATGAGGGCCGATGCCACAGACATGGGGACCCCTTTCCTTTCTGGCAGCATTTTCCTGTGTGTATTCTGGGGGGCCTTCAAGGTATTCTGTGACAAAAGGGTTCTCTAGTCAGATAGGTTTGCAAAACACTGCGTATTATATCCTGGCCCACCCTTGAAGTTGTATAATGCATACCAATAAATAAAGACCCTGAGAAGTGAGAGTCTTATAGTGAAGAGATGTTTAGCTGTTTAATCCACCATTTTTCAAGCTTATTTGACCTCAGAAAACATAATCATAGAACTTCCCTCAAAACAGACCTGAGTAATGCTAATTTAGGAGTTGGAGAGAACAAGAAGTACCAGCATGAGATCAAGGTAGAGAAACTCAATTATCTTTGTAGAAACATTTCTACTTTGAAATAGAAATAGAATGATCTAAGCTGAAATAGATTTTTTTGTGTGTGTTTTATTATAGTAGTGGTTGGAGTAGGGGTCCCCAAAAAGTAAGGATTAAGGGAGTGAGGATCTTTCCTTTATGAAAATGGTATGGACCCGTGTCATTTAATGGAGGGTTTTGGTGGTTAGGAGGACAGGCTACTGGGTGTGAGTTCAGGGTCTACCATGTTTTAGCTGGATGACATAAGAAATTGCCTACCATCACAGTGCCTCCTTCCTCACCTGTGAAATGTGGGTAATAATAGTAATGACTACAAGAGCTCTTCTAAGAATTAAATGTGATGATGCATGTATAATGCTGAGAACAGTGCCTGGTTCAAAGTAAGAGCTTAATAAATGTTAGCTATTAGTATTGCTGATTAAAGAATGCCAAGGAATTAATAAGCATGGAAAGATTGGAGCCCTTTACTCAGAGCAAAATCTAGAAATGTCTAATAGCCAAAATATTCTTCTCATGGGGCCTTTTCCAGCTTGAGGCAAATGATAATATGTTTAGAAGCTGATGGGGTAATAGTTTCCCAGCTGGAGAAAAACCTGAGTCTTCATACAAGGAGAGAGAACCACAATGTGTGTTCCTGCAGTACTGCTGTGGAAGTCATGCTGTATGCAAGTACGTCCAAATCAATAATCATAAGTAGCCCCGATGGCTGAACCCAAAGTCTTTCTTTATAATCTTTTATATTATTTCTTTAAAAGACTCTGCCTGTAAAAGAATCTGAATCTAGTAAACTTACTCGTGATTTAATTTGAGCTCTGTTTGAGGTGTTGGCTCTGTTTGTTGATTATGCCAGGTTCTTTTCGGTTTCTAAGCAGTTGAATCAAGTGATAGAATGTCTGGTTTTCTAGTTGCTTCATACATGAAGTTGCATATCCATCCATCTATCCATCTATCCTTCCATCCATCCATCCATCCACGCAGTAAATATTTATCAGTCAAGTACTACTAACCACTTCCAATTTATGAAGCATCCTCACAAAGCCCCCAAATGTGGTTTAAATATAGCACTAGGAATTCTTTAGGCCTCTGAAAGTTACTTATGAAAATGACGGAGACTGTTCTGTCTTATTTTCTTATCCTCCTAATTTACAAGTTCTGTTCTGTGTACACTGTGACTCTGTAAGAGTAGTGTTGGAGACTAGATTAAATGTAGATCTAAAATACCCTGTCCATAGGCAGAGATAGGTAAAGAATGGCTAATTACTAAATAATTAATAATAGCTGGTGATGCTGCTGGCCCTTATTTGACCTTTACATAAGCACAGCTGCCTCTGGGCTCATCCCAGGGGCTATCTTTATCAACACTAGAGTGTGATAATAAATGAGTTTCTCTAGGAATTTTTCTTTTTGTTCAGGCACTGTCTCTGAAGAGTGTTCCATGGGAAAACAATCCTCATGATATACATTTTTTTAATAGATAAAACTTTGGCAGATCCATTTTCAACCCTGGCATTCAGACCTCCTAAAATTGCTATCAGCTAATAGAGATTTAGGATATAGAAAGCTGGGAAGGCAGTCAAATTGGTTCCCGGCCACTAAGGCCCTGCATGCATAAGTATCACATGAGGGCTATGGACACCAAGACCAATCAGGCCAGGCTTTTCAGGAAGCTCTGCTCAGAATCAGGTGGAGAACATTCTTAAGCAGTAGTCAATTATTATTCTTGAATATTAATCACAATTAGTGCAAAAGACTACCTCTTGCCACTACCAGAATTATTTTGTATATAGAGATCTTATATGAGCATGGGAAAATTTATTTTTTAAATGCTACTCTCTGGGAAACAAAGTCATTCACTCACCAGGTGTTTATTGAGTTAATTTTACGCCAGACACTTTGCTAGGCCTAGTGATACAAGGTGAATGAGGCATGGCATTGCCCCTAAGGAAATATAAAATAGTATAGAGTTTCAACTTAAGTGTCAGATCCAATCTATTAATTGGTAGTGGCTGCCTGGAGGATTGTGTTGGGGAGAATTCTGAGGCTTTGTCTGGACACAGTGATTGATTAGAACAATCTTCCTTGAGGATAGAAAGGGGATAATGGTAGATGTACCACCCATTTTCTGTACCTAGTCTTCTGAGAGACCGGCAGGCAGTTGCAGCTCCATATGTTAGGTACTATAGGAGGGGATCATATAGGATACTCTGGGAACACCTAATTCTGCACATGGAGCAGAAAATAGCATCACAGGCGGTTGAAACTTTGAACTGAGACCTGAAAATTAGTAGGAGATCCCCCCCGGTGAATAAACAAGAGAAGTGCATTTTAGGCAAAGAAGCAAAGTTGGACCTGGAAGCAAGCAATGGTAGGATGTGTTGGGAAAGGCAAATTGTTCTTTGTACTGGGAAACTTTGCCAAGACCAGATCTCACTGAAGGATTTGGATGTTAGGCCCAGGAGCCTTGGAGGACTGTGAGACAACACTAAAAAAATACCGATCCTTGAAAAATATTAATCTGAAAAGAAGGCACTGATGGCAGGCACCCTTTAGAGCTCTGGCCTCTGGTCTGTTCTGTTCAACCTCTATACTGATGGCTTGGTTAGACAAAGATGACGTGCATGTTGATCAGATTAATAGAAGACACAATGTTTGGAAGTTTTGTGAGCCTGTGGGTGACTTAATCTGAAACCAGATGTCTCAAACAGCTTGAACAATTCCAAACCAGAGGATATTTGCTAGGGAAAATATAAATTCTGTACTCTGGCTGAAACAACCAATTGTACAAGAGCAGGATGGAAGAATATTTAGCCTGGCAATAATATGTGTGACAAGAGTTAGATTTTGGTTACAAATGTCACCAGTCTACAATGTGACATGTCCACACTGAGAAAATAGTAATGATGGGCATGAAGAGTTCTAAAAAAGTTCTAATCATCCTGTCTCCTTCTGTCATGGGCCTACTACAAAAGGAGTGTTCATTTTGGTAAAGATGTTAAGATAAAAATTAGCTGGCATGAGTCCAGAGGAAAACATCTAGGCTGAGGAGATATTTTGGTTGATGATTTTAGGGTTACTAAACCCAGAAAGAGAAAATTAAGGACTGTCTTCAAATATTTTGAAGATAATCAGTAGCCTAGCACTTAGGCTTATGTTGTATGGAGTGATGAAAAATGGGTAGACATTTCTGGAAAGCAAATTTCAGCTCAGGTTCTCAATGAAGCCTCCAATGATGGGAGCTTCTTTGAAGTGGAAAGGGCAAATAATAAGTTTCCTGTCCGAGAAGTGAGGATGCAGAGAATGGGTTAACACTTGTTGGAAAGATTGTAGAAGGGATTTATGTATTAGATATTGTTTGGGCTCAAAGGTCCTTCCAACTCTGAGATTTTTTTCATTCTAGAGGAAAAAAAATATCCCTACACTGTACTGTCTTTGAAGCCAGAAAAAGAACATCTATAAATTTGAGCCCAACCTTTAAGTTGTGTCTCTTGTTGGGGCAGGTTTCTTGACTTGCTGTGATGACAGTGGAGCCTTTCTATCCCTCATCTGGACTTTACTTGTAATCTTAAAAGTCCTCTCTCTCTCTTTTTATTTTTTTAACATCTCCTTCCTCTGTTTTCTGGGCCACTCACTCAAAGACACCCCATAAAATATTTGCCCGGGAAAGAAGGCACCTTCCAATAAAAATACCTATAACCTGGAGGACAAGACACAAAAGCCTTATTTCTCAGCTCTGAGCTTTTGTTAAAACCTGTGTTATGACTGGGTGAAATGAGCTGGCCTCAGAGAACAGGCCAGAAAACACAGGGAATCCTTTGGCTGATTGGCATCCTCTGCCATTGGTGACTCTCCATAACCCATGTTGTTGTCTCTGGCCGCCAGCACCCCATCAGATGTTTTGCCAGCTTGAGTTCTGAGTCTGATTTCTCATGCCAGCTTCATCTTGGTGTTGCTGAATAAAGGAGTTTCCCACCATCACGATACACCTTCCCCTGCCCCTAGGAGAAATCTTCCTCCAGAGGGATGGGCAGCCATGTGGCTAAATGGGTTCCTGCTCAGAGGCGAGGAGGTGAGGAAGAACACAGTGCATGTGCTGAGCAGAGATCCAGCTCCTACTCCTGGTTTCTTCCAAAACCTGCCTGTTAATCACCTGTTTACATTGCCAAGCATGCTTGACTGGGTAATGATAGTAGGGGGAAAAGCAGTGAAAGGAACATCACAGGTTTTACTCAAGTGGAGTAATCCCTTCCTGATTTACAGGCATTTCGGTGGCTTTGGTGCAGACAGAGTGGCTGGTCTCATTCTTTTCACACCAATGGCCAGCAGCCCCCAGAAAGCAGTTGGACTCTTCGTACCCCTTTGATGTCCCCTCTTGGGTGATTCCCACGTGGAGGGTGGTGCCACTGGGCTTGGTTGCAGTCTGCCACCCCACCTTCCCAGTTAGCATTCCCACCTGCTGTTCCTGGTGACTCTTGGTAAAGTCAGACTGTTGGTGCCTGCACTTGTGGGTGTTATGTGAGGGACACATGGAGACCAGTTTGCTGTAGTCTCTTCTCTCACTGGCCTGCCCCGGTGCCATGATCTGAGGATACCACAGCTGAAAGGGAACTCAGAGGTCATCAAGCCTGACCCCTTTCATTTTGGCAATGAGGAAACAAAGGACTAAAGAGGTGAAGGAAATTGCTCAAGGTCACGCAGCTAGTTGGTGACAGGGACTGCAGCCTCAGCCTTTTGATTCATAAACCAGGGATCCTTTTTCTCTCCTAGGTTAAAGCATTGCCCTTTTTTAAATGAATATATTTATTTATTCAGAAATTCAGCAAATATTTATTGAACTGTGACAGAGATGAATAAAGTCTGTCTCCACAAACAACTCATAGACCTGGGGAGGAGACAGGGGATTATACAAATTAACTCAATGTGGAAAGTGCTGGTAAATGGAGGTAAGAATAGAAGGCTATTCTTTCCCTTCTCCGGGAAAAGTGCCTGACTTGTGTTTTGGTTATGGTGTGTTTTTTTTTTTGAGGAGAGTCAGAAAAGGCACCAAGGTAACCTGGAGACATAAAATAGCATAGTGACCCAGGAAATGGGCTCTGGAACCAGACTGCCTTCATGTGAATCCAAGCGCTGCTGCTCACCTGCTGAGTAACTCTGGGCAAGTTGCTTTTTGTGTCTCTAATTTCCACTCTAAAAATGTGAGGAAATTGATAATACTTATCTCCTAGATTTATTGTAGGAGTTCAGTGGGTTAATACATGGAAAACACTTTAAAAGTGTATTGGCATATAGAAAAAAACATAATAGCTATCATTATTATTATTATTTCAAGAGCTGTATTTGAATAGTATGCTGAGTAATGAGACAGATCCTTATGTTTCAATGGTGACCAAAGATTTAGAAATGTTAGCATAGTTGCCAGTGAAAGATGCTGGTTTTGCTTGGGGCTCCTAGGGAAACCAGGCACGTAGATGGGAATGGACGGGTACAGTCTGGAAGCAGTGGATGAGAAGGGATTTGGGGAAGAAGAAAGCCAGAAGGCTAGCATTTCTTTTTTCCTTCATGGTTTTATCTAAGTTGGGGCCACAGAGGGGTGAATATTGTTCTGTTGAACAAACAGGGGGATATGGCAGTGTCTGGGGCTTTGGGGGATCAGTGGTGGTTTCTGGGTATGGCTTTTGTTCTGAAGGAGCTTCCTTCCAGAAGTGGGGACGTGTGCCCACAGATGCCTGTGCCCTGAAGAGGTGCAACAACGAGGTTTCTCTTTTGGGAAAGAGGAGAGAGACCAGTATCTTAAGATGTTGTCATCTGGTTCCAATTTTCTCTCCTCACCTCTTTAGCATCTCTTACCTAATTATTTGCTTCCTGAAAGCATTTTTCTCCCAAGAGTAGGTGCCCAGAGATGCCCTTGGGTATAGGATCAATGCAACCGAGCAGATTGATTCCTCCAAACGTGAACCCTCATATGTTAGATCAGTGGTCCCCAACCTTTTTGGCACCAGGGACTAGTTTCATGAAAGGTAGTTCTTCCACAGTGGTGGGGGGATGCTTTTGGAATGATCCAAGCACATTACGTTTATTTTGCACTCTCTATTATTATTACATTGTAGTAAATAATGAAATAATTACACAACTCACCATAATGTAGAATCGGTGGGAGCCCTGAGCTTGTTTTCCCACAACTAGATGATCCCATCTGGGGTGATGGGAGACAGTGTCAGATCATCAGACATTAGATTCTCATAAGGAGCATGCAACCTAGATCCCTCGCATGCGCAGTTCACAGTAGAGTTCACGCTCCTATGAGAATCTAATGCCATCGCTGGCTGATCTGACAGGAAGTGGAGCTCAGGTGGTGATGTGAGCGATGAGGAGTGGCTATAAATACAGATGAAGCTTTGGTCACTCTCCCACCGCTCACCTCCTGCTGTGCAACCCCGTTCCTAACAGGCCATGGACTAGTACTAGTCGTGGCCCTGGAAGCTGGGGACCCCTGTGTTAGACCATTTCATATGGGCTGCATTCTTTTTTGGAAAATGAGGTGGTTGCAATGCATGGTTCTTAAGGTCCCTTCTTAGCACAAACATTCTTGTTCTTGGGCCCTGGTATTATGGATATTATACACATGGTTTTTGCTACTTGCCAGGGATCCGGGAAGGTCTGTGGCACCCGGTAATTTATAATTCTGCTGAGGCAAGGATTTGGCCAGAAGGAGTCACATGGCTGGTGAGTCAACTTAGCTGATCACCCAATCTCCACACTCAGTTCCTGGCACTTACTAACTGAGGTTGCAAAGGTCTCTGCATCTTCTCCTTCAGAATGTTGAAGGTTGGCTGCTACATCATTTTCCCTTAGATTTAGAGAAGAAAAGTTTTTCTACTAGAGCTCATATTTCTCTCTTCTTCCATAGCGGCTTTTATTTAAACTATTAGGAGAGAAAACCCTCCATACTCGACCACCCACCTCCACACTGGCACAAATCCAGCCTAAATCAGAACCGTCAGCTCACCCTGAGCCGGGCTGTGGACTTTTCTTCCAGGCAGGTGGGATAGGAATGGGAGTTGAAGTTTGAGCAACTTTTGAATTATTGCAGTTACCTGGATATATGATGTTTTTCTGCTGTGTATAAAGTGGGCTAGAAGGATCCTCACTCTTCCACACTCTGTCCTCCTCCCAAAAGAATTTCCTATTTGTTCAAGGTGCAGGATTGACAGCCCAGGAGACCTTGTGTCTCCACCTGGGCAGGTCAGACCATGGCCTATGTGGGTGGCTTGCAGCATGTCTGTGGAAAGTGGGCACAGACCACCTTTGAGGGACAAAGGGGCGGTTGTCTGAGGGCCCCTTTAGGAGCTCACCTTCCTTTGCCCTACTATTTCCTGTTTTGTTTTGCGTTTTGGGATGGGGGGGTTTGGGGATGTATAGGCCATGCTTGTTCACCCTGAGTTGCTGTCCTTTCTTCCCATAACAATGTCTGAAGAAAGAAGAGGAGGGTGGGCTTGAAATTGTGATGGGGCTAATGCTTATTTTGAATACATGAGGTAATTTTTTGGGTTTTTGTTTACTTTATTCTTGCTGTTGAGGTATAATTAATATAGATGAATTATGTGTTTGGTTCCATCAGTCTTAATAGTCATGTCCACTCATGAAACTACCTAAAGCAAGCTATAGAACATTTGCGTTATTTCAGAAAGTTCCCTTGTGCTCCTTTCTAGTCAATTGTACTACCCTGCCTCCCATCCCTACTCCCACACCTCTACCCAGAGGCAATCACTTTCTGGCTTCTATCACCATAGTTTATACACAGGGTAATTTTAAAAAGCGTGTATTCACTGCAACCTGTGTAAATCCAAAAAGGGTTACAGTTCTTTGGGGACTGTTTTTAAAAAAATCAGAAGGCTGGAGCTAGAAGCAGCTTTCTCCCATACCTTGAACAAATCTTTGACAATGATGGGCCTAGGTGACCTGATCTCTAAAACAATTATAATAATAATTCCTACCACATAGCAGAAAATGATAATAATAGCTGCATACTGTTATTGACCACTTCACTCTTCTGAACATTTTACTTCATTATCTTATTTAATCTTCAGAATGACACCTTGAGATGTGTACCATTTTTTCTATTTTAACACATGGCGAAACCAGAGCTTTCAGAGGGGAAGTAACTTGCTTAGGGCCACAGAGCAGTCAGTCATAATTCAAATCAGGAGCCTTTGTGTCCAGGGCTTTAACCTAGAGCAGGCCTATGAGAGACGGACTCTTGTGAACTGAAGTAGCAGCTAAGCAGAGGTCATTATTATTTTAAAAGCAGTATCTATTGGTCAGAGAGGACAGTCTTCCTTTTTTTCTATTTTATTACCTTTTAAATATTTACATAGAAAAAAATCTAGTTTTCAGAATGCTTGACATCAGTGGGTATCTGCAAATTAGAACTGTGGGTACTAAGTTTAAGCCTTGTGCTACCAACAGGAAACATGAAAAAAAGTCTGTCGTTAAGACTGATGCCCAGCTGGGCACGGTGGTTCATACCTGTAATCCTAGCACTTTGGGAAGATGAGGTGGGAGGACTGCTTGAGCCCAGGAGTTTGAGACCAGCCTGGGCAAACTCCAGATAGGGAGATCCCATCTTTACAAAAAAAACTTTAAAAATTAGCTGGGCATGGTGCATGTGCCTGTGGTCCCAGCTACTTGGGAGGCTGAGACAGGAGGATCAGTTGAGCTCAGGAGATCAAGACTGCAGTGCGCTATAATTGTACCACTGCACTCCAGTGTGGGTGACAGGGCAAGACCATGTCTCCAAAAAACAAAAAAAGACTGATGCTCCTTCTACTTGTTTCTTTCCCACAGAAAAGCATTGTGATGGATCTGTAAATATTATTTATAAATATAAATGACAATAAAGTGAAATATTAATTGATATAATTATCAGTGATATAATTTAAATTTTTATAGCTATCATTTGAGTTCCTAATATGTGCCAAGCATATGCTCAGCATTTGACATATATTATTTCAACATATAATGCATAAGAGACATTGTATTAGTTATCTATTGCTGTATAACCAATAACCCCAAAATTTAGCAGGTTAAACCCATAAAAGTTCATTATCTCATATAGTTTCTAAGGGTCAAGAATCCACATGCAACTTGGCTGAGTGGTTCATGAGATTGCCGTCATGCTGTCAGCTGCATCTGCAGTCTCTAAAGGCCTGACCAGGGCTGGAAGTTCTGCTTCCAGGCTCACTCAGTGACTTTTGGTAGGAAAATTCCTTGACATATGAGCAAGGAATCCATGAGTCTGCTTAAGACATGGCTTTCCCAGTGAGTCATATGACAGAGGAGGAGAGAGAGAGCCCAAGATGGAAGTCACAGTCTTTTATAACCTAATTTACAGAAGTGACATGCCATCACTTCTACCATATACTATTAGTCATAGAGTTTGACTGTGGTAAATATAGGAGGGACTACACAAGGATGTGAAAGCCAGGAGGTGGAAACACTAGGGCTATCTTGAAGGCTGGTTACCATAGGCATTATTAGCCCCATTTTACTGCTGAGAAATGCATGCTCAGAGAGGTTCCATAAGTTCCCAAAGTCATCTACCCAGGAAGTGAGCAGGCTGGGATTTGAACACTGATCTGGTGAACTGCACTGCCTGTATGCTTTCCAGAATGAATACCCAATGCAGAGAGTCCTGGAAGAACGAAGTGCATGCAACCCTGGCTTTGGGTATTCTAGCATGTTTCTGAGGGTGCCCCCGGATGGCTGTTTGCTCACAGATACCTATCTTTATATAGTTAGTATGTCCCTGAAGAGCAGGGCATAAACCAAAGATTTGCAAATTCAATTCATTTCAGATTCATGATGGAAGTTCAATATTTAAGGGACTTCTGCTTATATCTTCCTGTATCACTTGGTGATTTATCATTGGCTTTTAAATAAGCATTCAGGTAGTGGAGTATACCAGTAGTATTGCAATTGTGGGTGAATGAAACTACCCTGAAGGGAAGATTTTGTTTTTCTCTTCTAGAGTAAATGTGGAATTCAATCTTATTTAAAAATATTTTGAGATCCAAGAAGGATACTAATAAACCATGTGAAAGTCTAGTTATGTTTAAGATTCTAGGTGGTTGGTGTATAGATGGTGTTTTCCCAGACCATCCCAAGCCATCCTGGCTTACCACATCCAGAAAAGGGCATTTTTATAGTTGCCTCCACTGCAAGAGGACCTGACCACTGAGATACATCTTCCTGTCGTGACCTACTTAAGGGAATTTCATTTTAGGGAAAGAATTCAGGAAGATTATATGGTCTGTAGCTGGCCTATTAAAAATGTAAACATCTATCTGCTTTTTAATGTCCATACCAAGCAAATAATCAAAGTTACACATACTTCTGAAGCTCCTTTTCTTTGGAGATCTCGGACTATTTTATAGAAACAGGAAAATGTCACCTTTCTAGTCCTGTTTACCAACTCATTTTTCTTATTAATTTGCTAATCTGTCCTGCCTAGGTTAAGGGAATTTGTTATTCATTCTACTCATTTACTCATTTAACACTTATTTCATACCTGTCCTGTGCTACATGTAATAGGTATAAAATTCCATACTAGATATGAGGGGAAAAAAGATGAAAAAGACTAATTTCCTGCCCTCAGGGAGCTCATAGTCCAATGGGAGATTCAACAAAGAGAAAGAAGGTTACAACTCAAGGTAATCTTTGATTTGTCAGGAGTCATGCAGGAAAGAGTAATTTACTCTGGTTAGGGAGTACTGAAAGATTTATCTTGGGTGATGATGGATCTAGAAGGATGAGGGGGAGTTTGCTAAAAGAAGAAGCAAGGAAGGGAAATGAAAGTTTGGGGTGGTGGTGGAGGAGTTTCAGGTAGAAGAAATCATTCACAAAGGCATAAAAGTGAGAGACAGCCTGGTCCATTTTGGAGCAAGAAATTGGGCCATAATTGATGTTTGTATCTCTACCTTCCAGAGTCTCAGAAACTAGAATGTTTTTCTAGGACTGTTCCAAATCCAAATGTTGTCTACGGCCATACCACGCTGAACATGCCCGTTCTCATCCAAATGTTGTATCATTTATCACCCAAAATATAGTGTATGACAAGGAGCTCAAAACTTATTCTCAATGCCATGACTAATAGTGTTTTAAAACTATATTTTTCTGCCTGGTGTTCATCATGACCCTTGGGGACATATCTGGGACATGTCACATGGGCTCACCATGAGTCAGGTATGGGAATGTCACATGTCAAACTACTTTTGCTAATCAAATACACAAAATGCTGATTCCCTCACTGTTCTTGAGATTTGCAGCAGTCACAAGTTCCAGTTTGCTAAGAAATTCTCCTATGCCTGATTGGTTATATTATTGTTTCCATCTCTTTGCATCATTAGGGCCCTGTTGTTACAAGAAACAGCAAAATAAAAGTATTTCTCTTTTCGTTGTGGTAAATTGGAAATACCCTAGAGACTGTCAAAGAGGGATGTGAAAATATTTCAGAAATATTATTTCATGCCTCCTGACTACAGGATGGTGGTGAGGACTCCTTTGTCTGAGGCACTTAGAGCTGTTGAAGGTGTGTTGCCTGGAAATGCACCTCATGGGAAGACTTGCAGGTGTGAGCGGTTGCCTAGGAATGTCATTTCAGGATTGGTAAGTGTGATGTTAATTTTAGGTGTCAACTTGACTAGGCTAAGGGAGGCCCAGGTAACTGGTAAAGCATTATTTCTGGGTGTGCCTGTGAAGATTTCCAGAAGAAATTAGCATTTGAATCAGTAGACTGAGTACAGAATATCTGCCCTCAGATATTCATGCCTCGAGTATGCATCATCCAATCTGCAGAGGGCCCGGTAGAACAGAAAGATGGAAGATGGGTGAATTTGATGTCACCTTGAGCTAGGACACTTATCTTCTTCTGTCTGTGGACATCAAAGATCCTAGTTCTTGGGCCTTTGGACGCTGGGACTTACACCTGTGCTACCCTAATCCTGGTTCTCAGACCTTTGGACTCAGACTACATTATACCACTGACTTTCTGGTTCTCTCACTTGGCTTTTGGAGATGGCATATTGTCGGATTGCTCAGCCTCCATGATTGTATGACCCAACCCCCATAATGAATTTCTACATATATATATCTTCTTGGTTCTGGTTCACTGGAGAACTCTAATTCAGCAAGTCAAAGGAGGAAAGTATATTCACCTTTAGTTTGTCCCTACTACTTAGTGATTTTATTCACTTCTACTTTAATTCAATAAGCATTCATTAATTCACTTCTAATGGACCATGAATAGTGCTAGGTGCTGGAAATGCAAAGATTAATGGACTATGATTAAGACACAGTTCATTTCCTTGAATCTCACAATTGAATAGGGGAAAAGGTACAAGGAACGGTTATACTATGGTGCAAAGATAGATGTGTACGGGGGAGCTGGGCACTTCGCTGCATCTGGGAGGGCAGAGGAGGCTCTGAAGGAGATGATAACAAATTGGATCTGAAAAGATGAGTTAAGAATCTGTCTGACCCAGAGGTTTCATGGGTCTTTAAGCACATTAAGGAGACTTGAGTGTGGTTTATAAGGTATGATTTGTACAAAAAGCACAAATCATATTCCTGTAAACACTTGAAAGTATCACAGTTTCACATCCATGTAGTGAGCTGTAACTATGTTTATTGTATATTTATTGTCTATTTTACAGATGTGAAAGCCTGAGAAGGCAGATAGATAAATGTTACTTGCCCTAGGTCACCAACCAGTGATTAGCCACTGAGGACTGAAACCCAGTATTTTTTTTCTTACAGTAAAACCCATGCTTATGGAAGTCCATACTGGACAGCAGTCTTGGGTTTGGCTAAGCTCTGCCACCACTAATGAGCCCTGTAAACTCGGACAAGTTGCCAACCTTCTCTAAACTTAGGCTTTCTCATCTGCAGAGTGGAGGGAGTAGGACTTGAGGCCCTTCTAGCTATGCAGTCTGTGATTTCTAGAGACAGAACAGGGAAGGGCAATAGGGGTGACAGGAGAGACCAGAAGCTGCCGTCACAAAGACTAGCTTTATGGCAAGCCTGTTTCCCAAAAGCACAGGCCCTTCAGTGGCCAGTGAAACTGATGTGTTTGGATTTATCAAGTAGCTTTGCCAAGGACCAGCTGGCAGAAGAAAGCAAAAAGCAGCACGGCAGATTTAAAGATGAGTTCATTTCTATGGTGTCAGCCGCAGAGGGTGCGGTTTCCCTGTCTCTAGAGTGGTGGACACAGTCTACCACTGTGTTTCTTCGAGGGGAGATTGTGCATGTTTCTTCGAGGGGAGATTGACTGTGTGCTTAGGCAGTAAACATCTTCTGGGCACAGTGTCACTGGGAGGATTTTTGTATTGAGAGGGCAGTGAGGCGTGAAACCTCAGACTCCTGTGGTACTTCCTGCTACCCAGTGATGTCAGAGGCTTGCTGCTCACAGTCCCCAGCTTAGGGCCCTGTTTCTCCAGCTCTCTGCTTACATCATGTGGGAGAGGAGCAGCAGCCATGAGAAAACCTAGCTCCTGGAAGTGCAGAGATAGAGACTGGGATAAAAGAGGGGGGTAAAAAAAGAATTCATTAAATTTGGCCTTGAAGATGGTTATTTACTTGTTTGCTGTGCTTGCTAATATGCCATATGAATAGAAAAGAGGCTGATTTTTGATGACACCATTTCAAGAGTATCCTTCATGATGTCCAGGTTAAAAGGTTTTTGTGGGTTTCTTAATTTTGTTGTTTACTGACTGGGCGTGGACATATGGACTCTTATTTTTTTTCTGGTTGCCTTTGCTACATTTACAGGCTTCCGTGTTTCTAAGAAACGAAGCAGCTGTCTTTTCATCAATTAATGGTATCAAAAGTATCGGTAATCTCTGGATGGTGCTATACAAAGTGGGTCAAGAGATATACAGTGGTCCCCCCTTATCTGTGTCCTGGGAATATGTTCCAGGATTCTTGGTAGATGCCTAAACTGCAGATAGTACCAAATTCTATATATACTAAACATGAATTTCTTTTTCCTTTTTTACAATTTCATGCATAGAAGATTCATTTTTACTGTAGATCTTAGTGACCTCAGCATACGATTTTTTTCTTTCCTCATTAAGTCAAGATCTTTTTCACCTTTTCACTTCAATCTTTTACCTTATCACTTTATAGTTTATTGGCAAATCCAAATGCCAGCATCACTACTCTTGTGCTTTTGGACTCTTAGTAAGTAAAATTAAGGTTACTTGAACATAAGTGCGTGATATTGTGGCAGTCGATCTGATCACCAAGACAGCTACTAAGTGACTCATGGGCAGGTAGCATAGAAAGTGGGAATATGCTGGACAAAGGGGTGACTCACATTCTGGGCAGGATGGAGCAGGATGGCCCAAGATTTCATTATGCTACTGAGAATGGTGTATAATTTAAAACTTACGAATTATTTCTGCAATTTTCCATTCCATATTTTCAGACCATGGTACCTTGGGTAACTAAAACCATGGAAACCAAAACTACAGATAAGGGGGGAGACTACTATATTCTAAAAGTTTATAAGAGAAAGCAATTTGATGGTGATATCAAATGCCATTGCATTGATCTCTGCAAAAACCCTTCCCATTCATTAATGCATTCCTCATACATAGACATATAGCCTCCCATCATCTTCACACACCACAGACACCTTACATTTGTGCACTTGATTTTTGTGAAGCTGATGTTTATACTGATCATGTTCAGGATGGGGCTCCTGTAGCACAGGGGAGGTTTTTGGGACAGGTGGGTAAGAGAAATATAAGGAAGGAAGAGCAAAAAGGACTTGATTCTTTATTGTTTATACACCAAAACCACTGCCTTATGCATAATCCCTCCTTCTGGGCACTGGGTAGTGAGTTGGCAAAGTGAGAAAGACGAAACTGGTAGTTACAAATATTCTACAAATTGTTAGAATAAACACTGGTTTTCATTTGAGTTGGCCATTAGGTTGGAATCTGCTTGGCCAAAAGGTCAAAACCCTTTCTTTGGCAAGAGTGATGCATCTTAAGTGTACTTTATTTTGCCAAGTAGACTAAAGACCTTCAAATCTTTGACAGAGGTGTGGGAAATCCTACAGCACATGTTTTCTCTCAGTCTAGAAAAACTCCTGGACGTGGATTACAGGAGCTTTTAGATCTTAGAATGCTCTTTATAAAACATATTTGGATGACACATGACATGGAGAAAGTTATGGCATGCTTGTGTTTTATGTAAGTATGTGATTTGATCAGGGCTTAGAAAAGTTTATCAAGCTTTTTAGATATAATTTTGTAATCTCTCAAGATAGAGATGGCATTTAATGGCGGGATAGTTGGCCAATAAAGGTCACTGGACAATTTAACAGAATGTTGCATTCTTGTAATATATTCTTGTTCTTCTTTGAACACAGGACTATTACTCAGATTTAGAAATACTAGTTATCTGCATTTTTCTTCATTGTCTCTGTTAGACAGTGGGATATAGTATTGTCTTTAGTTTGGCTACACTGCTGGGCTTGAAACTGTGGGTAAAGGCTAACACTCACTTAAGAAAATAAACCATGTATCTTGGTTTCATGAAGAAGATGGTTAGACCTGAGAAAGAGGATGATCTCTGTTGACCAAGGTGGAATTTGAAGTGGAGGTAGTGTGAAGTCAGGGTGAGGTTTTGGCATGTTTAGTCTCCCAGACAGAAAAGATGAAGGCCAAGAATTGATATTCACACATCTCGATTAGGTACCTGGCATATCATTAGCCTTTCTTGAAGTCATTGATTCACAGACTGGGCTGATAGTGAATTTTGAGGTGCTCTGTCAATCTCTTCTCCCTGTCATTTTCCCACGAAGGAACCAAGTCTCAGAGTTGAGATCATTAACCGTGAACATTTACCAGCTGTTAAATAGATATGTTCTTTGATAACTGTTGAAAAATTTTACAATTTTTTCTTTTCGTCTTGATTCTAGGTGCCCTATGATTTTCTTTCTATTTTGTCTTGCCTTTTTTATTTGATTTGATACTGAGTGTTTTGTGCTCAGAAAATAATACCCAGTGGTGTCTTGGAGTTGGCATCTGTGAGATTAGAACTATGACCCCTCTAAGTTCTGGATACCCTCTGTTCAGTAAAAGGGCTCACAGGTCGCTAGATGGACTTGGAGGTCCTGATATCCAGCCTCCTCTAAGATGAACGCTTCCACCTACAGTGCCCTAGATGAGTGGCTAACCCCTGCTTGAGTCTTTCATTCACAATGTGCTTCCTCCTTAACCAAAAAAGCCACTCCCATCATTACATATTAGATTTCATATCATATCATATTTATTCAATGACTTCTATCAGATTGTTAAAAAATAAGGATATTTTGTTAAAAAATAATATAAATATACCCTTTCTGAAGTTGTTTTGATAGCTCCTTTGATAGCAGGTGGAATTTTTAAACAATGGCTTTGGTGCCTGGATTGTGAGGATTTTGCTTGGATTCTGGTGGCATTTCTGAAAATGTGACTAATGACCCCTCCAGTGTTCTAGAATCTGTGTTCAGTAACTTGAACTCCATGCCATCTGAAGCCTTCTCCAAAGTATGTGCTGGGTCCCTCCTTTACTCTGAAAGATTTCCATAACACTTGGTAGACACTAAAGAATGCTTCCTCCACCTTCTCCTTCATTATAAACTGACTTGTTGGACTTAACAGTTCCTTTCTCATCTAATCAAGGAGCTGGATTCTGTTTCTCAATAATGTAATCACAGTAAGATGGTGATATTGGCGAAGCACCGGAAATGACTGGCAGGACACTGGGGAAAAACTGACTAGTCTACAGTTTCCTTAGAAGACAGCCTGAAATTGCTTATAAGCAGAGGGGAGCAGGTCACTGAAAATGTAGACTCGTGTGTGAACACATCTAACCCTTGATTTGGGGGGCATTGGGGGGCTGCTTTCTGGAAAGCCCCTTATGTATGCCTTGCACACCCACATCTCACCTTGGAGCCTTATTTCAGATGCAGAATAAAAAGACCAGAGTTCGAGTTCTGACTCTCTATTAATTATTAGCTGTTGAGCTTGGGTAAATCCCTTAATCTCTTTGAGGTTAATAATAACTACCCCAGAGAGCTATTAAATGTGTCAAATGAAGTAATAGGTATGGGAATGCTTTGTAAACTCTACAAGGTCATAAAAAGTCAAGCTGTTGTTATTAACAGTATTTTCTGTAAAATTTTCCTGGCTATTCCAGCTCTCAGGATTTTGCATTTCTCTTATTCACTATTGGTACTGCCCTTTGGCCCTTTCACGTATTCATCTGTGATGCTGGTCAGCCCTTCCCCTGGATAGAAATTTTCTCTCTAGCAAGTTTATGGCTTTCATATTTTTAATTTTGTACTATTTTTAAAAATGTAACCTTCGACAAAATAAAAGGATATGCATAACATACATAAATTTTAAAGCATAAGACTGTTTTAGTCAACATTTATTGAGAACCTATGAAATGCTTGACATTGTACCAGGTCCTGGGGATACCCAGACGAATAAGACAACCCTTGCCATGAGACATCTCCCTATCTGAGAGTGGGCACAGATGGCAGTGTTCATATTCAATAAACAGGAAAAAGGGAAGAGAGGCTTTTCCACTTAGTGAAATCGAGGCTATGTTCTGAAAGTGTTTACTGTTTTCCACATAAAGTTTCCTTGTTTCTCGGTTCCTTCTTTCTTTTTCCTAAAATGTAAGCTCAATGAGTCTTTAAGCTATGTCTTCCATAAATATTTTTTGAACACCTACTGTGGAGCTAGGTACCCAACAGGACATCAGCAGCAGAAGGGCAGAGATATTTGTCTCTTTTGTTCACTGATATATTCCCAGACAATATCTGCTACATAGAAGTGCTTAATAAATATTTATCAAATGAACTGTCACATTTTATTAGTTAATACTAGCTGTCATAACTGATAATCCTTGGTAACTCAAACTCAGCTTAATAAAATAAAAGTACATTTCTTGCTCATGTAAAGCCCAACTTGAAGTAGATTGAATGACCCTGCTCCATACAGTCATTCAGGGACCCAGCCTGCAGAGGTTCTGCCATCTTCAACCTGTGTCTTCTTTAGTTAACTTACTGCCAATCTCCAGCCAGGAGACAGAGGAGAGGGAAGGCGTGGAGGGTTCCAAAAGGGCCTTTTTGGCCGGAGCTCATTCTGTTGTCTGCTACATTTAGACAACTGGAGGGGTTGGGGCAAGAAATGTAGATCCTTGCTGGTCTCATCCCAGCAATAATTTTGCATATTGAAAGGAGTGCACAAATCTTTGAACAGCTGGCCATCTCTGCCTTATGGACAAAATGCCATTTGTTTTCTGTTCACATGTGGGTCTTTCATGACCTGTGAGCTCCTTGGGGTCAAAGGCTATATATTATTCAATTCTGTTATCCCTAGTTCCTAGTATAGTACAGCAGGTAAATAGATGTTTTCTGAATTGAAAGTAAAAAAATCGTTTTTCTGTTGGATGTCGGGCACCATAATAGATGCTTACATTTTTTTTTTTGGATAAAGGAGGTTTTTTTTTTAAAAAAAGGAAAGAATAAAAGAAGAAGAAACCATTTGCTATAATAAAGATCTGCAAAGCATGGTACCGGGTTCCAGGATGGTAGGTGTTCAAGAAACACATATTGAAAAAAAGGGAAAGAAAAAGAAGAGAAAGAGAATGAAAGGACAAAGGAGGAGGGAAAGAAAGAAGGAAGGAAGGAAAGAGAGAGAGAAAAAATAAAAAGGAAAGAAGAGAGGGAAAGTAGAAAGGAGACAGAGGAAAGAAGGGGGTGAAAGAGAAGTTGAACAAGAGGAAGAACAGGGAATGAAGTGAGAGAGGGAGAGAAAAGAGGGAAGAGAGAGAGAACGAGAACACAGGAGGTTCCTGAGAGGTAAGTTGTGTGGCGCCGTACTCACTGCAGAGGGAGTTTTTCCCCCTGCCTAGGAGGTCAGGGAAGGCTTCCCAGAGAGACCTTGCTCTTTGGCTTCTGCTTTTCTTGGTCCTTCTGGCCTAATTTCTGCAACTTTATGATCTGCCCACCCCAATAGAGGACAAAAATATCTCCCTGTTGTCTGATGGGGAAATGAAGTTAATAAATCTCCTGGAAAGTTTGTGCTTCTCCATGGAAACAGTACATAAAGTACTCCTGCCACCCACCAAGAAGCACCGGGACGGGCAAAGCTCTCCATCACACAGGACCTGCTTCTTCAAGCCTACAGTTTCTCAGGCCAGGTTCTGTGCAGCCCAGACACAGTTGTTCAGATCTGGGGTGTGGACCAGGTGGTGCCAGAGGCCCTAAGAATACTCTGTTTACTTTGCCTTCCTCATCAGTCTCTTTCATTCCTAACTCACTGAGTTTCTCCACAAAATCCACATTCAGAAGATTTTCAGTAATTTGACTGACTGTAGCAGCATACACAGCCATGAGTATACTGTGCCCAGATGCCTGCCAGAGTCTCCCGACCACAAACCCAGCACGTTGATAGTTGTGTCCTTGCCATATACACAGTGGAATCTTTTGCCTTTTCTTTCCTTTTGTGCCTTTAACATTTTCCCCTTTGTATCTCCTAAATTTGCATACTTTGTAGCAATTCTTCAAAACGATATTAATATGCCCATTTTATAGATGAGGGATCTGAGGCTCAGAAAGTTTCAGTGTCTTGTTTATGCTGCCTGGCATCAGTCTGAATTGCTCCGAGCCTTAAGCCCAAGCCTCTTTTCAACAGTGCTGCAGCCCTGTCAAAGATGTACTTGTGAATTCAAAACAGCACTCAGGCATATAGGTTACATTGGCACCAGGAAACCTAAGCAGTATTTCCATGACCAAATTCTAAGTGAATTCAACACCAAAGGAGAAAAGGAAATGTTCTTTGCTCTCTGTATAGATTCCTCTTCTGCTTGCTTGGGTTTTACAAAGTTCTTCTAATTTTTATGTGCGATTGGACAATGCAGTTTTGGTAAAGTTGCTAAAACCATAACTGTTACTCTTGGTTTTAAATATCAAACCAGGTAAAAGGGAGGGAGGAACTTAATGTTACAGAAGGGAAAAATGACTTAAATATCCGAACAGACACCATATGGGAGGCTTTTTACTCCCCTTTCCTCCTTTAAAAACAGTGTGTTATTTCTCCCTCTAGATTCCAGTTACTATGGAGGGATTTAGGATTTAGTGAGACTAGTGTTGCTGAATTAGCTTTGTAAGACAAGTCTGTTTACTTTTTATACTAATTTTCATGCTTACCACTGACTCTGATTAGTTTGAAGAAAGCTATTTCTAAGAATCTGTTCTTAACATTATAGAAAGGAAAAGTTGGCCGGGCGTGGTGACTCATGCTTGTAATCCCAGCACCTTGGGAGGCCAAGGCGGGCAGATCACCTGAGGTCAGGAGTTCGAGATCACCCTGGCCAACATAGTGAAACCTTGTCTCTACTAAAAATACAAAAATTAGTTGGGTATGGTGGCAGGCACCTGTAGTCCCAGCTACTTGGGAGGCTGAGGCAGGATAATCGCTTGAGCCTGGGAGGTGGAAGTTGCAGTGAGCCAAGGTGGTGGCGTTGCACTCCAGCCTGGACAACAGAGTGAGACTCCATCTCAAAAAAAAAAAAAAAAAGGAAAAGTTAATGATTTAATTTTCTTTAGCTGGGCATCTGGTAACCATGTATCAGAAGGTGAAGCCTGTGAGGTGCCTTAGAGAGCATGGAATGCTGCCCCCATCCCATGGATTAGGAAATTGAGGTCTGTGTAATTAATATGAATAATTATTACCATTTTTCTTACATTAAAATATATTAAAAACCATAGAGAAAAAGACACAGGTGATCTGCAATTCCATGTCTAAAGGAAGCCCCTATTAATATTTTTATTTACCACTCATCTATTTTCTATTCGTATGCATTATATATTAATTTAACATCTTGCTGTATGTATCTGTTTTGAAATGTAATTTAAAAAAAATCTAAATATATCATGAACATGCCTCATGTTATGGTTGCATTCTTCATTTATTTAACAAATGATAATCACTAACACTTAACATGGCTCTGTGGGCCAGGCATTCTCCTATGCACATTACAAACAGTAACTCACATATCCTCATAATGAGCTTCTGAGGTGGTAGCATTATTACCGTCATGTTACAGGTGAGGATGCTGAGGCCCAGAGGGGTTACATAACCTGCAGGGTCATGCAGTTAGGAAGTGGCAGAGCCAGAATGGTCACCCATTCTGTATGACTTTTCTGTCTCCCGGGACCTGGCCTGGCCCGCTGTAAGCTAGCAAACGTGTGTGCTGAATGAATACTGGTGTTTAAAAGACTGACATGGTGCATGAGAACAGGGTCTTCCTGGTTTGGGGAATGGTGCTGATTCACACTTGGCATGTGTTTATTTCCTGAAGGTTCTACGGCCAGCAGAGCTCTATCCTGACAATGTTTCTGAACCACCGATCACCTACAGGTGTGCAGAGGTTATGACACAGCAGTTTTACACTTGGCCTTGGGAGTTGTTGTCCGGTTCCCCATTATCCCCAGTTTACACACTTTCACTAAGTCAAGATTCCATGTCTGTAGCTGTAATAGCAGTGTAATAGCACTGTGCTCAAGGGCCTGGAGTGTTCCTTGATGTGTTTTGGGATTTCTAGCCAAATGAACTCAGTATAAGTTCATCTCACTTTTCAGATTCTAATGATGTCTTTAGAGATTTTGTCCTAAATCAGTGAACAGAATTTGATTCTGAGGGAATTTAATTTGGAAAAAAAAAAACCACCCAGATACATACTTTCCTCCTTGTAGAGTAAAACCTCTCTTTATTAATTTTTTTTTCTTAAAGGATACATTAGCCCTTTTAATTATATCTTTTGCTTTTCTGGGGTCCAGCATAACCTATTCTGTATGGGTTATACATACTTCCTTCTATCATATATTAATGAATACAACTCCCTTTAGATGGAGATTGTGCTAGCTAGTGTACAAACTAGATAGGCCCTGACCTCAAGAAGCTAGCAAGCTAGTGAGAAAGATAAATAAACAAAGATACTCTGTTCTGTTTCTTTATTTATCCTAAGACATATGGATAAAGAGTAAACAAAGGATACACGACTCTAAATACTGCAATACAGTATAGTGGAGAAAGGTTGAGTATGAACTTGGGAATAAGGAAATATCTTTTTTTATGGTGACGTTATTGAAACATCCAAACCATGATATATTTAAGTTATATTTTCGATGGTTGGACTTCAAGGCTTTTTTGAATATATTCAGTTTAAGTCTGCAGATAATAGGAAAAGAGCTTATCCTTAGCTTTAAAAAATTCTTTGTTCATAGCTATTTAAATGGAAAAGAAGGAAGAATTGTCATATGCAACATTTTAAATATAATTCATAGTTTCATGTGAATTAGTGGAATTAACAGTAACCAGGGAAACTTCCGAACCTTAGTGTGGTCAGACCCTAGTAGACAATAACAGACCTTTTTTTTTTCTTTTAAGAGTCTTGCTCTGTTGCCCAGGCAGGAGGGCAGTGGCTTAATCATGAGATACTGCAGCCTCGACCTCCCAAGCTTCAGTGATCCTCTCACCTCAGCCTCCTGAATAGTTGGGACCACAGGCACATGCCACCATGCCCAGCTATTTTTTTTTTAATTTACTTATTGTAGAGACAAGGACCCACCAGGATTCCCAGGCTGGTCTCGAACTCCTGGCTCCAGCAGTCCTCCTGCCTCAGCCCCCCAAAGTGCTGAGATTACAGGCATGAGCCACCGTTGCCCAGCCAAAAGATGTGGATTATAAATCTAGCTCCATCACTAGCCACAGCTGTATTACAATCTGCATTCAGCTGTGAGTTCAGACACCTGAAAAGTATTGGCTTAATAAGTTATGGAGAGTTCCTAAAACTCATGTTTTAATTCTCTCATGTAATGAAAACAGGAGATAGGCAGTAGACATTTCCATGGAAACTGACATTTCCATCCCATAATGTCTTCTGGGACCCAGACACCTTTTCTGTTTCCGCCAGTCATCCTTAGTGTGTGCTTCTCATCTGTAGTCCTAAGTTTGCTGATCCTCCTTCTGCCTCACGTCCATGTTCTTGTTAGAAGAATGAGATGGGCAAAGTGTAGGCACAAGCTGAATCAGCCCTCTTTCAAAAGCTTGCTCAGAAACCCTACCTAGTCACTTCCCAGTCCATCTCATGTGCCAAAACCATGTCACATGACCACCCTCAGCTGCCAGGGAGGCTGGAAAAAGCTTTTTAGCTGAGCACATTGTTGCCCCCAATAAAATCAGGGTTCTGTTAAGATAAGGGAAAAGGAGGGGCTGGATATCAGGTAGGAGTCTACTAATCTCTGCCCTATCAGCTGGGAAATAAACTTAATCGGCAGTTAGCTAACTTTTTTGAATGCACCCTCCCTGCCTTTTCTTCATTAAATCTTCACAGACCTAGGTTCAGATTAAAGTATATTTTCTTTAGTTGAATTTCGGGTTGGAGTGCCAGGGATATTTCTCCCTTCCACTCCCACTTGATGATGTCATTCATTTGAAATATAGTTGGGTTCATTTATTTAGTTTGTCTTCCATTTTAGGTTTTTTTTTTTACCCACTTCACTGATTTTATTTATGTGTTTGTCTGTTTATGTGTGAAACATTCATATGTTTTGGAAGTCAGAATGATACAAAAAGAAATACTCAAAGACATGTCCCTCTCATCTTCCTTCTGCTCCTTTCCACCCTCCCATCATTTCCACCTCATTCCTGCTCACCCCATGTCCATAGGTGCTCAGTCTCATTTGTTTCTGGTTTAACTTTACTGTATTTGCTTTTGCAAAATGTGCACAGATTATATAACTATATAGCTATATAAGCATATATAAACATAACTATATATATCTATATAGTTGTATGACATATAGATATATTTTTATATATAGATATATTTTCTCATTCTCTTTTTTTCTTACACAGCAGGTAGCATACTTTAGATATTCTTTACTCAAGAGTCTATGTAGATAGTTATAAGAAACGAAATAATCATGAGACCAGGGAGAATGACAGGTGTCCAGTAAAAGAGGTAAAACCAAACAATACAAGGGAGAGACCTCTGCTTAGGAAAGGTTTTATGAAGGAGGCTGCATTTGAGCAGAGTCTTGAGAATGGGGGATATGGCAGGAAAGGGAAGGATTTTTCTAGACATTGATAGAAGAGGAGAACAGTCAGGGAATGGTAGGGAAGCGGGGCCAGGTCAGGGGCATCAGTTCAGGGGAGCCCCATGATGGAGCTGAAGAACTCAAGTCTCTAGGGAAGAGTGTGACAAGATTGCGATGATACAGGAAGTGAAATCTGAGTGTTGTGTGCTTTTTGTGGATTACGGGTTTCTAGAGAATTTAGACATCATCTAGTGATTCATTTTAAACTGACGTTGTGTGCCCATGTTATAGAGGAGGAAACTGAGGCCCAGATAAACAAGGATCTTGCTCAAGGTCTCATAGCCAGATGTTGGCAGAGTTGGAAGAGCCATGCCCTTGACTCACAGTCCCAGGCTCTTTTCCTCAGGATTTCCCCAGGATGTAAGGTGGCCCCTGTGCTTCATAGACCTGGCAGTTTTTCCTTTGCCAGCTTGTGTCTGGACTTCTCAATTCATTTAGTCCCAAGTCTCCAAATCCAACCAGACTAACAGCAACTTTAAACCAGCCTGTTATGAATTGAGGTGTGTCCCTTCCTCCTTCTCTTTAAATTCGTATATTGAAGGCCTAAGCCTAACTCCTTAGGAAGAGACTATATTTGGAGATGGGGCTGTTAAACAGATTAAGTTAAAATGAAGTCATTAGGGTGAGCCCTAATCCTATTTGACTGTTGTCCTTATAAGACGAGGAGATTAGGAAACTCATCCCTACAGAAGAAAGACCAGTGAAGATGCGAGGAGAGGACAGAAGACAGCCATCTGTAAGCCAAGGAGGGAAGCTTCAGAGGAGGCCAACCTGCTGATATCTTGATCTCAGACTCCTAATTTCCAGAATTGTGAGACAAATTCCTGTTGTTTGATTCTGTGGCACTTGGTTATAGCAGCCCTAGCATATCAGCCCATGCCTTAACCTACATTTTAACTGGCTCCTCGTGGGATCGCACACCCAGGCTGGTGTCTTAGCTCCTGCTTGTTACAGCTCCTCATCCTTCCTGTTGTTAAGAGCCTTCCCTGGGCCCTATCTTATGTCACCTACTCAGCCACACTGCTTCAGAGGCAAGAGAGTAGTGGAGGGGAGTTTGTCTTAGTGCAGAGAACATGGAGGGCAGATTGGGAGTCTGATGGAGCCACTCACTGGCCAAGAAAATAAATTGCCTAACCTTCTGGATTCAATAGTGCAGTTGAACTAGGAATCTCTGAAGCCATTTCCATCTCCTCAATTCTATAAGCAATGTGGACACAAACTATTTGTTGATTTTAAGTGCATACTCAGGGATTTAAAGGTATTTTTTAAAATTATGCTTTTTAGCTTTTTTAATATTCTCAAATGTTTTGCCTTACTACAGACCTTAATATACCCAGGATATTAACAAGTTTTAAAAATCAGGTGATGGGATTATGAGTTTTAATTTTCTTCCTTATGCTTTAAGTTCCTCTGTATGTGAAGAAAACTAATCAACTTTCTAATGCAGATGGTAATGAAACAAAGGGTATACAAGTTTATATTAATTGACATATAGCATGCAGAAACGGATGTAGTTTTTAAGATAATAAAATGTGAAAACACTAGTTAAGTTGAGGATGGAAAAAGCTGTCACAAGATATCTATAATCTGTTGTTTGGGTCATGGCAAAGCATACATGGTAATAGACATGCACCATCATGGAAAAGCTCATCCTATTGACGTTCTAGCTTGACCTTAGGAAGAAGAAGGTGCAGATAAGAGTCTAACTTAAAATTAGAAAAAAGGAACTAAATTCAAAAATTATAAACAAAACAACCAAATAGTCTCATAAGAAAAATGCGAAAATTTTGCTGTAATTTATAGCTCAATTCCTCAAGTAACAGGAATTTTTAGTTACTTAACTCGATAATAATTAACATAAAATAATGTACTTGAGGTTATTGGGACTTCATAGATCAGGGAATATCATAATTATTACTGATAATTAGCTAAATGTAATCAAACGGTTCCATTTAGAATGTTTTTAGGTAATCTGGATTCTTGTTATTTCCTATAGACATTTTATAAGCAAAGGTGGAATACAACATGCTTATAATATGGGGAAGAACAGATCTTGGCAAATGGGATTGTTTTGAGGCCTTGTTCTAGGGCACTAACCAAAACAAACTAGATGAAAAATCATCCACCTCTGTGAACGTTTCAGAGTCAACTGCCTGTTCTACACACCCTCAGCCTCATAGATACGGGTCCTGATAACCCGAAGTCCTATGCTTTGGTATGGATTACAGGAGTGATCTCTCCTCCTGTGTCCTCTTTTGTAGAAAGCAAGGATCATTTTGTAAACATCTGGTTTCACCTCAGAAGCGCACGTGCTATCAAGATTTGTGTGTATGTGTGTGTTTGTAAAAGACATTTTATGTATGCCTGCGAATGACCTTTCCAAGAATCTTGCACAGCTTGTGGCTATTCAGGCCTGTTCCATGGATTTTTCTTCAATGCAAATCCAGCTGTGTCAGTTCCCGTAACCCCTCCTGTGCCTGCTCAAGGTTAAGCGCTGCAGTCTGCTCTTTAGTAAGTGTCCAGAGGGTAATTACCCAGGTGCATCTGGGTGGGGTTTAACCCCTTTCACCCCCACCCTGTCTGCCAGATTCATGGGGGAGATTCAGATGTGCAAGAGAGGCAGTTAGTGAAATCAGTTCCCTCTCTTGGGGTAATTTGATCTTGTCAAACAATGCTTTTTACAGAACATATGTGCTTTAGTTTTATTTTAAGTTTCTGAAATACCATTCTCCATTTTGCTCACCACTGAGGCATATGTACAAATCCAAAGACCCTCTTTTGTTACACGTGAAACTTTATTCTTATTTTTTTGTCAAAAGAAAAGTCCTAAGTTTCCCAAATCCAAAGCAAAGTGAATGCTTCAATATTACTTTATCCAGAGCCACAGGCAGGAGAGAAAAGTTGTGAAAATCAATTCAGGAAAGACCAGGAGGAAAACAAAATGATCGCCCCAGAAATGAATATTTAACTGTTGTTTGTTGGTTGGATTTGGGAGAAGAGAAGGTAAAATGGTTTAAAAGGCAAAATATTAAACTGCTTAGATTATGGACAGCTCTCTCCACAGCTTTCGCCCCCAGATACTTTGGGTCTCATGATGCTAGAATATCTGTCGTATCTCAGAGGCTAGGACATTCTAGGCTGAGAGTGGTTGTTATAATATTTTGCCCAGGAGTATGGTGTGGGAGCAGCACGTTGGACAGGGACTTGGCGATGTTGGCAAATAATAAGCATGGGGCTTGGGCGGCCGGCTGGTGATTGCTTAAGCCAGGCAAATTACTTAAGCTTTCTGAGCCTCAGTTTCCTTCTCTGTAAAGAGGCCATTGATTCCCACCTCCTGGGGTTATTTTAAAGATGAAATGAAACCAGCTATGCTAAGTGTTCAGTGCTTGCCAGGCACATTACACTTAAGTGGTAGCTGTTATTTTATTATTTAAAAAGATAGCTTTGCCACAAACCAGATATGTGACATTGAGTAAGTCAGGCCATGTAGGTGGCTGGGCTGTGGTTTTCTCATATAAAATGTGAAATTTAGAGCTATAGTCCCTTCTACTTCTAAAGTTCACTGAGCCTTTGAATCCCCTCTTAAGCATTAGTTCACTGGAAGAATAGTTTCTGTGCCTAGCAGTGTGCAAGGTTGCCAAAGTTCAGATTAAATTCTTACCAGGAGGTTACTAGAACTTGAAACACTTCTTGTGCATGGATTTCAATGTAATTAATCATTTGAAAGGTGAAAACATGTGTTCCAATCCTGGGCAGTGACTTATCCCAGTGCCCAGGTGAGTTACTAGCAAATCTTAGGTCTTGGGCAGTTCTTTTTGTCCTGATACCAAAGCTAGAGAAATAAATCTGCTTTATGGCTCCTCAGTCTTATTTATGAATCAAAAAATCCTTTCATATCCAAAATCTATATTATTCTGCATCTGAAACTTTTCTGATCTTCTTCACTCCTTTACAATAATATTATCTAATGCATAGATAATGCATGGTTGCTTCCAGAGTACTTTGATTTATATAATTACACTCACTTGCTCCTCAGAACAATTCCATGTGGCAGGTCTGTTATCACCCCCAATTCACAGATAAGGAAACTGAAGGCTGGATTTGCTGAGATCATATAGCCAAGAGTTGTCGGATATGGGTTACATACTCATGTCTTTCACTGCAAAACACACATTTCTCCCCCTGAAGCAAGCTCCCTCTAAAGTGCCAGAGTATTTTGTTTATGAATGAGGAGTGACAAAGCAAAAAATGAGGTCACAGTTGGAAATAGGATATGGAAATGCTGGTTCCTTCATGACCCACAGGCTCAGATCTGTGATTCCCAACATCTTTTTATATGAGGGCCTATTTTTCTTTGGTAAACAGAAGTTTATTATTTTATTACACAGGCAAAATACAGATGTGCAAAAGAGAAATATGTTAATACTCTGGTGATTATTAGTGTTAACATTTTGGTGTCTTAACCTCTTCGCTCCCCTGTTTATGTATTTATATGTATAGGGATGTGTATTCACCAGAATGTTCTTAATTTGCACATACTGTTGAGAACCCATCTTTACTAACAAAACATGGTGGATTGCCCACAGATAGTTGTATGGGATCTAGATTTTGCATCTCCCCTGATAGGCTTATCCTGCCTGCCTCTTGCTGAATTTTGCTAGAAAGTTGTTACTACCACCTTGTACTACCTCACTCCCCAGGGGAAAACTGCAGCTCAGTCTGCGTAGCTCCTGGTGCAGCAGAACCCAGCAGTGCCAGCAGCCAGGCCTGATCCGGCCCCTACCATGAAAGCCCTGACTTCTCCCACCATGCCAGGACTCAGATGAAGAATGTGCCAGGGAGTGGGAAGTGGTGTCTCCAGTGGCCTCCATAGCTACTGATACAATGCAGAAGTGCAGGGAGTTAAGGCCCACAGGTGAACCTTGGCCAAGGGGAGATAGAAGCGCAGGAGACTGTTCTGACCCATATGTGGTTTCCATATAGCCTTTGTCTTGGTGACCTAGCAAACAGGCACTTTTTTGTGAAGTTGTGACAGCTTAGTAACTAATGCACCACTCTATATTTGCTCTATCTTGATGTCTACCTCACCTCCTCCTGCCCCCTGCGCACCTGCTTTCCACCCTGGGAACCCCACCCCTGCCCCGATAAAGCTTGAGCACGAATACTTTTCCTCAGCTCCTTCTTTTCTCTTTTTTAACTTAGGAAACTGAGCTGATGGTCATTACATTTATAGTATCTCTGTTCAGTAAGTACTTACAAACAAAAATTCAATTGCTTTTAGTGAATGGATTTTATTAATTACAATAGCATCTGTATGCACTTGAAGAAAAGTAGTATATTGATGTTATCTTCAGATGCCATTTGGTGATAGGTGAATTAAAGGATTCCTTGAAGCCACTCTGTGCCTCTCTCTACCTGCATGTCCTCAAGAAGAAGCCACAGTTGGGTTGTTTAGGTGAGATACAGGTCATCATAGCTATTTTACCCTCAACTTGACCTTCGTGCTGTAGTTAAAGACTCTCAGACAGAAACCTCAGTCCATCCAGTCTCTTCCTCCAGCTGCCTTTCAAGTGCGTGAAGTTTTGAAGTCTGCACACGTTTTCTCAGGGTGAGGCACTGTACACATCTGGGTCAGCTTTATTCCAGTTTTCTTTTTTTTTAAATATATAAAGTCAATCAGTGTGAGTAACTGCTACATGAGACCACGGAGAAAATGAAATAAATATGTTGGAAATGCTAGAAAGTGATCTGCAGTTGTTTATTCGCCTCAGTCTCACTTCCTGGCTTATTTTAAAGCATTCAAAGGGTTTGAACAATCTTTTGAGTTGTTTGGCGTGCTGCAAAAAATATGGTCTGTTCTCTAATATGAAAGAATTTTACACTGTGCTTCCTGGCCTGGAAGTGTGTGGGAGAGTGAGGAAAACAGGGAGAAACTAGTCTCAAGGGACGGGACCTCTTGTGCTGATTAACATTCTCTTAACAAGGCACTTAATCTATTATATAATTCAGTGCACTTAATCTATGAAGCAGTATTCACGGGGCTTTCTTTTGTTTCTCAAGGCCAGGGATGCTGTCTTGTACATCTTTGCACTCTCCAACAGTGCTACATTTAACAGGTACTAGCTGCACTCTTTGAATGATGAGGTGGTTGGTGAACTTTTCAGCTAGCTAAGTCAATTATGGTGAGTTGCACAAGATGCCCATGTTACAAAGAATAAATGCTAGAAAAATGATTTATATATGGACAAATTACTGACCAAGACAATGTCCTTGTTTGTACAATGGACATTGTTCAGGCAGAGCTCATGGGTTGCATTCACAGAAAGGGCTCATTGGCTGGTTTAAACAGAAACCAAGAAGAGAGGGGTCAATGAAGGCAGGACTGGTGAAGGAAGGCTGTGTCCAGGGCCTTATAGGGATGAAAGGGGATGAGACAGTGGACCTATGGACTGTGAATTCTGAGTTCCAGTCTTTGCCTCTTGAAATTTAGTGTCACTTTTGAGGCCTGTCCCCTCCAGGAAGCTTTTCCTGATCCCTGAACCAGTTAACTAACCTCCTATGACCCCATAGCCCTGTGTTGGGACCTTTATCCTGGTGTGCTCCTGCATGGCCATTTGTGTTCTTCCTGATACCGTCCTCTAGATACTAAGTCATGTCTGTGAGGGCTGCGCTTTTTCTGGTTCATCCATGTGACTCCCAGACTGCCTTGCACTCAGGCCACTGCACAAATGCCTGTCGAAGTAGACGTTCCAACCCAAAGGTTCAGAACAACAAGGACGTGCATCCAGCCTTTGTAGTGCAGTGGGTTGAAGAGTGATGCCCTGAAAAAGATGTGGCCACATCCCTTCTCACCAGCCCTGGGCTGCATTCTATTTAACAGTTTTGGTTTTTTACGTCAGAGAAAAAGAGATGACTTTTGTATAAGTCATTGTTATTGACTCTGTCTCTCTCCAACTTGAGAACTGCAGGAAGATTATTTGCTCATTGCCTGGCCTTCAGGTGTCTGATGGAACAGGAATCAAATCATAGACACTTTGAACCTCTCCTTTGCCATGATGCTTGGACAAAAAACTTGTGGCCTCAATTCTTTAACTGAGGAGCCTTGTAGAATAACCTCTGGAGTTAAACATACCTGGGTTTGAACCTCGACTATTACTCATTTCTGTGGTGTGGCCTAATCTCCTTATGCCTCAGTGTTCTCATCTGTAAAATGGGCATAACAATGACCACCTCTTACAGTTGTTGTTCTGGGCATTAGAATGATACTCTATCCGTTAGTACAGGGGTCCCCAACCTCAACATCTGTCCAGGGCTAGTTAGGAGCCGAGCCTCACAGCAGAAGGTGAGTGGCAGGTGAGCGAGCATTACTACCTGAGCCCTGCCTCCTGTCAGATCAGCATTAGATTCTCATAGAAGTGCAAACCCTATTGTGAACTGTGCATGCCAGGGACCTAGGTTGTGTGATCCTTATGAGAATCTAACTAATGCCTGATGATCTGAGATGGAATAGATCCCGAAACCATCCCCCCCACCCCCAACCCTGGTCCATAGAAAAACTGTCTTTCATGAAACTGGTCCTCAGTGCCAAAAAGGTTAAGGACCGCTGTAGATAGTAGATACTGTTGGTTGTAGTATTGTGTCATTACGTTGTTTGTACTAGTGAAATCACTAAGACTCTTGTTCCAGGGAAGAGAAGAAACAAAAAACTGAAGGAATAAAAAGTTTAAGCCACAAAGCATTAATAGGAACACTTGGACCTGTACAAGAGATATGCTGAGGGGCATGGGGAAGGAATTCCTTCCTTCTCAAGCTGTAGGTGTCAGGCTTTGGCCGTGAAAATGACAGTGGATTTTCTACTCATTCAGCAAACTTTCTGGAAACCCCATCACCTGCCACGTGTGTGTGGAGGTGCTGTGTGGGTATACAAAGGCGAATTAAGATGTGATCCTGGGTCAGGGACAGTGGCTGCCACCTGTAATCCCAGCACTTTGGAAGACCAAGGTGGAAGGCTCACTTGAGCCCAGAAGTTTGAGACCAACCTGAGAAACAGAGTGAGATCCCCATCTTTACAAAAAAAAAAAAAAAAAATACTAGCTAGCTGAGCATGGTGGCATGTGTCTATAGTTCCAGCAACTCTGGAGGCTGAGGTGGGAAGATCACTTGAACCCAGAAATTCAAGGCTGCAGCAAGCCATGATGGTACCATTGTACTCCAGCCTGTTCAACAGAGTGAGACCCTATCTCAAAAAAAAAAAAAAACAAAAAACAGAAGACATGGTCCTGATCTCTACTCTCAGGGTTTCATACTCTATTGAGGGAAGATAAAGTTTATTATAATGCAAGGAGAAACCACTCTAAATGCAGCATTTACAAAACGCTCTGAGAGCATAGGGGTCTGTCTGAGGGAAGTGGAGAAAGGCAGAGCTATTGCCATTTAGGTCGGATCTTGGATGAGTTAGGAGTTCTTCAGGAGGGGTAGGAAGGATAGATAACATGTACAAAGGCAAAGCAATGCAAAAATACAATGGTATGATGTTGGCTGTGACTGGCATCTTATGTTATAGGGCTGGGGAGAGACAGTTAAGCAGAACATTCAGCCGGAGTTGTATCCTTGACACTGTTGGGCTAAGAGGCTGGGTTGCCTTGTTTTAGTTTGAGGAAGGCTGTGGACATTTTAAAGGGAGGGAATGATACGGGCTGTTCTCATCTGATACTTGTGCTTCTCTTCTCCCTGTTCTTTTGAGTTGGACTGTGGCCACGGAAGGGCAGAGGAGGAGAAATCTTCCAGCAGTCATGGGGAGACACAGATATCCTTTATCTTAGTTGGGATTAACAAAACAAATTAACTTTGGGTGTGAGGAGAAGCGCTTCAGATAAGAAATGGGCAAACTTGGCGGGGGTTGCTGATAGTGACACCACATCTTCCCTGTCTTTACTTGGGGACCATTTATTTTTATTTTCCCCCTCTCTTTAAAAGCTGTTGTATCTCTAGGAAAAAAAAAAGGCTCCACCTTCAGGAATGCAGTGTGGTTTTACTTCTGGTAGGTGAAGAAAATTTAGCTTCTGGATTTTTCTATGCTTGATAAAGGGTATAGTGTGTAAATGTAGGAAACAAAACTATCTCTAACCAGATCTCAAATTTTATGAAAGAAACACAAAATATGGATATATTAATGTAGAATAGACATGTGTAATATACATTGCCCTTTGGGTTGCAAGGTTTTTTTCTATATTTCTATATTTTCTTCTGTATTTCTATAAATATATTTCTATATTTTTTCTGGGAGAAAAATAAATCTTAAATATTTTAAACAAAAGTTCTCAGTGAGTGTGATCTCTGTACTCAACCTTGGAAACAAAAACAGATTTCTTGGGAGGAGGAGGGATAAAATTGGGGGTATGCTGTGTATTTTGGGAAGAATTTGGCTTCTTTCTTGCTGATACCTTTCACTAGTTGCCGTAAGATTCAGGTGGTTCTTTCATTATTCATTCTACATGTATTCATTGAGCAACTATTCATCAACCAGCTGTACCTTTCTGGACAGGCTTATTTTGGACTGAAAGGCATTCCCTTGCCTGTCCCACGGCCTCCCCCTGAGATTTTCTTAGCTGCGCTCAGTGTGGCCACAACACCCCGTGATTCTGTCATCACCTCCCTTGCTACGAGGCTGCTCTAGAGCCCTCCATAAACAAGCTGTCCAGGCTGTTTGGATAAGAGCAGGGGAAAGACAATAATAAACTCGGGAGGATGGCATGACCAAGGTGATTCGCACTGGAGGTTTTTAATGGCTTTTTACACATGATGAGCACTTTATTGTCTGCAGTTTAAAACGCCGTCCTCACACGGTGGCTCTGTGAATGCCAGCCTCTCCCGGGGAGCCTTCCCTAGCAGTGCAGCCTCAAATTCAGGGAAGGTTCTGGTTGTTTCTTCTGTGAACAAATATCAGAAGTTCCTATGCCTGTGTCAGGAGCTCTAGGTTAGGTGTATAAAAGAGATGGCTAAGTTTGGGAAGCCGCATTAGTGTTTTTGTTTTTGTTTTTAAAGTTTTAAGATTAAAAAAAATAAATTGTTAGACTTCACTAGCTCTTGCTTTCTCCTTTTCAGCACTGGCTGAATAACCAGAACCTGAGCTGAACTTGAGTATTCAGAAGGTGAAGCAAAGAGGAAAATGTTTTATTAGAAACAGGCTTTCTAGCTGTGACAAATTATATGTGAAATTTCAAGTACAGACCCGCAGGGTTGTGATGACTTCAAGAATGATCAAGTGTGGCCCAGTCTAGGAAAGTGGAGGGACAGGAACCCTGCGTGCCTGGTTTATTGTGTGGTTTCACTTCCTAGGGAGAGGAAGGCAGGAGGAGAGAGAAAGTAGCATGCTGCAGGGTGCTGCTGAGTTCAGGCTGTGGCTGTCCCCAGTATTTCAGCTCATGCCGGTAATCAGCAGGCCTCCAGGAGGAAGAGTTGGGAGCTGTTATGCAAAGCTGAGAACCTGTAAGTCGAGGTAGGAAGAAGACAGTTCAAATCCCTTCGGATGACTCTTGGGCAGTCTAAAGTCTGATCCCAATTTATCTTTCCAGATTGTTCTATTAACCTGGCCAAACACCAAATCTTTTGTGTACACATGACCGTTGGAACCCTCTTCTCTGCTTGGCAAACTCTAAACCCTCCTTCAAGAACCAGTTCAGAAGTGATCAGTGTAATCAGCCATTTTAAAAAATTGGTTTAAATCTGTACCCCTCCACCCCCATTTCTGCTTCATCTCTCCCCAAGGCAGAATCAGTCTCTCTTCTCTGTTGCTTCCATGCACCTTGGCTGATGGACACTGTTAGAATTGATGCTCACAGCTTGGGAGAGCAGATGGGGTCTGGGAGAGCCTCCTGAGTTCACTGGCACAGGATCATACAAGACAATATGTGTGAAAGTCAGTGGTTAATTGCAAAGCACTGTACCACTGTGTTCATAGCTACCCTTTATTGAATACATCGTGCTTGGTATTTTCTCATCAAATCCTCACAACAACCATTTGAAGGTAGGTATTATAGTCATCTTTCTTTTAAACATACAAAAACTGAGTCTCTAAGAGGTTAAGAAGTGGGCTGCCCATGGTCACATTAAATAGTAAGTGGCAAAGTTACATTAAACCCAGTTCTGACTCCACCATCTCAACCCATGTCACCATTTTTCTGGGCCTGTGGGCAATGCAGACGTGAGGGAGACCTGGTCTTTGCTGTTAAAGCTTCTAATCTGGGATGGAGATAAGGCAGTCACTGCCCCCTGGTGTATAGTCTAAGGTGGGATACAGGCTCTAAGAAGGGTGCACATAAAAAGTGTTTGGAGAGCAATAAAGAGGCTTTGTGGAGAGAGCTTTCCTTCCCTGCACCTTGAGGAGTGGGCAGGGTTTTTATAGCAGACTTAGAGAATAGGGAATGGCAGAAACTACATGAATAAATGCTTAGTGGAGTATAAGAAGAGTGCAATGGAGAGAAGGGTATGAGACTAAGGCTATCTTAATCATATGACTATTACCAAGGACTTAGAGCCCACAACATCTCCCACCCTCTGCCCCCTATCCTTGGTCTTTTATGATGGGAGATGGTTGCTAGCCTGCATTTAGGGATAGCTATGCTTATACAGAACTTCTCACACAGAGTAGTACTGCTTCCCTGGGTTTGGAAGCATTTTTGATTTTGCCAGAAAGATTGGCAGGGGGTGGGGTGGGGTGGATGCATGTGAAGCCGGGGGGGTGTGCTACAATTGGCACTTGGTGCTCCCTGAACCAAATATACTAAATATCTTGTAATGGATGCATCAGTCCTACCCAGGGAATAATTCTCCCACTCCGGAGACCCAGTATCTCCTGTGTGGGATCCCCCATCTACAAGTATACATGTAAACTTTCCCCTGGGCCACTGCAGTGTCCCTCTGGGAAACATGAATCTGTTCCTGGCACCTCTCTAGACACTCTAGAATGGTTCAGTTGTTTTATCCCTATACATACTTGACCTCCAGAACATGCTATTTATGCTACTCCCAAAGCTTATAGCTGAAAACAAACATTTCTACCCTATTTTTCTTCCCTTGAAATATCCTCTGGCTCTGAGGTCATTTAAGGAATAGGCAGCCCTTGCAGATTTTTGTAAGTTTCCTCTTCGCATGAACAATAACTGCAAAATGATCCATCTGATCTGGCTACCATTGTTGAAGGCAAGAGGATACAAAGAGCATTCATCGGGCCAGGCGCCTTCTCAAGAAGGGCTCATCAAGGTGGAAAACCAAGTGGCACATACTTGTGGAGAAAGTTTGAAAGGAGTAGGGGTTAAGGGAGTGGTAGGGATTGAGGAAAAGCCTAATAACATGGTAATAGGAGATAACAGACTACAAAACCCCTGTGAAACCAGGAATAAAAGAGCCCCATGCTTCACAAATACAAGATTGAATGAGTTTCATGTTTAATGTAAATACACCTGCCATTTGTTCTCTGAAGCACTGGTTACAGGTTTTGAGATAAAATAGAGTTTTGAACATTGTGCCAGTGTAATTTGCCTTTGCCCAGGCATAGACTGTACACTTTGTTCCTGAACAGTCCTTAGAGACAACATAGTGCTCTGATCAGCTCAAAGGTCCCACCTCCTGATGTGAGACCTCTGCTTCCACCTGGCCTGCATCTGAGACTCCTTGGCTATTGACAGAGTAGGGGGAAGTGAGACAGTGGCCCAGGGTGCCAGTGATCTCATGGCTAAAGTGGATCATTTTACTCTCCTGCATTGAAGTTACTCACTGCATTAAGGGTAAAGAGCAAAACCCTCAATTTCTCCTATAAAGCCCTGGCCTACCTTTTGCTCAAGTCTCACCATTCTCTCTGCAGTTGCTCAGGCCTACTTTCAGTTCCTAGACTGTTACTGTGCAGGGTCCAGCCTCAGGGCCTTTGCTGTCCTCTGCGTGTGAGCCCTTCTGCTCCCTTCCCCTTCAGCTTTCAATTCTTCTTTCCTTAAGTCAACATTACATATTATTTCTTTACGGACACTGTCCCTGAACCCAACCTCACAGCAGAAGACATCAGGTGACCTCTTACATTGGTCACTGGGCACCATACTTTCCCTGTGGCTCCTGTCCCAGTTTATAATTATACATTTGTGTGATTACCTGATGAATGTCTCCTCTTCCACTGGACTGTGAATTCCATGAGGGTAATTCTGGCACTCAGTCTAAGCCTGACACCTGGCAGGTACTCAAAGGGTATTTGTTTAAGAAATTAATTATTAAATGTATCACAGATACATCAGAAGATGCAAATAAGCAAACAGGAAGAAAAAAAGCAATCACAGTTCTACAACCAAAGAAAAGCCACTTTCCATTTTTTGGCATATACTTTAAAATTTTTTTTCTATTCTATAAAATAATATGATTTTCCCTTAATAGTATGGTAAACAGGATTAAGCATCCACTAAATTTAATTTGCCATCATTTTATTCAACCAATCCCCTATTGCTAGACTCAAATCAGATTTGTATGATCTATTGTTTCATGGAAACCGATGCAAAATTATAAAAAATTAAATCATTTTTGCTTCTCAATCAGCATTTTACTTTATCCAAAAGGAGTATATGATGAGAAATCAAGAGTGACTGTCCAGGAAAATGGAGATGTGGCAGATGGAGCTGCAGACCACGTGGGGAGAGCCCTGGCCACAGGAAATGACTGTGGTTGGTAGAGGGGAAAGTATTGGACAGTTAAGGAGTTGCCACCTGCCCCTGGTGGAGGCAAATGTTGTTTTGTGGAAAGCACGTGGCATAATGACAGGGCCTCTGCAGGCTCAGTGATGTGGGTGAGCAAAATGGCTGTCTTGGGATTATCTAGGAGCTTCTGAAGGCAGTAGGGTGGTGGCTAATTTCTTAATGCTGCTCTCCCATCCTAGTGATGGGCAGAGAGGATGAGAAAGCCAGCTCTGGGGAGACAACTGTTGTTCCAAAGTGAGGAGTCACCACTACCTGCCATCTCGCAGACTCTTGTCTAGTGCCCCCTTGAGGCCATGCTTGTTGTTAGCCCTGACTCGGGTGCCCCGGCACCTGCCGTAAACCAAGCTAGACCCAGATTGCGTTTGGGTGCCTGGAACAGGAGAAGTTTTAGGAATTTATGTTAGAGATTCACCATGTTGTACTTTCTGCCAAAGCGTCCCTCCCTGAGTCAGAATAGTGGAAGGCTGACTATATTCCACCCAGCACGACGCACTGAATGCTTGGTATGAGCAGCACATCATACGACAGGAATCTCACAACAAAGCAATGAAGTAGTTACCACTATGATCTCCACCTTATAGATGAAGTACCTGAGACTTGGAAAGTGTCAAAACCAGAATTTGAACGCAGGTCTGTCTGAGCCCAGACCCTTTGCTTTTTAAACCACTCTTTATGAAGAATCTCAGTAGGTTCTTAAGAACGGGGCGTGGTACTCTCTAGAGCGTTTGTGACCCAACACTATGAATTGAAACAAGGCAAGCTCTGTGCTCCCATTTGGGGAAAGTTAATATTTCACATGCTCTCGAGAATTTAGGAGCTTGGTAAAAACTTACTATTAAACAGGGCTTTTCTTTAATTCCTTTTGTTTAAAAATTTTCTTGTGAAACACTCTATATACTGTGCCTCCCTCTGAGACGTCAGTGGTGCCAGAGACCGTTAGGGAGTTTGTGTAAATAGAGAGAGGGCCAAATGCTGCCCACACAAGTAGTGAGGCATGAGGCTGAGTGCGTGGAACAGTTCCATAGCTAGCCCTAGGCTCTGAAGAGTGTCCTGAGACCTCATCTGGGTCCCAAAATCGGTGGGCAGTGCTGTCTCCGCGAGACAATGACCAGCATGAGGAAATACCTTTAACCATTCATCTTTTTAAAAAGATAAGTTTGCTAAGCAAATAAAACCAGTTAGCCTTGAAAGTTCAGTATTAATGAATGTTAATGCATATCTTGAGATTTTCTAAAAAACTGACAAATCTTCCAAAAGACAGGAATATCTAGAGGGTAAATAACAGGACTAAAATGCTTTGAAACATCTTTGAAATGATGGTTCAATGCACAGGGTCAAAGGGTAGGACTGGTTCTCTTCAAGCATTTTAAAAAAATGCCTCATTTTTATTTAACATTGTTTTGGGAAGGAGTGCATTATATTGACACATTGAGAAAAAAATTCCTTTTTGTTTTTCTAAAACTAATAGGAGCTTAGGCATTATGATTAAGGACCAAAAAGAGCCAATGCCGATGAATGCCCTCTTTCTTCAGCTGTAAAATTTAATGGCCGCTACCGAGAGGTTTTTCTTTTAATCAGCAAAAAATTTATTTTGTCCTTGACATTTTATGCCAAAAATCAGCCCAGAGAATGTGTTTTATAGCCTGGGCTGAATTCCCCTAAAGGTAGAGTTTTCCTATGAGCAGTGTTCATTGAATTGGCTTTTTTTTTTTTTTTTTGCACTAGATAACTATATTAATTTATTAGATAATCTTTTTATTGTTTCAGCAAGATAGAGGAAACTTACACAGAGACAGCAGAGCATAATGGGTAAGCATCTGGGTTCTTTTGGAAGACGAGATATTGGTTTCCATTGGCCTTGCTACTTCCTGTCTTTCTGACCTTGAGTAAATTACTCTTCCAGAGCCTGTTTCTTTGTTCAATTGGGGATCATAATAGTGCCGCCGTCATCATGCTGTCATGATTAATGCACCTAAAGCATTTAGCACAGCTGTCAGCACTTATTGAGTATTGACTAATTATTAGCGATGCACAGTGATCTATAACTTAAAGCTTCGTCTCAGAATATGCCTTCTTATGATCTGATAGTAATAGGAATCAGCAGAAAATAAGGTGGTTCAACTATCCGGGAAAACTACCAAATATCCGCTTAGCAGAGGCAAAATAAATGTAGCTTAAATGCAGCTGAAAATGCTGAAAGCTGCTTTTGTTTCTCATGTTATAGAAATGCAGTTATTTTTATTAAAAGTGATGGGAAATCCATCTGTAATCTCCTGTCTTTCTTTTATCTGTTTGTAAAAATAGCTCAGTAAACCCATAAATGCCAAGACCCTGTTCAGTGTGAGAAACATTGTTGGGCAGGATGGGAAAGTTCAAAGAAATATCAGATGCAATCCCTGCTTTGGTGGAATATTTGGTGTAACTTGGAAAATTAAATGGAAAAAAAATTAAACAACAAAACAGCACCCAGCTGCCAAATAAGTGAGGAAGGAAAGACCTCAGGCTGAAGCACTGGTGATGGGAGGAGGGATTTATTTGAGCTGGTTTTTCAAAGGATGGGTAAGGAAAGAATAGCAGGAAGGCGTCTCATAGGTATGGTTTAATGGTAAGAGCAAAGTCAGTGTAGTGGCAAAGAACAAGGCAAGAGGGTGGAGTGGTTAGCAAGTGAAGGCTCATTAATGCTTAAGGCTACCTTTGAAACAGAAGTGTCTGTCTGACCGGATTCAGGAGGCCTGTCCATCACGCCATTCTCCACCACCATGATTCATTACTCCAGAGTCTCTTATCTTCAAATCAAAAGCAAGACGAGAGGCAGATACAGATATGAGGAAGTGCTTTGCTTTTCGCTACTCTGCCAAACATAGTTTACATACCAACACTGATAATCTGTCAGCCCACCTCTCCTGGACACTTAATCATTTCCCTGGAATCCACTGGAATAATTTTTTTATGCATTACAAAGTATGCTTCAGAGTGTCTATTTCTTAAGATAAGTTTGCATTCCTTTAACCAAGTGGCATTCCCACAAAGCCCCAAGGTGGCCCGTGTTACACATTCCTTCTTACAGCCAAAGTGGTCAGTTAGGAAGGCAGCTACCTTCATGGCCTGTTAGTAAGAATGTTGGACACTTGTTGGGCATTTACTCTGTGGGAGACACTGTTCTCAGTGCTTTACATGTCCAAATTCATTTAACTCTCCAGAAGAGGGAGCAGTAGGAGAGAAGGGTGATGAACAGACCCTACAAACGGACTAAATTATTAAATAATGAATCAGCAATTAGTTCTAAAAATGTTTATGTAGTGCTTACTGTGTGCCAGACACCATGATTAAAGGACAATCGAAGTAACTCGGTAATCACCTCTGAACTGCCAGTATGGGTGTTTTATCACCTTCCATGTTCTGTGTTGACGGTTTATTGAACACATTTTGAGTTCTTCAGGGCAGTGCTTATTAAATTCAGCGTGCGTTTGGATCGCCTGGGAATCATGGTAAAATGCAGATTCCGATTTGAAAGTGCTGTGGTGGAGCCTGCGAGTTTGCATTTCTAACAAGCTCATGGGGGTGGCGACGCTGCACATCCAGGTGACCTCTTGAAGTAGCAAGATCTTAGAGAACCAAGTAAATGGCAGAGGAAATACAAGCAGGATAAGACAGGAACATATTGTCACTTTCACACCAGAAGAGGCAGTAGGCCTGGATTTGGCCCCAGGCCCCAGTTTAACATGATCATTATGGTTGTTGTCGCTACCATGTGCACCAAAGGAATCTAAGAGCTTGGAACCTTAAGGCCCAATGGCACGGTTTACAATGCTAACACACCTTAAAGTTAAAGGAAGAATGTACGCTATCCTAGGAACATGACTGATAAGGTGCGGCAGAGAGAGTGGGGTGGGGCGGGTGGGGTGGGAGGCTAGAAGTCAGGAAACCTGTGTTCTCATCAGGGCTCATTTACAGACTTGCTATGTGACCTAGTTTAATCACTGAGCCTTTCAGTGTCCCGATATCCTCATCTACAAAGCAGACTGGTAAACATCTGCTCTGCCCACCCAGGACTGCAGAAGTGAGACAGGATGCACAAAAGCTCTTGGGAAAACCAAAGAAACACTGCAAATGTGCATTTTTATAATTAAAAAATATAGAGTCTGTCTTCAGCAGTAGGCAGGAAAGAGGGGGTATCTCAGGAGCTCCCACTTTGGTTTATGTCTCTCTGAGGGCTTGTTATGCTTCTCAGCCTATTCTGTATTCAGGAGATGCATAGAGCTTCTGGCTTCATGCTGTTTCAGAGCAGCCCACTTCAGCCTTTTCTTTACCAATAGAAACCCCTAGACTATCACAGCTTGTCCTTCTTGCACTGAACCCATTAAGAATAAAGAAAGTCTCTGGGCTGGGGAGTGGAAGTGAGGGACATAACATTTACTGAGTATTTTATGTGAGTTATTTTACTTAATCTTCACAACACTCCTAGGAGGAAGGTAGTCTGAATTATGAAATTGTTCCAATTTCATAGATGAGGCACCTAAAGCTCAGACAGGCTCACTTGCCTGGGGTTTGGTTTTGTTTCTCTTTGTAAAAGGTAAGTCTTTTCAATTTAGTAGGTCAAAACACGTGATTCTCTCCTTTTCATAAGACTATAAAGTTAGCAACCTCTGGTATCTGGTTAACAGTTCACTTTGTGCAGGTTATTCCAGAGGTAGATAGCATGAGTTTATGTCGAAGCCCAGGATTTTGTGCCAAACATCCGTCTCTTTGCAACAGAATTGGAGAATTGTTCCAGAATTCTTTGAATTCTTAATTTGCAGAATTTCATAAAGAGTTCTACAGCTCACTTTTCCTAGGAATAGAGGAGAGCGGCAACTGAAGACAGCAGGCTTTTTCTTTTTAGTATTGATGATGATGATGATGAGCTTTAACACAGCTTATCCAGGTAATCCTCATGTAGTGCTGTGATGTTGATGGTTTTGTTACCCATATTTTAGAGAAGAGGAAACTAGAGACTTAGAGGGTTAAGAGACTTATACACAGCCTAACTATTCCAAGTGTTTAGGACTAAGTGGACTTTAGTCTTGGTTTTTCCAGCTCCAACTCTGAGGGTTGTTTCCATATTCCCCTGTATTACATGGATTAACCAGTGTTAGTGACCATCCGGCTAAGAAATTAGCAGTGGCTCTCAGTGGAAAAGAGCTACTTGATTCTAATGATAGTAATAATGAAAACAACTGCCAGCTTCCTGTGCTGTTGGTAGGGCCTCCTGGGTTGGCCCTGTCACATCCCATCATGTCACGGGGCATGTGAGATCACGGGGCTGAAATAACCCTGGGCGACTGATGTAAAACAGATTGCGTGTGACACCTGCCCTTGGGCTTCCCAGCGTGGCACTTCAGCCCCTCTTGGCTCAGAAAGCATTTAATATACCCACAGAGTGCTGGGTTCCCCCCCAAAACTTTCTGCAAACTTCCTTGTAACTCTGGAACAGGATCCCAGGCCATGTGGAATCTTGAAAAGGTGATTGACACTGGAGACGCAAGGTCCTGTTGGTTTGGGCTGGTTACTCAATGTCTTTGAGTCTCAGTTTTTCACCTGCAAGTGGGAATAAGGATAGTACTCCGTTCTCTGAGTTGTGAGGGTTAATTGAGCCAGTGGTGCCAGATCACAGTAGGTACCCAGGCAAAGAGGATTGTTGTAGCTTACTTTCTTCTGGATTACATCATCCTTAATTTTTCTCTTTCCCTCTCCTCTCAGAAGTCATCACAAATTCTGACACTTCTAAATTATGCCTTAAGCCTATCTATATTGTGTCTAGCTACCACCTTAGTCTAAATCAGCTTCACCTCTAGCCTAGATTACTATACTAGCTTCTTACCTGGTCTTCTGCTTGTACTCCCACTTGACAGAGCATCTAGAGTGATTTTATTAAAATATAAACCAGATCATTCATTCGCTTTTGTAAAACTCTTCAGCGGTTTCCAATTGCACTTTGAATCAATCTGTACCCCTTACCCTGCAAACTGCCACCTGCTGTGGTCCCTGCCCACTTACCCACCTCCACTGGATGCCCCTCGATACCCAGCTCACTGTGCCTCGGTCATGACGGCCTTCTTTTTCTTCCTTGGATGCACCAAAACCAGGGGGCCTGAGGACCTTTGCATGTGCTGTTTGTCCCCTTTGCCTGGAATGCTATTCTCCAAGATCTTTGCATAGCTGGAAATTTTGTAGCTCTAAACACGGGGTTCTTCCATTTCATAAGACTATAAAGCTAGCAACCTCTGGTATCTGGTTAACAGTTCACTTTGTGCAGGTTATTCCAGATGCAGATAGCATGGGTTTAGGTTTTCATTTAGAGAACCACCTGACCTCTCCGTAGAAACTCACCACATTCTCTCCCCCAGTGACTTTCTAACACATTACAGTGTTTTAATTTTCTTCATGTACTCAGCACTACTTGAAGTTTTCTCATGTATTTGTTGACAGTTTATCTCCACCCACTAGAAGGTAACTCTGGCCAGGGTTACAGCACTAGTTCTAACCAGTGTCTGCTGTATAAGAGGCACTCAGCAAATATTGATTGATTGAATGAATACATTTTTTATTATATATTAAAAATAAGTAGAAATGAATTTTTAAAAATAAGAGGGAAGTCTTTCAATGTCTATATTCAAGCCGAGGTTTGGGATCCAGTGGCCATGGACAGGCCTGATGGGAAGGGGTGGGTGGAAGAATCACTCGTCTTCAGAGCATTGCGGTATGGTGAGAGACCATCTCATACAGCCTACTGCCTCCCGATACTTTCATTCACTCGTTCAGTTATTTGAAAAGAGCTCACTGTGTGCTGCTCTATGTGCTGAACTCTGGGCTCATAGCAACTAACCATGAAAGACCTGGCTCTGCCTTTACCGAGCTTAAAGTTTGACAGTGAAGACTGGCACTGAGTGCAAGAATTTTCCATTGAAACAAGTATTTAACAAGAGAGCAGCACAGGAGGGCCTGGGAGCATTTTGTAGGAGGCCCTCTTCTGGAGGATCAGGGAGTCATCTCTAAAGGAGTGACATCTAATCTAAATCTGGAGAATGCCTGACCCTGTCCACATTTTCTCATCAGCCCTTGAGAACGGTGGAAGGTTTTGCGGATTGGACCAGCAAAGGGGATGCTTTTTTTTTTTTTTTTTTTTTTTTAAGAAAAAACTTCCTCCACCCAGATGACACCTTTTTCTTTCTTTATTTTTTATTTTTTATTTTTTTATTATTATACTTTAAGTTTTAGGGTACATGTGCACATTGTGCAGGTTAGTTACATATGTATACATGTGCCATGCTGGTGCGCTGCACCCACTAACTCATCATCTAGCATTAGGTATATCTCCCAATGCTATCCCTCCCCCTTCCCCCCACCCCACAACAGTCCCCAGAGTGTGATATTCCCCTTCCTGTGTCCATGTGATCTCATTGTTCAATTCTCACCTATGAGTGAGAATATGCGGTGTCTGGTTTTTTGTTCTTGCGATAGTTTACTGAGAATGATGATTTCCAATTTCATCCATGTCCCTACAAAGGACATGAACTCATCATTTTTTATGGCTGCATAGTATTCCATGGTGTATATGTGCCACATTTTCTTAATCCAGTCTATCATTGTTGGACATTTGGGTTGGTTCCAAGTTTTTGCTATCGTGAATAATGCCGCAATAAACATACGTGTGCATGTGTCTTTATAGCAGCATGATTTATAGTCCTTTGGGTATATACCCAGTAATGGGATGGCTGGGCCAAATGGTATTTCCAGTTCTAGATCCCTGAGGAATCGCCACACTGACTTCCACAATGGTTGAACTAGTTTACAGTCCCACCAACAGTGTAAAAGTTTTCCTATTTCTCCACATCCTCTCCAGCACCTGTTGTTTCCTGACTTTTTAATGATTGCCATTCTAACTGGTGTGAGATGGTATCTCATTGTGGTTTTGATTTGCATTTCTCTGATGGCCAGTGATGATGAGCATTTTTTCATGTGTTTTTTGGCTGCATAAATGTCTTCTTTTGAGAAGTGTCTGTTCATGTCCATCGCCCACTTTTTGATGGGGTTGTTTGTTTTTTTCTTGTAAATTTGTTTGAGTTCATTGTAGATTCTGGATATTAGCCCTTTGTCAGATGAGTAGGTTGCGAAAATTTTCTCCCATTCTGTAGGTTGCCTGTTCACTCTGATGGCAGTTTCTTTTGCTGTGCAGAAGCTCTTTAGTTTAATTAGATCCCATTTGTCAATTTTGTCTTTTGTTGCCATTGCTTTTGGTGTTTTAGACATGAAGTCCTTGTCCATGCCTAAGTCCTGAATGGTAATGCCTAGGTTTTCTTCTAGGGTTTTTATGGTTTTAGGTCTAACGTTTAAGTCTTTAATCCATCTTGAATTGATTTTTGTATAAGGTGTAAGGAAGGGATCCAGTTTCAGCTTTCTACATATGGCTAGCCAGTTTTCCCAGCACCATTTATTAAATAGGGAATCCTTTCCCCATTGCTTGTTTTTCTCAGGTTTGTCAAAGATCAGATAGTTGTAGATATGTGGCGTTATTTCTGAGGGCTCTGTTCTGTTCCATTGATCTATATCTCTGTTTTGGTACCAGTACCATGCTGTTACTGTAGCCTTGTAGTATAGTTTGAAGTCAGGTAGTGTGATGCCTCCAGCTTTGTTCTTTCAGCTTAGGATTGACTTGGCGATGCGGGCTCTTTTTTGGTTCCATATGAACTTTAAAGTAGTTTTTTCCAATTCTGTGAAGAAAGGCATTGGTAGCTTGATGGGGATGGCATTGAATCTGTAAATTACCTTGGGCAGTATGGCCATTTTCATGATATTGATTCTTCCTACCCATGAGCATGGAATGTTCTTCCATTTGTTTGTATCCTCTTTTATTTCCTTGAGCAGTGGTTTGTAGTTCTCCTTGAAGAGGTCCTTCACATCCCTTGTAAGTTGGATTCCTAGGTATTTTATTCTCTTTGAAGCAATTGTGAATGGGAGTTCAGTCATGATTTGGCTCTCTGTTTGTCTGTTGTTGATGTATAAGAATGCTTGTGATTTTTGTACATTGATTTTGTATCCTGAGACTTTGCTGAAGTTGCTTATCAGCTTAAGGAGATTTTGGGCTGAGACAATGGGGTTTTCTAGATATACAATCATGTCGTCTGCAAACAGGGACAATTTGACTTCCTCTTTTCCTAATTGAATACCCTTTATTTCCTTCTCCTGCCTGATTGCCCTGGCCAGAACTTCCAACACTATGTTGAATAGGAGTGGTGAGAGAGGGCATCCCTGTCTTGTGCCAGTTTTCAAAGGGAATGCTTCCAGTTTTTGTCCATTCAGTATGATATTGGCTGTGGTTTTGTCATAGATAGCTCTTATTATTTTGAAATACGTCCCATCAATACCTAATTTATTGAGAGTTTTTAGCATGAAGGGTTGTTGAATTTTGTCAAAGGCTTTTTCTGCATCTATTGAGATAATCATGTGGTTTTTGTCTTTGGCTCTGTTTATATGCTGGATTACATTTATTGATTTGCGTATATTGAACCAGCCTTGCATCCCAGGGATGAAGCCCACTTGATCATGGTGGATAAGCTTTTTGATGTGCTGCTGGATTTGTTTTGCCAGTATTTTATTGAGGATTTTTGCATCAATGTTCATCAAGGATATTGGTCTAAAATTCTCTTTTTTTGTTGTGTCTCTGCCTGGCTTTGGTATCAGAATGATGCTGGCCTCATAAAATGAGTTAGAGAGGATTCCCTCTTTTTCTTAAAAAAAAAAAAAAAATAGAGTAGCCTCTCTGAACTAGCAGCAGTCCTGGGGGGATGTTGATATCCTCATTTTAGACGAGGAACCTGTGGCTCATGGAAATAAGGTGAATTGTTCATATTCACACCACTAGTAATTGGTGGGTTAGGCCCATGTATCCATGACTCAAAGCCCCATCCCTTTTCAGACAACTAGAGGTGTACCCACTCCATTGCAATCATGAGGAATTTAAGTTTCAGGACATTCCATCTTGCTTCTTTTGTTTCCTCAACGACTAGGCCTGTTCTGGATTTTTAGGAGTTAAAATTTGGTTGATGCTCTTTTCAATCCTAACAAAATATCTCACTATCCATAGTCCTTTGCGATCCACTGACAAGTGAGAAACCAAAATGTAAGGGGTTCCCTTTTTTTTTTTTTTTTTGCCAGCCAGCCTAATGATTTGGCATGCTGGCAACTGCGTGGTTTTGAACCGTGAGGCTGCTCTGAGTACCTGCATCCTTGTCCTCATGGAAGTCACCAAAACCGTTTGTCAAATGGCCAATTCCATCTTATACAGGGAGTCGGGGAAATGCTCATGAAATTGATCTTGAAGCACTTGGCAATCGCAAGCTCCATAAGAATCCTGGGTAGGAGTAATTAACTTATTTTGGAGGACGGATTTACTTAGGAAAGCTCCAACTGCAATGAGGGTGGGCCCTTTTCTTGTTGCTCCTGGCATGTGCTCTTCTCCAAGTAACATTTGCAGCAGTCTGGGTGGTTTGTCTGCTTAGAGCCATCCAGAAAAGTTGGTGGGAAAAGCCAAGAGGCCATTGGCACTCAGAGACTGGGGTTGGCACCAGTCACAGTGAGAAGCATTACTTTTATTAGCAACTTAGTCATTTTACAGCAGGCGTGGCAGAAGTGCCTCCTATGCAGACGCAAGACGCTAATATGGTTATTAGGGTAAGAGGAGCAGATATGCCCAGTATCCCACAAAATTCTCAAATTATAAACATAGCACACCTTTCACTAATGTGGTGATAAGACTTAGCTTATATAGGCTTGCATCCTGAAAAACCTGCTCTCAGTCTCTCCTAGGTCATGGCTGTGGTGTTTGAATCCTAATTCTGCCATTACTAGCTGTGGGACTTTGTCATCACAAGACTAGCTTCCCTGTTCTCATCTGTAAAATAAGGATGTTAATGGCATCTACCTACTAGAATTGTTTCAAGGAATAAATGGGTTAATACAAATAAAGCTCTTAGAACAGTGCCTGGCACTTAGTGCTCAGTGAGTCCTTGGGATAACCCTCTAGAGAGGCCAAGATCTGGGCTGTGCTGCGGACTGCTCTTTACCTTATCCTAACAATGAAAGGACACAGTGTGCCCTCTGTCAGGCCCTGTTACAGGCCGAAGCTCATAAAAGTCAGAGGGAGAGGTTTGGAAATTTAACCCAGCTGGGGCATCCCAGATGAAAAGGATTAGTATTTAAAGAGCCGTTACAGTTTATACTAGCAAACACACAAATAGGCAGATTGACACTTCCTGCCTCAGGGATATGGGGCTTCCACCCTTTCCAGACTCCACAATCCGCTTTGCTGTGTGTTTTCTCTTTCTTCCCTTTTCTTGTTTAATATAATGTTTGCTTCCTTTGCCCATCAGTAAGCACTGAATATTGGACATCTATCCTGTAGAGGACTGGGATTGCTGGTGTGATAAGTCATGATTCCTGACCTTGGGGAATTTTGCAATGTTACAAGCAAGCTGGGAAATAGACACGTATGTGTGAGCATGTTTACCCTGGCCAAATCCCATTTATTCTTTAAATCCCATCTCAAATATCACCTCCCCTAGGAAGCTTTCCCAGAGTTCTCCTAGCAGAGTTTCAGTTCTCTCTCTCTCTCTCTCGGTTGCTTTCATAAAACTTTGCCTTTTACCTTATTGGAGATGTGATTGTCTGCTTCTCTGACTCACATATTAGATTAGGAGCCCCTTGAGGGCAGAGACCATGGAAAAGCAGCCTAGAGGGATGTTATATAGTTCTTATTTATCTCCATAGCTTCTAGTACTTGGGGATGCAGTGTATGCTTATTGGTCAAAATGGTAAATAAATGTAAATGGTAAATAATAATAGCTAACACTGAGTACCTCTTGAAAAGCAGTTCTTATTCCTTCTCTGCTGTAATGATAACTAACATTTACTAAAGGCTTTCTTTTGTTCAGTATGCTTTTTCCTTCAGTAGCTCATGTGATCATCCTGCCTTAGGAGGAAGTATAATTAACAGATTATAAATGAAGAGACTAGAGGCACAAGGAGGTTTTGGGTAACTCATGCTAGAATTCAGATCCAGCAATCTGGCCCAGAACCTGGTCTCTTAACAACTAGATTAATCTGCCTCTCACTGTGAGTCTGTAGACAGAGTGTTAGGACTTTTTTTTATTATTATTATTATTTAAGTTCTGGGATACATGTGCAGAACGTGCAGGTTTGTTACATAAGTATACACATGCCATGGTTGTTTGCTGCACCCATGAACCCGTCATCTACATTAGATATTTCTCCTAATGCTATCCCTCCTCTAGCCCCCCACCCGCTGACAGGCCCCAGTGTGTGATGTTCCCTTCCCTGAGTCCATGTGTTTTCATTGTTTAATGGGTTCTCCTCTCTCTTACTTTAAAGGCAGGGATTCCGGCTTATTGGACTCTGCTGTGAACTGACTAAAGTCATTATCTGTTCAACAGTGGTCAGGTTCTTTCTGGTGGGTTTGGGAACCACATTTCCTCCCCAGCAACCCAAGTTACAATGAAAGCAAGTCATAGGCTAAATTATTCACAAGTACAAGCATTTATTAGCCAGCAAGCATAAAAATCATCGTAAATCTCTTTTCTTTAGGCTCCAAGTAATTCCTTCTTTCTGTCCTTGAGCCCCATGAACCATCCTTGCATAAAAAATTCAGGATAAGACAAGCATAATATTCTGATATCAGGGTTGGCCAGTCTTCCAGCTGCATCAGGTGGTAGACTTACTGGGTGGGACACACAAGACCTTACAGAAGTTTGGACCTAGGTACGACTCCTCTTGTTCATGCTAGAGTGGAGATGCCCATATGATGTTGTAAGCCAATCATATTTCCTGACCATCGCTCATTTTATGAATGAAAAATTATTTCTAATGCCCCATATTAACTGATCCTCATTAATGACTCCTCAAATGCAGATTTAGATAGCAATATGTGAAGTGGTTACAGTTTCCTCCTTTATATTCTTACCAACTTCTATTCACATGTGTGAATTCCTAATTAGTGTACTTGAAATGTTAATAACTATGGCAGGGATGTAGGTCCCTATTTAGGCTACACAAATGTTAACTATCCATCCTCAGAGTTAGATTAAATTTAACTTAGAAACACACATGTTCATCTCAATATCAGTACTCAAGAGCTTTAAAGTAAATCACAGAAGGCCGGATGCAGTGGCTCAGCTTACGCCTGTGATCCCAACACCTGGGGAGGCCAAGAAAGGCGGATCAGTTGAGGTCAGGAGTTTGAGACCAGTCTGGTCAGCATAGCAAAACCCCATCTCCACTAAAAAGACAAAAATTAGCTGGGCATGGTGGTGGGTGCCTGTAATCCCAGCTACTCTGGAGGCTGAGGCACGAGAATCACTTGAACCTGGGAGGCGGAGGTTGCAGTGAGCCGAGATGGCGCTACCATACTCCAACCTGGGTGACAGAGTGAGACTCTGTCTCAAAACATAAAGTAAAATAAAGTAAATCACAGACAATATAAGCAGAAGTGCTTAGAGGTTGTGTAGAACAGTGGAAAGAGGTGTACGTAGCTCTGAGGTCAGACAAAATGGGTTCGAATCCCAGCTTCTCTGTGGCAGTGGGCCAGTGACCACATCTCAGAACCTCGAGTACAGTAGTCTTCCTTTATCCAAGGTTTTGCTTTCCAGGGTTTCAGTTACCCTCAGTCAACTGTGGTCCAAAAATATTAAATGGAAGATTCCAGAAATAAACAACTTCTAGGTTTAAAATTACATGCTGTCCCAAGTAGTATGGTGAAATCTCACGCCTTCCTGCTTAGTTCTGCCTGGGACCTGCATCCTTCCTTTGTCCTGCGTATCTAAGCTGTCTACAATTTCTAGAGCCTATTAGTCACTTCATAGCCATCTGGGTTATCAGATAGATCCTCACAGTGTATACTCATCTTGGTATCACAGTGCTTGTGTTTGAGTAACTCTTATTTTATTTAATAATGGCCTCAAAGTGCAAGAGTAGTGATGCTGGCATATTACTATGTTCTGTTTTATTATTAGTTATTATTGTTAATCTCTTACTGTTCCTAATTTATAAATGATACTTTATCACAGGTATGTGTGTATAGGGGAAAATTGTATATATAGGGTTCTGTACTATACATGATTTCAGGCATCCACTGGGGTCTAGGAACGTACCCCCTTTGGATGAGGGGAAACTGCTATACTCATATTATGTACTCATAATAATGCCTACCTTACATGCTTGCAGTGAGGATTAAATTAGATAATATTTATAAAGTACCTAGCTCAGGGGCTGGCACTGAGCCATCGAATACATAAAGCCAGTATTATTAACCTCAGTTACTGGCCTGTAGCAAGATGCTCAATAGACCTGAGGAGAATGAGTGAAGGGGAGGTTGCCTGGCATGGGAGGAAGAGGTGGAAAAGGTGCAGGGGTGATAGATAGGATTCTTGGCTGGCCTATGGGGGCCCCAGCTGAGTGGGAATGGAGAGGAAGTGGGTTGATGGAGTCCCATTGTGTGCAGAAAGAGGGGACCTCTGCTTGGGTGGAAAATGAGGAAAAAAGGCAGCACTCAGGTCTCGGCAAGAATAGCCCGGCCTCCCTTCCTTCAGCCCATCTTCTGAACTAGAAAAAGGCTGTTGGGTGCTGTATGAGAAGTGAGGCCTACCAATGAGAGTCATCATCATGTAAATTCTCTACCATCCTGGCTTGGTCGGTAGCATTTCTACTGCCCCCAAAGCCAAGGAAGAATGATGCCCCTGATGGTTCTTCCCATTTAGAAGGAACTGCAGTTTACACACATTACCTTACCTGATTCTCAGATGTCCTCAAGTGATGTTATCATGATCTATCATTATTTTCCCTGCTTTATAGAAGGGAAAACAGTCCCAGAGGAGGTAGGTGACTCCTTTAGCCAGTAAGTGACAGAGGCAGGATTTGAACCTGCATCCAGCTGATCCTGTTGCTCTTGCTGTAGAGGAGAGGCAGTGTATGGGTATTCTCCCAGCTTGCTTGGTATTCATTCCACTGATTTTTACCTGGAGCTTGAAGACTGGAACTGGGTGGTAGAATGGCAGGTGTAGGGCCAGAGCTGGTAGAGTGGGTGGTGACAGTTCTGAGCCTTCTTTGCCCACCTGTCTGACAGCCCTTTATCTCTGTAATAATTGCCAAGAGTCCTGAAAGATGCCTCTTCCCTTCCCAGTTGCAAGGCCTGAGATTGAGCCCAGGGATCTTGCCAGCCTTAATTGACTTGTGTTGAAAATTATAAGAACTGACCCTCTTTTTAATTTTCCCTAAATTAAACACTGTGGAGGGATCAAATGGAAAATGACCAAGAGTCCTGAGAAAGGATTATCCATCTGGCATCTGATGGAACTTGAGAGACAGGGCAGCATAGTAGTGGTGCCTGCTGCATCTTATAGCTGTGGGACCTTGGCCAAGCTTCTGGACCTTTCACAGTGCGTTTCATTTCCTTATATGTAAAACAGGGTTAATAATTCTGGCCTCAGATGGTTGTGACAGTCATTGAGATTCTCCATGTTACTTGCATGGTACTAGGCAGGAGCTTAATCAGTGTCCCTTTACATCCCCAGAAGTGGGCTTAAATAGCCCAGTAGGAGTATGAAACCCTCAATCAAATGTCTGGCATATAATAGGTGCTCAATAAGTATTTGCTGAATGAATAAGCATGGTTGCTTTGCTCTCTTTCGTAAGTTTTCTAACTCCATCGCAGAAGGGTTAAGAGACCATTAAGATCTTGCCATTTCTTGGGCAGAGATACTAACATTTATTGAACACCAACTGCTTTGTACGTTTTATCTAATTGCAACAATTCTGAAAATCTTTACTATGCCTGTAATTTAAATGAAGAAATTAGGGCCTTGAGAGGTTCAATGAGAAAACCAAGGTCACCCAGCTAATTGGTGAAGTTGGGATCTGTAGGCAGAGCTGTGACTATAAAGCCTGTGTTCCCACCAGCAAATGTCATGCAGTGTTGAACATACACATCCCAGGTGAGACATGCCCTCTGCCTGGACTGAACATACAAGACCCAGAGCAAGTTCCGCACCTTCGTGTCTGGATGTGGGGTCAGTACAGCTTCTGCACAATGAGCCACAGTGAATAAGGAAGTACAGAGAAGCAGGGTGAGGGCTGATGGGAGCACCAAGGCTTGGGAGCTGGGCTCTGTCTCAGATTTGGCCTCCAGCTAGCTGCTGCTTTGCAGGTGCAGGATTCAGTTTGGGTTGTTGGTGGTGGTGAGGAGGTATGTCAGGGAGAGCAATAAAGCAGTGATAAACATCCCTCATGGTAAATCCCCTATGGTGAACATAAGGGATTTGATGATAAGAACGAGGTCAAGATCCTGTAGGTGAACTCCACTGGTATGGACCTGGGTGGCCGGTATGGAGCAAGAGGCCTTGAGCTTCCCAGTAAGGGCCTGGCTCTGAGCTAGACCCCCCTGGTTTGAACCGAGCCATACCAGTCACCCTCTGTGTGACTTTGGACAAGAGACTTACACTCATTAAGGCTCAGTTTGCTCATCTGTTAGATGGGCATGATGCTGGTGACACCAACCTCATGGACTTGCTGTGTGGATCAAAATGGTATCAGACCCATACAATCTTCAGCATAGTACCTGGCTCCTGTAGTAAGCATATAACAAATATTAGGTGCTATCATTGACACAAAGGCCACATTTTACCCTCAACTTCATTTATTTCCTAAATGGATCCTGTGGGATGGTTTTGACAGATAAAACTGTTTACCAAATTCTTACCCCGTGACTTGGACTTGCAAGGACTGCAAGGCGGAATCTAATTTAACACTTATTTAAATTTAACAGAAAGAAAACATTTGGGTTGGCTTTGTCAGGGTTTCCTTTTTTTAAAAAAGTATATTTTACAATTTTGGCTTTTGAGATATCAGGGTCTTGAGGGACAGACAGCTTACGTCTAATGTCTGGGCCTGAGAAGATCCTGTAAGAGACAGGTCTGTGGGGTCAAATTGGCCTTTCAGACTGAGCCTGCCATAGATTTTCTGAGGATTTAGATGATGTGAAGGGGAGTTAACCCATCCCACATTGTAAATTATTTTTTCAAAGGAAGGATGAGGGAGCCAAGTAACAATTTATCATGCTTCTTTTACATTTTGACTCTGCAAGAATTTAGCAATCTGCCATCCATCTCCAGCTCTGTTTGATTTGGGAGAATTTTTTTTTTTTTTTTTTGGGTAGAGGGGAGAATGATTGTAAACCAAATGTTGAAAAGTAGCCTGTTGGTTTTTTGTTGCAGTGTAAAATATGGTTCAGTAATTCATTGCCCAACCTCCCTCCCCTGCCAACACCACCACCAAAGAAACAAAAACTAATGTCCCTGCTCCTGGACAGCAAGAGTTAATTTTCAGCCTTTGGTTAGGAAAACAGAATGGAGGGAGCTGTATGAACTTTATGCTTATAGCTTAGTTCTGCAAGCCCAGGAGATCATTGGTCAGCATCAGATGAGCTAAGATGCAGTTCTGCAACTGCTGAGGACCAGGTCCTGTTTACCAGCAGAGGGCACAGCCTGTGCCAAGGTACAGCTAATGGGAAGTCAGAGACAGAGTGAAATGGTCAGGTTAATTGTAGAGGGTGGCACAGATCAGGCCTAGGTGTGCTGAACTAAGTAAAATCAAATTTCTCTAACGGAAACCCCAAAAAGTTATTAAAACACAACCTCCCTCTAATCATTTACCACATGGTTTTTAAATTCTGTGGGTAGTTTACCAAGAAGGCCTCTTAGGATTATATATAATGTCCACATACTTGATTACTGAGAAAGGAAACCAAGACTATATTTAATCACAAACTGTACAGTGTCAGAAAAAGTCCTGCTACCCTGTCTTGTCACTGCCCTGAGTGGCAGTAATTTATAGCTTGAAACAGCAGCTGGAGCAGGAAGGAGCCTTTAAAGCAGTCACATTTGTTGGTTAACTTTGGTTAACCCAGAGGTCAAAAGCAGTTTCTGTCTAGCACATTAGATAACTTTTGAAACGTTTGACATATTGCAGGTAGCATTACAGGAACATCCACACTTGTGATAAAAGGAGTTATTTATGAGGTAGCTGTGGTTTCAAATGTAAAGGAGAAAAAAAAGTCCTTCAAATTATGAAAGCTTTGGTAAAAATCCCAAGTTGGATGTTGCTGGCATTTCTGAGAGGGTGAAAGGGAGATTAACCAGGAATAAAATGGGAAAGTCCATTTAAGTACACACTGGCATCCCAGTGGCATTACCTGCTGATTGAAAGACCGTTATGGAGAAAGGATTAATGCCTTCAGCCTTACCATTAGTTGTCTTTTATGTCATGAGTTGCTATGAAGAACTCTACTATTGGTGCTTTCCAGCTGACCTCTTATTGTCCAGAAATAAGTGAAGAAGATCTATTGGTTCCAAACACATTATCACGGAGCACTTGCAATCTATTCGTTTTCTGCCTTGGTTTATCAAAGCTAAGCAAGGGGTGCTCTAAAGTGAAAAGGTGGAGACCTTAGATTCAGCTGCTTTCTGAAGTCTCTCCTCTTCTCCCACAGAACAGTCATTGTGGTATTTCATAAAAAATGCATGCTTTGGGGGGAATAATGACTGTTTTCTAAAACACCCTTACCTTAAATGCTTGAAGGTTTTGCTGGAATGCTAACCTTCCAGCATTTAAGGAATATATGACTAAGTTAAGAATTATTTTTTAACGCATGTTATGGGAAAGTTGAAGTTAATTGGAGAGAAAGAAATTTAACTTGACACCATTATATTTCTTCTTCCTTCTTTCCTTCCTTGTCTACATTCAAGTCACACACCACACAATGTAGTGATCTGGGAACTGGCCTTGGAATAACACATCCTGCCGATGCCATTTTTAGCTAGAGATCTGGGGCAGGTGATGTTACCCTTCTGAGCACTTTCCTTAGCTCCTTGTAAAGTTGCTATCAGGAACAAATGAAGTTCTATGTATAAGAGTCCTCTGAACATTTGCAAAGTACTGAGCAAATGTACAGTGGTGAATATAAATTCCCTGAGGGCAGGGGCCGTCTCTGATTTAGGCCTCTTCATATTGCCATTACCAAACACAGGGCCATTTGTTGACTCAATGAGGCAATCAGCCAGTAGACAACTTTATCTCATCAATAGCCCAGTTTTTATTATGTGTCCAGTGTGTTTCCTGTCTGGAGCTTTGATAGTTTTTAGAGCTAGAAGCCAATGATATGGTTGAGAAACATATCAATTAGGAGATGTCTGATAATTGGCCAAGGAATTGGGCCAAGATGTTATTAATTTTCGGCTTCCTTCACTTGACTATAAGCTCCTCCAGGCCAGGGGTCATGTCTCATTCATCTTTCTATCTCTTAGTGACTGAGGTTTAGCACAATGCTTTGCACTTCTCAGTGAGCCGGCAGTGCTTCTGGATGGAATGTTCAGTGGCCCTGGGCCGTCCTTTTACTGCCATCCCAGACCCATTGCCACTCCCTGTTCTGAATTGAGATCTGAACTTCAGCAGGTTTGTGGACTTGCTCTTCTTCCACTCTAGGAATGCCCTTTCAGGTACCAACACTGCAAGATGGACCCTTCTACATTCTGCAGTGAGTTCATTGCATAATCTCTATTGCCCACTTTAGAGCGCAGACATCCTTCTAACTTCTGCAGATGTCATTGAAGTTGTTTTTTTTTTTAATTATATGGCTGAATCATTTATACATGTGTGGTGACCACATCTCATCTTCTAGTGCAAGCTGCTCTGGATAGCCATCTTGGGCATGGCTGGCTCAGAGAAGTGAGTGGTCCTAACGTTGAATAGAGAAAGGAAGGAGCCACATTGGCAGTACAGTTGTAAATCAGAGCCTGAAGGTGCAGGTGGTTTTGGGAAATGAGAGTTTTCTGAACCTAGAGGCAAGAAGAAATATGTCATAGAGGAAGTTAATATTTCATTAGTGTGTTTTTAGTGTTCATGTGACATGGATTGCAAAGGAGGAAACTACTGAGTCTGTAGATGTTGATTAGTTACTTGTTCCAGTGTTAATATATTTCCTGTTGCTGTAGAGCCCGTGTAGACAGGCATTTAGACTTGATCACACATTCAGAAGGTTCACAGTTGGTCTACTACAGTGCTCTTCTGCCTAAACACCACCAGATTCTCCCTAGCCCTCCTTCCAAATCCTGGCTCCCTCTTCTGTTTCCAGTCTCAGCTGAGATTTTACATCCTCAGGGAAGCCTTCTTTGATATCCCCCAGAGAATATAGAGTTGGCCTCCCATATCCGTGGGTTCTGGATCCATGGATTCAACCAAAGTCAAATGGAAAATATCAGAAAAAAAATGTGTCTGTGCTTTATATGAGCAGAATTTTTTCTTCTCATTATTCCCTAGACAATAGAGTATAGAATCTATTTACACAGCACTTACATTTTATTAGGTATTATAAGTAATCTGGAGATGATTTAAAGTATACAGGAGGATATGCATAGGTTATATGCAAATACTAAGCCATTTTATATCACGGTCTTGAGCATCCATAGATTTTGGTATCTGAGGGGATCCTGGAACTAATCTCCCATGATACTGAAGGATGACTGTATCTGGCTTGGTGCTCCAGAGCCCCCTGCACCTCCCCTTAGTGACTTTCCCCACACTGAGCACCATTTATGGCCATTACCTTTTTACTCAAGGTCCCTTGAGGCCTGAGTGTGCCCACTTGCTCCCCACTGTATTCCCAGTGCCTTGCAGGGGGAGTTGCTTCACAAATACTGATCGGATTGCTGTTCAATGAAATCTCCGTGAAGCCCATGATATTAATCACATCTTTCACTAAGGTAGGTTTCAAATTTTTGTTTGTCCTTGTAATTTTTTTGTTTTAATTTTTAAAATTTGGAATTTAGCCTGGGTGCAGTGGCTTGTGCCCATAAACCTAGCACTTTGGGAGGCCAAGGCAGAAGGATCACTTCAGCCTGGGAGGTCAACACCACCCTGAACAACATAGGGAGACCCTGTCTCTACAACAAAACAAAATAAAACAAATAGGTGTGGTGGCACATGCCTGTAGTCCCAGCTACTTGGGAGGCTGAGGTGAGAGGATTGCTGGGGCCCAGGAGGTGGAGGCTGAAGTGAGCAGTGATTGTGCCACCGCACTGCAGCTTGGGTGACGGAGGGAGACCCTGTCTCAATAAATAAATGAATAAAAATAAAAATTGGAATTTTACTAAGGAGCAAATTTCTGCTTTAAATTCATTTCATATAATACCCTGGGTCATTGTCTGAAGGAAGAAGGATCAGGTTGATTTCCAGAATGCCCAAATCACTCCTTAAGTTTCTGAACCAATTGAGAAGCAGTTGTCTTTCCCAGATTCTTTTCATTGTGGCTGGCAGTGGTTTCCAACCTTTGCTGCACATTAGAATTGTGTAGGCATCTTTTAAAAATCCCCATGCCCAGGTCAGCTTTAAGCCAATGAAATCAGATATTTGGGGACGAGAGCATATTTTGAGGGTCCTAGGTGATCCTAATGTGCAGCAAAGTTAAGGAATACAGGAGTATGGACTATTTTTTCGAGAGGGTGGTATGCCAGGTATATAGCCCCTAAGAAGTAAAAATTTTGCTTATTTTCCTGAAATCTAGAGAAACAAAACTTAAATAAATACTTTTGGAGAACACATTCTACATTCTATTTTAATGAAAAAATTTCCAGGCATATCAAAAACAATGTTATTCACAAAAAACAATGTAAGTTAAACGAAATACAAATGGGCTTCTACAGTATATTTCAAAGTATGTGCTTTGGATTTGGATTCTGATTTTACAGTTCGCCAGCTGTGTTACCTCGAATAGGGAACATTATACCTCTCTGAAACATGCAAAATTAGGGATGAAAACACCTACCATGGAGGGGTGTTACAAAGATTAGAAAGAATGTCCTTGGAGGATCTAGTACTTAATGTTGGCTCCATTTCTCCTTCTCTTTCCTGCACGTTTTGAGTTAATGCATTCAGCTTTCTTTCCTAAACCTGTCACCACAGACAAGCCTGCTACAAGGATCCCTGAAGTTTAGAGAGATTGACTTCCCCAAGTACTTTCTCAGTTACCAAGGATAATTCATTCAACGGGTTTCTACACTCATTTTCTTGTGAAGGAAGAAACATGAGTGGGAAGGGAGGAAGTTAGGAGTTGGACCTGAGTATCCTGTATACAGGAGTGTCTGAAAGTGCACTGTTGTGATCCATCCATCTTTTAGGAAGAGTTGGATGATGATTTTCTGGCTCTGTAGTGACTCATGAGCCACACAGGGAAGGCAGGTTTTTATTCATTCAGTCATTTGAGCAACAGCTACATGCCAGACCGAGAAGTGTTAAGAGTGTCAGACCACTCTAAAGAACCAGGGGTCCTCAAGTAAAAAGGCTAATTCCATGGTTTGGGCAGGGAAGGTACAAATTAAGCCTGGAGCACTTTGTTGTACCAGAAAGTATACAAACATGATCAGTGATGTCAAGAAGACAGAGAGAAACCAGCTTGAAGGTCTTCTGCTGGCCAAATCTGGGACACTTTGAGTGATGGAATAGATAAGGACAGCAATGGATTATAAGGCATTGAATAAAATATGAAGCCACAAGTCTATTCGGTGACAGGTAGGTAAGTACGTAGATAGATAGATAGACAGATAGATAGACAGACAGATAGATAGATAGATAGATAGATAGATAGATAGATAGATAGATAATGTGAAGGAAAGGAAAGGGCTCTTCCTTAACAGTGTAATGCCAACTGACATATGTGACATGTGATATATGTGGAGGAAGTAGTGAATTTGTAAAGTCATCATTTTGCAACCCTAGAATTGTTGGGCAAAAATCATCAATGGATGTTAAATCTAGAGAGAGAGGGGTTGATAAGGAACAGGATATTTGTATGGGTTTAAAGTATCTCCCCACATATTGCTTATTGGCTAAGACTGGGCAAATGGTAACTATACAGTGGAAAAAATGGACAACATCTCAGCCAGATGATCAGGTTAATATCATGAATGAGAAGCAGATGGACATCACAAGGCATCCAGGTGTCCAGATGCAGGTACGTGATGCACTGGGAAGGGCACAGCATCATTTGTGTAGTATTCTGACCAACACTGCGTAACCCGAATTTAATCAGGAGGAAATATCAAGCAAACTGAGTGAAGAACATTCCACATAATAACTGTCCTGTATTTGTCATAGGCCAATGTCATGAAAAGCAAAGGCTGAGGAACTGTTCTAAGTTAAAGGAGACTAAAGAGACATGGTCACTAAATGCAATGGGTAACCCTGGACTGGGTTTTGTGCTGGAGGGTAGAAAAAACAAATGCTCTGAAGTACATTATTGAAACAATTGAAAAAACTGGGATATGGCCTCTGGATTAGATATATATAAATATTATACACATATATTTAAAAATACATACTGAAATATTAAGGGGCAAAGGGATATGGTATATGCAACTTATTCATCTGTAGTTCAGAAAAAATAAATACACACACAGAATGATACAGCTGTGCTGAAATGTTGAAATTCACAAGTCTGGGTAGATAAAGGATATATAGGAGTTGTCTGGATTACTCTGGCGTTGTCTGGATTGTTCTCTAAGTTTGAAATAATTTCAAAGTAAAAGGTTTTTTAAGTATTGGAGTACAGTAAATAAATGGAGCCCGGCTGTCTGCCACCACTTAGCTGTCTTACTTTGGACAAGTCACTGAGCCTTTCTAACCCTCAGTTTCCTTGCCTTTCAAGTGGGGATAACATAATATCAGTTCTTTTTGCATTATAGGGTTGTGTGCATGACAGGTATTCTAACTGCAAAGATGTGTAGACATAGCTGTGACATTTTCATCTAAACCCTTCCATACCTCCAGGGCTTTGTATGGATCATAAGGCTTTGTTCCCTTCTATGTATTAGACACTTGTGTTTATAAACCATGAGGAGATGATACTACTACTACCAGTACCATTAATAATAACATCTTGGCTAGCCTTAAAAAGTAATAATCATATCTGACACTTACATAGTACTCCAGCTTGAATAGTACTCATGAGCCTCCGGGTGCCAGACACTGTTCTAAGTACTTTACATGCGTTATCTCATTTAACCCTTACAAAATTATCTCCATTTTACAGAGGAGGAAACCGTGGCAAGAAGGGGAGGCAGAGTGAAGATTCAAATTCAGGCATTCTACTCTCAGTTTATGCTCTCAGCCAGAGCCCTCCAGTGAAACCTTTTTCTCCTGTGCCCAGCACCCTGCCTGGCACGGTCTGGTGCAGACCTGATAAATGTCTATAGAATGAATGGTGGGAAAGAGTGTTTAGAAAGTGTAAGGGCTCTGCAACTAAAAGGACCTGACCTAGAATCTTCACTCTTTCTTCAGTCTCTACATTCAGCTTTTCTGAGCCTTGGTTCCCATGTTTGATAAAAACAATCCTGGCAGAGAAGAGGTATTTAACAAATGGTCATGATTCTTCTCCTTCTCCTTTGTCTTTTTGTTCTTATCTTTCCTTCTGAACATTTCCTTGTGTATAATGTTAATACTACTTTTAACCAGGTGTTTCTCCTCTTTAGTGTCTATTATGATTTTTATGTACCATTTTTTTTTCATATTTGTGATGACTTATTTTACTTAAGTGCCTCCACTTAGATTTTCTTAAGGGCAAGAGCCACGCCATTTTCATCTTTGTGTCCTTATTGCTCTGTATGATGCATGGCCTTAGGAGTAGGGCCATTGCTAGCCCGTCTCTCACTTTGGTGAAATTTAGAAAAAGGCGGTTCCTTTTAGAAAAAGCTTTGCAGGGAGGAGAGCTGTGCAGCAGATACCAGTATGTGAAGAAAAGACACCCTGTCCTTGGAGGGTTACATTTCTCTTTTAGGAGGCACAGCTTGGCAACGAAGCTATATTCTACCTCCTACTCTTCCCCACCGCTGGGCATTTTGTGTAATCTGCAAAATAAATGATAAAGTTGGCTTGGCATGGTGGCTTATGCCTGTAATTCCAGCAGATTGGGAAGCTGAGGCCAGAAGATCATATGAGCCCAGGAGTTCGAGAGCAGCCTGGGCAATACAGTGAGACTCTATCTCTACAAAAAATAATAAAATTAGCCAGGCATGGTGGAGCGTGACGATTGTCCCAGCTACTCAGGAGGCTGAAGTGGGAGGATCACTTGAGCCCAGGAGGTAGAGACTGCAGCAAGCTGTGATTACACCACCGCTGCACTCCAGCCTGAGCAACAGAGCAAAACCCTGTCTTTAAAAAAAAAAAAAAAAAAAAAAAAGATTAAGTGCAGCAGCCATGCCTATGAGCTACTCAGGACATATTGAATGAATGAATAGGTACACAGATGACACCTCCTTCCTGGATTCCTTTATCTTTTCAAACTTCAGACTCCCATTGTGCCACAACTCACTCAGCCTGAGAGATGATCCCAAGGCTGCTTGTTGAACTGTGGGAATGGTTGCTCCTCTGTAGCAATCCTTGAGTGAAGCCCAAGGGAAGGCTAAACCTCAGCCCAGGCACCGACACCCAAACTCAAATTACCCTTCCCAGGTTAGAGCAATTGGTCTCAGCTTGGATACAGCTCAGGGCAAGCCCCTGTGCTTCACAGCCTTGCTCTTTAGGAAGTCCGTAGAGGAACCCAGCTCCACTGGTCCCTCACCAGTGTGGTCTCCAAGTCCTTCCTGGAGAGCCATTCTCCCCAGGCCCAGGAAGGGAAAAAAGCTCATCTGGTAACTGCTGGCATTAGCAGAGCAGATACCGGGTGAGAGCTCTGTCTCTGCAGGCTGGAGGTGGAGCCATGTGGTTAACTGCTCCCCGCCACCAAGCTGGCTGGTCACATTTGCAGAGAGAACCTTGACTTTGTCATTTGATTATAGGTAGAGGCATTCCTAATTTTCACTTGTGATTTATTATTGTTCTTTTCCCATTAAAATAATTTTCTTCTAAGATGCAAAGTACTAAGTATTTGTTATAGAAAAGTTATGATAATGCAAACAAAAAGAAAAGAGAGAAACCAATAATACAGCTCAGACATAATCACTGTAAATACCAGAGTTTATTCTTTCGTCTCTGTCTTTTCTGCACACAGGCACACACACATACACACACATACACAACATAGCATCACCTTCATTTACTCATTGCATTTTGGAGACTTCATTCATTGCTTGGAAATTTAGAGATTATATTGATTTGTGAAAGCAGTTGAATGATCTAGGAATATAAAGTATTATTAGCATGTTGGGAATGGAGGTGAGATTATACCTTAAATTCCACAGATATATGCTTCTAGTCTCTCATGCCTGAAATAAACTTGCTGGAATGTGAGTCTTTTATGCCAAGCATTTGATACACAAAGAACCTACTTCCCAGGAGATTGGCTAAACCAAGCACGTTGTGTTCATCTTTATGATGAAATACAGATTTCCCATTAAAAGGAAAATCTCTTCCTTTCAGAAGGTTGAAAAAGATGACACTTCACAAAAAAAGGAAGAAGAAAAAAAAGAATCCCAGCTGGTTAAATTTAGGGTGCGGAAAGAGATCCAATCGGCAGATAATCCCTGGCCATGGGCCCACAGCATTTTCATTTGATTGTGCATTGGATACATTTTCATTCATTTTAAGCCCTTGCCTTTCAGTATTTTGTTCCTTGGAGACAGGCAAACTAGTATCAATAGCTCTCTTAGCCTATGTCAAATGGTTTGATTTACTTAAGTGGTCTATTTCGTTATTCCAGTAAGGAGGAACTTGTATTTGTTGATGCATTTCTGAGAATGATTGTGCAAAGAAATGCTGAAATTCTAATCATTTTTCTTCTATCCTCTCAGTGGTCTCCTTGTTTTAAATGGAAAGATGTTGGATAAAATTGTGAGTGTGGTTCATGGGATGAGGGTGCTCTGGATGCAGAGTCAGGAGACCTGGCTTCTCACCCAGCTCTGACACTGACATCATGGATACATCCTTGGCCAAATCTCCTAATTGCCTTGGGCCTTAATTTCCTTGTCTGAAAAGTTGGGATAATCATCTCTTCTCTGCTTTTCCCACAGGGGTGTTATAAGGATAAAATGACCTAATTCAGTGTCTCTCAACCTCTCTTGCATATTAAAATTACCTGGGGAAGTGTTAAAAAAATACCTTTTGTCAGGCCCCACCCAGACCAGTTAGAATCCAGGGTGACCTGGGCTTTGGTAATTTTTTATATCCCAGGAGATTATATTGTGGAAGAAGGGTTGAAAATCATCGAACATCCAGGCGATAATATATTGGAAGGCCTGAGAATGCAAATTATGGGAAAAGGTTAAAACGACCCACATTAGTATGGTCCTCTGTAGTTTTCAAACGGTGTCACTTGGAGACTTGTTAAGGGTCTATAAGGCAGTGGACTTAAAACTTTTTTGACTGTTAAACTAAAAAAGATCATATCTCGGTATACACATGCAATAACATGTAAATACACTCAGTCCCATGTAAATACAGCTTTCACGGAACAATATTTTCTGTGTGTGATTCACTCTAATATTTTTTATTATTTTCCATTTCATTGCAGTTTAAACTAGTCCATTTCATTTCTTTCATTTTATGTGGGTGCAGAGCCATGGAATTGATTTAATGATCTGTTGTACAGTCCCCTGACCTATAGTTTGAAAAACACTGATGAAGAGATGGCCTATTTCTGGGGAGCAGGCTCACCCATTGTTTAATGTTGTTTCCTTCTAGTACCAGAATCAGTCTACTGTTGCCTGGATCGACTTTCCCACTCTCCCTCCCTTTTATACCTTTACTTGCTACATCAAACATACCCAGCAGGGTTGTCCTGGTTCTACACTTATTTGGCCCTTAATTGGGTGACTTAGAGCCTTGCCTTCTCTTCTGCATTCTAATCTCTGAAGTGATAGATCTTAAACATTATACTTTATTCCTCACATGAGATTTGTTAAACAAATTCAAGACATATTGTCAATTGAATTACATATAGTTTACTAAATAGATTCTTAGCAAAAATACAAGAAGGTGCAGTTCATAGGTTGCTCTAGCTGCAACATGGTGCTAGTGATAATTTTAGTCCCTCTACTTTGGAGAACTGGGGAGCCCCCAGGCCAGATCATAGAGGAATCATCTCCCTCTTGTTCTGCCGGATCTTTTCTTCCATGCTTCCTGGTCCTCCTAGGCAATTGTGCTATCAGAAGTAAGTTTGTTTCAGCTACAGAGAATTCTCAGCTTCTCTCCTGCACTCATTAAAGTTTGGCTGTCATAGCCCAGACACATCCTCTGTGACATTTCTTTATCCCTGGCTTGGTACTGCTTCTGTTGGCTGGTGTGTGGCTCTGGGCAGGTGCTTGAGGCTCATAGTTCTCTCTCAGGACACACACACTATAATATTCAACCTAATCAAATAGCTATTGGTTCCTCCTCTCTGCTTTACTGCCAAGGGGACTAGAAGGTTTGGGTATAAATTTGGGCAGGAAGAGAACATCTTCCAGATATAACTATCTCTGAAAACCTCCCCCAGCGTTTTTCCCCAATGTCTGTTTAACCAGTTTTGTGTCTGCTTAATTTATGCTATATTGCCTCTAACTTTGTTTGACAGTGGCACAGAATCGAATGTATTCAAGTTAAAAAAATGTTTTTGTGGTGTACAACATATGTTTTGATATATAGGTACAGTGTGGAATGGCTAAATCAATTTTCAACATATACTAATTGAGCATATACCTCAACTTTTGTTTTTGTCATGTAATTTTTAAGGCAATCTTTGAAGAAAGATATAATTTCCACTATATAAAGGAAGTAACAGAGGCTCAGAGGGGTGAGATGATTTATATGACTATTAAGGGTCAGAGGTAGGATTTGAATTCAGGTATTTAGATTCTAAATCATGGCCTCTTTCTTCTACATCCAGGCTCTGTATATCTGTGACAGGCACAGGTCATCCTTGCTTCCTCAAGGCATGTTGGATCCAAGACAGAAAAACTGGTACAAAGGATATCCTAATGCCAGACGTGATCTTGTCAAGGGTTGAGGTGGTGGATACCACCACATGCCTGGCTCCTAACGGAGGGAGTAAGGCTTCACCAGACCTCTGACCCTTCTGAAGCCATACCTTTCACAGTCAGGTTTGCCTGAAGCTACCATGATTCACCAGCATACCAAATCCTTCCTGCCAGTGGAGGCTACATTAGGCTGGGAAAGGAATCTTGTGAAAAAATAGATCTACTTCTCCTGACCCGTGTTCTCCAGGGGATTCAGGGAGTCCTCTCTCAGACTGCTGTCTCGGTTCCACGGTGATTGGCGTCCTGAGTAAATACTCTGATAGACTAAACACACGTTGCCCATGTTGGCCCAGGAGCAGCAGTCCGGGAGCGCGCCCAGTACAGTCCCCTGTATGGCAGCCCAACTTGTTAATCATCGCACTGGCAGGCTAGCCAGAATGGGGATATTTAGCTTGGGGCTTATGCATTACCATCTATGCTAATATGGCATTCTTAGAACTATAATTTCCGTTCTGACCTCCATGGATACTCCTTATAGAGAACACAGACATAAAACAATTCTTGAAATGTCAGGAAGAAATTGCATCTAATGGAGGGTACCTCTGCCAAGGAAAACATACTTCAGTGTTAAAGCATTCCCATCCAAACAGGGAAATTTGAAAACTGCTCTTGGGTCTGCATTGAAGCCTGAGCATTTTTCCATGCCCTTTAATAACCTGTAATGTATGTACCAGCCAGCTCCACTGCAGGCTCCCCATCAACCAAGAGGGCTTACTGTGAAGGAGGTGGGGTGGCCGGCGGGAGGTGATAGCTGAGACCTGTGTGAGCTGGTGTCAGCTAGAAGACCTTCCTGGGGGCTAAAGCAAGAAGATTTATAATGGGAACATATACCACATGACATAATGTCCTACCTGCATCTGTTACAGTGGAGAATATGATCCCCAGTTGGGTCTTGAACCCTTGGCCCTCCTGATACCTGATACCAATGAAGCCTATCCTCCACCCTTTAGGATTTCATATTAGGAGACACACAATCTGTCTTCTGAAATCATGCTGGTGAACAGATACCACTTAGTAATAATAATATTATGTTGCTAATAGTTGCTGTCATTATGAGTGTTTATAATATGCCAGGAATAAATACTTTACCTAAATTATCTCATTTTTACCCTGTCAGTAACACTGCATTGGGTACTGCTGTTTTCTCCACTTTACAGAGAAAACTGCCGCACAGAATCGTTAGATCACTTGGCCAAGGTCACACAGGTAGTAAGTTACTGACGTGGAATTTAAAATTGATTTAGCCAGTCCACACTGTTCTAGACCTGTGCAAGTTGATCCCCTGAGATAATAAAACAAACAAACAATGAAAAGAAATTATCTTATCCTCTACACATTTCTATTTTATGTAGATGTTTTACAATAGATACTATAATAGTACAGAACTTCATGTATGTAAGTTCTGAATAAATAAATATACATATATAATAGAGGTTTGTGGTCCAATTTTTTTTTTTTTTTTACTGATTTACAAACATTTGGAGATTGCTATACTTAACTATAAAGTTCAATGGAAAGAAGAGAGTTTCTTTTCCTGATAACTGATATTGATAATATTATGGGAAATCTGATACTTCCAGAGGGTATAAGCCAGATATTTTTGTCTCATTTGCTCACCACCATATTCCCAGTACCAACCCTAATGCCTAGTAGATGTTCAGTAAAGAAGATGGCCATGAAGTTTGGAAACCAGTGAACATACATAATGCTGACTGAATGTTTGTGTCCACTCTCTGCTGCCACGGATTCTTATATTGAAACCCTAACCCCCAATATGATGGTATTAGGAGATGGGGCCTTTGGAAGGTGATTAGGTCATGAGGACAAAGCCCTTCTGAATTGGATTAGTGTCCTTATAAAAGAAGGCCCAGAAAGCTCCCTTATTCTTTCTGCCATGAGATTTACAGCAAAAAGAAAGCCCTGTATGAACCAGGAAGCGAGGCCTTACTGGACTCTGAATCTGCCTCTGCTGGTGCCTTGATCTTAGACTTCCCAGGCTCCAAAACTGTGAGATTTAAGTTTCTGTTGTGTATAAGCCACACGGTCTATGATATTCTGTTATGCCAGCCTGAACTAAGACACACAGTAAATTTTTCATTGCTATGACATTATAACTCATGATATGTTCTGTGACATTGTACAATATGCTTAATGAGCTACCCTACATGTGCTCCAGTGTGCTGTGCAGAACTGCAGTGAGCCAGGTGTACTTTCCTCAAGCCCCGCTCAGGCATCTGAACCATTCCATATAAAGAAGGCAGGAGTGAGTGCTTGCACAGAAAGGGGTTAGGGCAAGTCGGGGACATGGAAAAGAAAAAAGGAAAGGCTAAAATAGACGAAATCAGGTCCGAATTCAATTTCATCAGGTGATTTTTCCTGATTACCTATTGCTCCTTACCTTCTTACCAATGACTTTCTTTTTTCCCACTCCATTCCCCACCCCCCAGAGAAGGAAAGGTTTTTGCCTGAGTGGAGGTAATGGGGTAAGCTTCCATTAAGGTGGAAGATTTGAGCCTGGCTTGGGATAGGCAGGAGAACAGCCACATTTGAATAATGTTTCTGTAGAAACCTGAACTTATTTCATTCTGTGAGATAGCCTGGTTTTCTGCCCATTTTGTGAATTAAGAAACAGAGGCTTAGAGTGTTCCAGCAGCTTTCCCAAGCTTACCTGGAGGGTTTCCTTTTTACGGGTGCTATTTTCTTTCTGCTTCACTCCTCCAGGAGCTGGCCCACATTCACAGAATGTGTCTGGAAAGTGCCATAATTCCTCCAGGTGCAAAGGGCTTAGTAATTTACTCCTTCAGTCTCCTGCTTGATTGTCTCAAAATTGAAAAGGTTTCATGCCATTTTCAGACATGCTTAAGTTTCTCAAAGGGGGTAGCCCGGGAACTTGAGACTTCAGTAGTTTTTCCTTCTTGAATGCCCCTGTCCAGCCAGTGCCCTAACTTGTACAAATCAAGGAAAATGGTTTGTGTGGGGTGGAGGTGGGGTGAATGTTTTCATTTTTCATTAGACGACATTCGTAAACATACTTGTGTTTTCTGGGTTGGTCCAGTTGTCTTGACCTTCGTTTTGTAAGTATCTTGAAGATTCCTTTCTCATCCAAATCTGTTAGAATCACCGCAGTTTCCAAAGTTGGCTAAACATCAGAATCACCTGAGGTGCTTGTTAAACACAGGGAATGTCCTGATAGCCTCTGGAGATTCTGATTAAGTGGACCAGTTACCAGAAAGCAGCCCCAATCCAGGCCCCATGAGAGGATTCTTGGATCTTGCGCAAGACAGAATTCGAGGCAAGTCCACAGATTAAAGTGAAAGCAAGTTTATTAGGAAATTAAAGGAATAAAAGAATGACCACTCCATAGGCAGAGCAGCCCCAGGGCTGCTGTTTGGCTGTTTTTAACGGTTATTTCTTGATCATATGATATATTAGGGGTGGATTATTCATGAGTTTTCTGGGAATTCTTCCTTTCAGACCATATAGGGTAACTTCCAGATGTTGCCATGGCATTTGTAAACTGCTGTGGTGCTGGTGGGAGTTTAAGTATGGTAATGCATTATAATTCACATATAATGACCAGTGAGGACGACCAGAGGTCACTTTCATCGCCATCTTGGTTTTGGCTGCCTTCTTTACTGCATCCTGTTTTAGTAGCAGGGTTTTTGTGACCTGTATTTTGTGCCAACCTCCAATGTCATCCTGTGACTCTGAATGCTTAACCTCCTGGGAATACAGGGCAGGAGCTTTCAGCCTCATTTTACCCAATGCCTATTCAAGATGGAGTCACTCTGGTTCCAAGGCCTCTGACAGACCTAGGGCAAGTTCCCCAAATGTTTGTTTTTAACAAGCACCACAGGTGAATGCAAGGGCAGCCAGATTTGGGAGCCAGTGAGCTATCAAACACTTTTAAGGGGAATACATGAGAGATTCCCTGCAAGAGTTAAACTATTTTGATACCACAGTGAAGGGAGCAGAAAATGACATTGAAATTTCATCAAAGCTATACACCTACACAGGTGAGATTACCACTCATCATGGGAAAGGATGATGAAAATACAACCAAAAACCTTCATCGAACAATACTCTTTACTACATTTACTAGAAAATCCTAGCAAATTCAAAAATAACATGTGAAATAAAGCCCTGAACTTTTCATCCTTTAGGAGCAGGAAGTTCTCTTTGGGGATTGGCTGAAGTAGAAGGAGCTCTGCAAGAGCCAGTAAGTGGTTCCTTGTCTGTGGTTGTTAGCAAAAGAATGACCATGGCTCACCTCAGAGGTCACAGAGAAGGGAGGTAAAGAGGACAGTTAATTTCTTTACCAGGATCTAATTTATCATTTGGGTTTTCAGAGAATGTGGGAGGTGGCTGTTGGGCTTGTTTTCTTTTGCAGCAAAGCTTTTTAGAGCATGACTATGAGGCAGGCATTGTTCCAGGCACCCTACACTGTTGCACCAAAGTCCCTTAAGAGCTGACGTTCTTGTGGTAAAGACAGATAATAAGCAACTAAATGAAATACTAATACAGATCATGTCAGTCAATGAAAGTGATATGAGGAAAATAGGGTAAAAGAGGGGGGCTGGGGAGAACTCGTCTCTGAGGAGGGGACAACTTTGAACGGAGGCCTGGCTGGCACAGCAGGTGCCATCAGGAGACCTGAGAGAGAATGATCTCTCACACAGAGGCAAAGGGAATAGGAATGTGTGTGGGAGGATTTCCCAGGGAGCCATGAAGATGACGTTCTGGGCTCCACCCTTTATGCCTCTCCAGGGGCCTAGGAGGGGCCTTAGCTATTTTGCATTTGTAATTTCTCTTAAAGACACCCCCCCCTCACCACCAGCCCACATGCTGCCCACTCTGCCTACCCACACCTAGTTATAGAAGCTTTAGACCCCATAAAACCTGGATCTGCCCCTGAGAACCAGAAGTACAAATATGCTGAAGTAGGGAACAAGCTTGGTGTAGTCTAAGAGCCTTAAGAAAAAAGAAAATTGGTGTAGACGAGCTGTGCTTAAGATGGAGTTTAATAGTAGATTCATTCATTCATTGGTTCATTTATTAAATATCAATTTACTGAGTGCCAGGCACTACTATGAAAAAAATAAGGTCCCTGTCCTAGTGGAGCATCCATTCTAGTAAAGAGAAACAGAAAATAAACAAATACCTATATAATGTCCCAGGTGACAATGGTTAAAAATGAAATAGGTCAAGGGGGGATATAGGGTTAGGGTACGATGGGGTGGTAAAGTGTAGCTGTTTTGTAAGGGATGGGAAAGGAAGGGCTCTCACAGTTCTGGTCTGAGCTGAGATCTGGAGGAGGTGAGAGAGTGGGCCATATGGGGGAAGAATACTCCAGGTGGTGGAATAGCAAATAGAAAGGCCCCCAAACAGGAACATGCTGGGCCTTTTCGAGGAAGGTCCTAGAAATTGAGAAAAGCAGAACTAGGTGATGGAGGACCTAGGTAAGGAATTTGGATTTCATTCTATGAGCTGTGGGCAGCCTTTGGACAGCCAGTGCTCTAGAAGTCTAGGGAAGGAGAGAGCATGGGACATCAGAGGCCTCACAGCTGACTTTAAGATGGGCCTGGAAGTATCCAGTGGGCAGAGTTCAGCATAGAAAGAAGGCCAGTGGCAGCCACTGCAGGGCCCCAGGCATGGAGCTAGGAAAGGTAACCTGTCTGAGGGCCTTTGACAGACCAGTGCTGCCTGGAGCTGGAGTTCTCTGAGGGAGAGTGCTGGGGATGAGGTTGCAAAGGTACCTTTGCCTGAAGCATGGAGAGCCTTGAAGCCAGGCCAGGGGAATTTGATATTTACTAATGTGAATACCTGAGTGCCCTGAGAATAGTGGGGACTCCAAAATTTCTGTCTAGGAGCAATTTAAGGATAGCTCTCAGGTGGAGGGTAGGGGTGATGGAAGGGGTAGAGGATCTGTCTTAGAGCTAGCAAGCAAAAGATTTTACCTAGGTTGTGTATTTACTTGAGGGTGGTTTTGGGAAAGGGCAGTGGTAAAGTTTTGAGGTCTTGCCCTAAAGCTACACTGCATAGCAAACACACTGTTTTTACTTGGATGGTATCCTATTTGGGGTTACTAAGGGGATGGGGATCAATGAAAATTATGGGGCATTAATCCTTGGCTCTGTCCTGGGAGAATGAAAATTACATAATGAAAGGTGTGATTTAGAAAGGTGGTCAAGAGTGAGTGTGGGGAGGCATTCACTCATTCATCCATTCATCCACTTAGCAATTGTTTATGAATACTCCAATGTGCCAAGTGGCAGAATGGAACTTGTATATTCCTGTGTTCACACTCTGTTCCTACCACTTACTACTTGTGTCATCTTGGGCAGCTTTTATTTAATCTCTTAGAACCTCAGTTTCCTTGTCTATAGAATAATAATACCAGCAGTCCCCTCTTATCTGTGTGGGATATGTTCCAAGATGCCCACTGGATGCCAAAAACCATGGATAACACTGAGCCCTATATTTACTATGTTTCCTACACATGTGTACCTATGACAACAATAATAACTAGTAAGATAGGACAATTATATTAATATACCGTAATAAAAGTCGTGTGAATACAGTCATGATCCCTCTCTCTCAAAAGATTGTTATACTGTACCACATGTAACTGAAACAGTAGAAAGTGAAACTGTGGATAAAGGGGGACTGTTGTAACATGCCTACCCTAGTGGTGCTTGTGATTAGAGAGAATGTGCATACAGTGTCCAACCCAGTGCTTGGCACCTAGTAGGTGCTCAATAAATGGTGGCGCCTACTGGGTTGCAGTAGATGGAGAGTACTGTAGGCAGAAAGTTGTTACTGTGGCAGCACAGATTTCCCACAGTAAGGGCCTTCATTAGGGCAAGGGTGAGGTTTGTAGGGCAGGAGATAGTTTTGAGAGGCTTGGAAGAACATCTTGAATAGGACTTGGGTCCTGAAGGATAAGATGATAATGTGAAGATAATATGAAGGTCTTCAGCAGAGAAAATGTGGAACTAGATGCCCAAACAAGAAGGAAAATTGGGAAGAAAGTAGACTGGGGAAGGAGTCACACTTTAGGTTGAATCTGGGGCAGCAGCCAAGTGGAGAGAGTCTCTAGATTTGGAGAATACAGTGGTTTGCAGGAGTGAGACCTGGGCTAAGCAGACACATTGATTTTAATATCACTGTGATGGCATACTAGTCAGGATACAAACTTGGTTGCTATAACAAAGACTCCCAGATAACAGTGACATATGTAAGAGAGATGTCAGAGTAATCCATGCAGGGCTTTGGATCCTTGTCCTTTTGCTCCACTTTTACTAATTGGTAGCCCTCATTTGAATGGGCCAAGGTGGCACGTCAGTGTGCCTACATTCCACTCCCAGGGAGGGGGAGATGGGAAAAAGTGAGGGCACACCCAGCTCATTTGAGGGCACAACCTAGATACTGCAAACCCAACTTCTCACATTCTGCAGGCCAGACTTGGTCATATGGTCACACCTAGCTGCAAGGGAGGCTGGACAATGTATACTTTATTCCAAGAGGCCTGATTCTTAGCTACAGTTCTATTATTTTGGAAGAGGGAAGAACAGATATTCAGGACAGCTAGCAATCTCTGCCATAAGCAGTGTTAAATAAAGACCTGAGATTGGATGAGAACATGGAGAAAAAGAGTGTGACAGAAGTATGGTCTGCCCTCAGTATCCATGGGTTTTTGCATCCATGGATTCAACCAACCTGGGATCAAAATTATTGGAAAAAACATTGTGTCTGTACAGGCATTTTTTTCTTGTCATTACTTCCTAAACAATACAGTATAACAGCTATTTACATGAAATTAACATTGTATTATGTATTATAAGTAACCTGGAGATGACTTAAAGTATATGGGAGCGTGTGCATAGGTGATGTCCAAATAGTATGCCATTTTATGTCAGGGACTTGATCATCCTTGGATTTTGGTATCTGTTGGGGGTCCTGGAACCAATCCCCCAAGATACCAAGGGACGACTGTAATTAGTTGGATTCCATTATGGCAATGGAGAAAGACCTAAGAAGTTAACGAAAAACATGGAAGATAGACAAGTAGGCAAAATGGGATGGTGTGGGTTGTGGGATGGAGCAGTGGTTAGCTGTGTCTGATCCTGCAAAATGCAAGAGAATTCCATTTGGTGATTAGTAACATATTGGGTGGTGACAAGCAAAGTCTGGACTGCAGAGGTTAAGGCATAGACAATTAGAGGCAGTGGACGTGGATTAGGCTAGAGAGGTTTGGCAAACACAAGGACCTTGGAAACTCCAAGGGCCAGCCAGGTTACGTGAAATTAAGTTCAAATGTCTGAAGGGGTTTACAGATATTAATTTTACTTTTTTTCCTAATTAGGAAGAAGCTTTAAAAAAATCCTCTTAACTACAAGGACCTAATCCTTTTGGGGAGTTTGCTAATATAAGCATAAATTTTTTCTTTGGCAGTTTTTTTCCCCATCTCCCTCAGATAACCTTATCTCAATTTTGAATCAGAAATCTTATTTATAGCTTTTCTGGAGAGAATTATTTCAAAGGGGGCAGATTCTTTGCCCTTTGGACTTATTTTCTTTTTAAGAACAGATAAGTTATCCCTCGTTTTTCTCAGGAGAGACAGTTAAATTATTAATTTAAAAATAATGATTTTGAGCTGAAAGGGGGCGTAAATCAAAGTTGGAGAAATAAATCCAGCTGCTTCCTGTTTTTGTGTTTCTTTTCTTCTTATTCTTCTTCTTTTGAAGGGAAACTAAAAATGCCAAAGTTTCATTTATCCCCCAGGACCAGAAGAGAACTTAGCACAGCTCACAATCCTTAATAGACCTGGAATGAAACTGGGAATGGCATGGCCTTCCAGGATCCTTCCTTCCACCCTCTAGCTTTCCCCCACCACCGTAGCAGTTTCCATTTTTACCGTTATCCCAAGTACATTGCCAAGCAAGTGTGACTCAGGGGCTCTCTCGGCTAGAAGGCCTCTGAGCCTAGTTTTGAAGGCCATCTGAGTCCTAGGCCTTTGTGCGTGACCCATAATTATCTCTGCAAAGATGTGTCCGTTGAGTACTTATATGGGAAGAGAAGGCAGAAGGGCAGCTGCAGCACTCCCTGCACCTGGTGACTCGCTCTGCTGGCCTCAGCCCATGGGGATGAGGCCCATGTAGGTGGTGGTAGTTCTGGTGCTCCCAGCCCTGTTAGAGCATGTGCAGTCTGGAGATCAGATGAGATGGGTTTGAGGCCTCTGAGCTTACACACACACTGGATGTTAGGAAAAGGAACTGTCACGGATGTTTCACAGGCATTGAGTGGGCAACTAGTCTGAGTCCCACAGTGAGTCCCTGTCTCTGAATACATTTCTTCTGTATCGCTCTAGCTGGGTGGCTGGTCCTCCTCAGCTGATCAGTCCCAGCAGAGCTCATTTCTAAAGAGGCCAGGGAGTCACTGATCAGCAGAGCTCAGCCCTCAGGAAGCTGAAGAGGAAAGTGGATGGAACCAGTGGCCCCAAGAGCAACAATCCCAGATTCTTACCCAAGCCCTGGAAGCTAACTCGTAGGGTCATTGAGGAGTGAGTGAGTTAACGCAGGTGAAGGGCTTGACATAGTACATAGCACATTGTAAGCATTTAAGAAACATTGGCTGTTATTTATTATCAGCTGGACCCAAGGCAGTGGCCCAAATTCCCTTAATTCCCACTAATTCAGTGTGTCTGAGGGGTCCTTAATACTGGCATTGATTTACTTTGTGAATCACTCACAAACATTGTGATGCCTTGTGGAAAATGCTTGTGGAACCAACTCTGTTGAGAAAGACATTTTTAAAACTTAAGTTTTTAAATATTTTGAAAGCAATAGATGCCTGTAGTGAAAGAATTCGAACCTGACTGAAGAGTATAAAGAAATAAGTCTTCTCCCACTTTTCCCCTAATTCTCAGTCCTATTTCTTAAACTTCAAAATGGTTACTTGGATATCCTTCTGAAACTTTAATGTAATGGAGTTGAAAACACTACCTTGCAGATATGCTAAGAAAATGTAGCATCTATTTTATTAATTAACTACTTTTCCCCAAGTGCTACCTCCTTCCTAGTTGGGGAGGGCCAATAGAAGTGGGTAATAGAGTTGAATTTAAGCCCTGGCATCTGGACTTGACATCCTCTGCTTCAGGTCTGGCTGGGCGTCTTGGGCTGGTGTCTGTTAAGGAAGTCTATGGCTGGTGAACTTGTAGGCAGTTCTCCTGGTAGAGATTATATGCAATGACAAATGTAGCAAACATCTCCTATCACCATCGGCTCCTTCTGCATTTTCCTGAGAACAGTGGTAGCCTTGGAGTACCTTCCTGCAGCCTGAATGTGCTCAACTGCCAGTGTTACTATGTCGTTGTAATTTCATGCAACTGCAGGATCTTTGGGTATGGGGGTCCCTCTGTCCCCCGAGGAATTCCTAGTGGGAAGTAGGGTACATGCTCCAAGCAGCTTTCTCTTAACAAACATAACTCTGACCCTCTTCATCTTTCTGGAATTTCATTCCCATGTGGGAGATGCGAATCCATGATGCCAACAAGCAAACCTCTTCTTTTTCCTTCTCCTGTTGCCCCAACAACAGAGGATGAGGACCCCCCCTTGCATCCTATTCTCCTCCTGCCCTCATTGTCCCACCTTCCCTGAGGGAGTGGGAGAGTGGCTGCTGGGAAGGGAATGGAAAGCACATGGGTTGCATATCTTCAAAACATGATCTCCACTGCATGAAGTCTGTCAGTCTGTCTGTCAGTTGATCTGGCCATTCATTCATCTAACGTTTGTCTACATAGTGTTTTGTAACTTGCTCTTTAACCAATTGATAACCCTTTTTTTGTTTGTTTTTTGTTTTTTTTTTTTTTGGAGACAGAGTCTCACCCTGTTGCCCAGGCTGGAGTGCAATGGTGCAATCTCAGCTCACTGCAACTTCCGCCTCCGGGGTTCAAATGATTCTCCTGCCTCAGCCTCCCGAGTAGCTGGGATTATAGGCTCATGCCACCACACCCAGCTAATTTTTTGTATCTTTAGTAGAGATGGGGTTTCACCATGTTGGCCAGGCTGGTCTCAAACTTCTGATCTCATAATCTGCCTGCCTCGGCCTCTCAAAGTGCTGGGACTACAGGCATGAGCCACTGCACCCTGCCTCAATAACTCTTAATGACCTTTCCATTGCAGCACTTACCACAATTCCTCATTCTTTCTAACAGCTGTATAGAATTTTGTCATATAGCTATATCAAATTTTATTTACTCATTTTCTTACTGACATGAATTATTTATTATTATGCAAGTATGTCTGAAAAATACTTTATGCCCTCTGCCTATGTTTTCTTTCCTCTTCCTTTGCAAATTTCCTTACTTGTCACCTAGTGTACAATCAATAGTATGACAGTTAACTTATTCTTTTTTGTGAGTCCCGCAGATACTCTCCATGCCTCCTGTATGCCTGTAATCCTTTGCTTAACAATTTGACAACGAGAACATAGGATTATGGTTTCGGGGGAAGAAGCAGCAATAATGGCAGTTAAATTTTCAATTCCCCAGGTGCATATGTCTTCCTTAAGTGCATACTCTGAGTCCCAAGTGAGAGGAGAACATATTTAGAAAGAATTGTAAATTATTTCTCTTTGCCAAGAGGAAGGGAAGGAGGGTCAAATTACGTGGTTGATCAGTTAGGATAAATCCTGAATATGGTAGCTTCCACAATTTAAAGTTTTATCCTCTTACATAAAAGAGGTCTGGATGTAGGTGGCAGTCCAATGCTCATATAGTGGATCTATGAAATCATATCTTTCTGCTACACCTATGTCCGTAGTATGTAGTTTTTACCCTTAGGACCACAAAATAGCTGCTGGCACTCCATCCATCACATCAACATTCCAGGCAGGGAAAAGTAAAAGGGTAAAGGACAAATGAAGCATGTGTCAGCTATCTGTCTGCCTTTTTAGGAGCTTTCACAGCATCCCACATAACACTTCTTTTTGCATCTCACTGAACAGAACTTGGTCACATGCCCACATCTACCTGTACCTAGGCACAGTGCCATCCTGAATAAAACTAGAGATCTGTTAGTAAAGAATAAGGGAAGAGTTGTGTATTAGTCTGTTCTCACACTGCTAATAAAGACATACCCGAGACTCGGTAATTTATAAAGGAAAGAGATTTAATTGACTCACAGTTCAGCATGGCTTAGGAGGCCTCAGGAAACTTACAATCATGACTGAAGGGGAAGCAAACATGTCCTTCTTCACAAGCAGCAAGGAGAAGAAGAATGAACAAAAGGGGGAAAAGCCCCTTATAAAACCATCAGATCTTGTGAGAACTCACTCACTGTCATGAGAAGAGCAGGAGGGTAACCACCCCCATGATTCAATTACGTCCCACTAGGTCCCTCCAATGACACGTGGGGATTAGGGGAACAAGATAAGATTTGGGTGGGGACACAGCCAAACCATATCAAGATGATACTGGGTAGACAGCTAGCAGTAACTGTCTCTTGTGATTTGATCCATGGTTTGGATTTCTCCTTTCACCGAGTGCTGACATATGGGTAATAGTTGCTACTCAGAGCAGAGATGTGCAATGGCTTCAGTTGATTTCCTCACCCTCCCCCATCGTCTGGGTTTCTTCCTCCTTCCTTCTAAGGATCTTGCCTCCTGAATGATCAGGGAACCCCAGTGTAGCATTTGGCCATAATGTAGAAGCATATCACATGTTTAAAGTTTCTTTTTCTCAACCTCTTCTTCAAAACTTATCTGTTGTGTGCACCATCTTTGCTGGGCACAGTTAGACAGCCGGCTTGCTACCCGAATCAACATGAGCTAAGGAGCTAGGATTCACTGGCTTCCCATTCCAGCTCCAGTTCCCATTGCCCTCCTTACCCTTCCAAGTCCTTACCCTCCAGCTGTGCCAAATCCCCTGCCTTGGATTCTTCATGTCCTTCAATAAGTCCAGACACTTGCACCAGCAGCCCCTTCAACCTGGAGTGTCCTCCTCATCCCTTCACTTCTTCTGCAGCCCATTCCCAGCGTTCTCTGCTCATTTTAAATGACCCATTTTGAGCATCACCTCCCACGAGAAGGCCTCTCTAATCCCTTAGCATCACTATCCGCTTTTGATGTCACAGAGTCCCCCAAATGCACTGCTGTGACAGCATGTATCACACTGGGTCATCAGAGTTAACACACAAGCCCATTTCCCCCAGGTAGACCCTGCACTTTTCCAGGGCAGGACAGTAAATTTACCACACAACCTCTTACATCTAAAAGAAACGTTGTTACTCATTGTTGAATGAAAGAGAATGAATGACAACTTTCAGTACTTAGATCTACAGAGAGAATAAAAGAATTTTCCCTCTGGTGGGGAGATCTTTTGGGAACGGGAGACCTTCCCACAGCCGTGTTGTGATGAAGGTATCTCCTTACTTCGTCGAAGCACGAGCATGCTTGGAATTGCTGTTATATTAAAGTTCCCAACAGCAGCTCTGTGGTCAAGACCGTCAAGGGAGAAGGTCTTAGTTTGTGCAGCTGAAGGGACTCATGAGACATCATCAGCCACTTGAATAAAATGCTGGGCTTTCTATAATGGTTTATTTTTGAATAGGAACAGGTCCTTGGCACTAATCCTGTTTGAATCCTGGAGCTCTGTTTAGCAGAAAGATGAGCCGGAGACCTCAGGTTACATTTGTTGCTCAAGTTTGACCAGACACTTGTGTAAGTGTGTGTCATGCCGGACTTTGCTTAAGTAATTAACATTCCTGTCAAGGCTCCTTAAAAGGGTCCTGTGTTATAGAGCCCCTCAAAAGGCTGATTTAAAACTTTGAACTCTCAGCCTTTCCATTCATTGCCAATTACTGATATGCTTAAATTTCATTTTTCTAAAAAAATACAAAAAGGATTAGGTTTTTGAGGAGAAATGTTTATTATTAGGAGAACCAACCTTGGAAAGTAAGGTGATTTTGAAAGAAGAGAGTAAGTGTAGAAGTGGTATTAGAGAATGTGTTGAGGAGGGAGTCTGAAAATATTTTTTAAATTAGGAAACAGGAGAATTAACATGACTATGACAACAGCTTTCAAATGTTTTAGGGACTGTCATGAGGATAAGCAATTTGATGTACCAGAGGGCTGAACTAGCATTTTCTTTTCTTTCTTACCTTTCCTTTCTTTTTTCTTTCTCTTTTTCCCTTTCCTTCTTCCCTCCATTCATCCTTTCCTCCTTTTTGACATTCCCTCTTTTTTTTTAAACTCCCCTTAAGCTCCTTTAATATTATAAGGTCTGGAACAAAAAAACAACAAATACTGGCAAGGATGTGGAAAACGGGGAACCCATACACTGTTGGTGGAGATATAAATTAGTACAGCCATTATGGAAAACAGTATGGAGATTCCTCACAAAACTAAAACTAGAACTTCCATATGATCCAATAATCCTGTTACTGGGTACATATCCAAAGGAAACAAAATCAGTACATTAAAGAGATGTCTGCATTCCTATGTTTATTGCTGCAGTATTCACAGTAGTCATAATATGGAATCAACCTAAGTGTCCATCAATGGATGAATGAATAATGAAAATGTGGTACATATACACAATGGAATATTACTCAGACGTAAATATAATCAAATCTTGTCATTTGTGGCAACATGGGTGAGCCTGGAGGACATTATATTAAGTAGAATATGCCAAGCACAGAAAGACAAATACCGCATGTTCTCACTCATATGTGGAAGCTAAAAAAAGTTGATCTCTTAGAAGCAGAGAGTAGAATCGTGGTTACCAGAGGCTGGGAAGGGTAGGGGAGAGTGGAGAGGGATATGAAATTACAGTTAATGGATATGAAATTACGGTTAGATAGGAGGAATAAGTTCTAGTTTTCGACAGCACAGTAGGGTGATCATAGTTAAGAACAGCTTAGTGTACATTTCAAAATAACTAGAAGAGAGAAACTGAATGTTCCAAACCCAAATAAATGACAAATGTTTAAGATGATGGATATTCCAACTACCCTGATTTGATCACTATGCATTGTGTACATATATTGAAATAGGACATTTATCTCATAAATATGTACAATTATTATGTGTCATTTAAAAATTTAAAAAATAAAATTACCCAGCACTTTGAGAGGCCCAGGCAGGAGGATCCGTTGAGCCCAGGAGTTCAAGACCAGCCTGGGCAACATGGCAAAACCCCATGTCTACTAAAAATACAAAAGTTATCTGGGCATGTTAGGGTGCATCTATAGTCCCAGCTACTTGGGAGGCTGAGGTTCAAGGATTGCTTGAGCCCAGGAGGCAGAGGTTGCTGTGAGCTGAGATTGCACCACTGGACTCCACCTTGGGTGACAGAGTGAGACTGTCTCAAAAAATAAATGAAATAAAATTATTTTTAAAAAGATTATAAGGTCTGTAAGAATAGGAGATGGATCTAACTTGTTAACAGAGCTCCTCTTGAATAAGTGAACGAAGAAATGAATGTTATTACAATGTGCCAAGCACTGAGAATACGGAGATGAAAGACATAAGCTAGAAAAGAAAAATGACAAATGGTTCACTGCAATCTGGAGATGTTAAGTACCTGGAGATGTAAGTACAGAACTGCTAAGGGAGTGGGAGAGGGTAGGTGTCTGCCCCTAACTGCAGAAGGAGGAGAAGAGGACTGAGAAAAGCCTCCCTGGAGTTGGTGATGATTTAACTGCATCTCAAATAATGATCAGACATCCATCAGATGAGGGAGCGGGGAGAGTGCCTCAGGCAGGGTCAAATGTGAGCAGAGCCGGGAGTGGAGAGTGTCACGATGGAGGCTGAGCTACCTGTGGGAAAGTCAAAGGTGGGTCTGATGGGAGATGATGCTAGGTGAGGTCAGTGGGGCCACACAGTGTATAGCAAGTGAAGGAATGTGGGTTCCATCTGGATGTGATGGGATACACCCGTGGATTTTAAGCAGGAGGCCGACTGGTAACTGCGTGAAGGGCACCTCTGAGGGGAAGGAGAAAATTCAGGAGCTGTTCAGTAGACCAGGCAAGATGGTTCTCAAGACCAGGTGAAGGCTGGAACTTGGACATATAGGGTAGAGATTGGAGAAGAAGGGACAGATATGAGAAGTATTAGGACTTCCTTCTTGTTCGGGTTGGTTGACTAGATAGACGATAGTGCCTGGTGTACACTAGACAGTGAGTTTCTCAGTTATAGATGACATCTGTTATCTTTACACCCTTAATCTCTATATCAGTATCTGATACCTAGTAAGGTTTGAACTTTAATACTGTTTTCTTAACAAGTGCTTTAATTAATAAATTATTTCATGATAGTAACTTAATGTGCCATATGTGACAAAGAGTGCTATTTTTTTTCTCCTAATATCTATTTCTCTTTTAGAAAAATAATTCTGGGCTGGGCGCAGTGGCTCATGCCTTTAATCCCAACACTTTAGGAGGCCGAGGTGGGTGGATCACCTGAGGTCGGGAGTTTGATACCAGCCTGACCAACATGGTGAAACCCCATCTCTACTAAAAAATACAAAAATTAGCCAGGCATGGTGGTGCACACCTGTAATCCCAGCTACTTGGGAGGCTGAGGCAAGAGAATCGCTTGAACCTGGGAGGTGGAAGTTGCAGTGAGCCCATATCCTGCCAATGCACTCCAGCCTGGGTGACAGAGCAAGACTCTGTCTCAAAAAAACAAAACAAAACAAAAAAAAAAACAAAACAAAAAGAAAGGAAGAAAAAAAAGAATTCTGATTTGTAGATGAGTACTTTGCTTTCCAGTGTAAGAAAAGCTACATTTCCCAGGCTCCTTTACGGATAGGTGTGGTCATATGACTAAGTCCTCACCAAGAAGATCCAAGTAGAAGTGTTTTCTGGAACCCCAAGAAAGACTCCTAAAAGGTGAAGAGGAAGAACCTTCAGCCCCTCCCCGCTGCTCTCCTCTCCATCCTTCCTGCTGTCTAGAATGCAGACGCACTGCCTGGGGTACCAGCATCCGTCTTTCTAAGGATGGCAGAGCAGTAAGATAGAAGAAATCTGGCCTTTTCTGACCGTGAAGCTACTGTATCAGTCTTATATTTTTTTGAGCAAAAGACACACTTCCATTTATACTACTTACTTTAATTTTAACTTTTTGGATACATGTAGCTGAGCCTAGTCCTAACTGGGACACTTAGGAAGTGTTCAGGTATGTAATCTCTTTTGACTTTAACAGCTACTCTGTAAGATATGATCATCCTTATTTGACAAGTGAGGAAACTGAGATTCAGAGGTATTATTTGATTTCTTTAGGGGCATATAGCCACCTAAGTCTTCTGACAGAGTTCACAGCTCTTTGCTACCAGATCCCACTTCCCTTAGCAGGCACACAGCAAATGCTTATTAAATGGAATTCGCCCAAACTGCACTGTGTTTCTATACCTGCTTTGGGTTGGGTTTCATAGCAAGAGTTCAGTGTCTTGTTGGCTTCCCTGGGATAAATAAAATCAATTCTATCCTCTTTCTTCATACATATACCTACATATGTATATGTGTGTTTATATAAAAACTGACATAGCAGTCTGAATTCAACTTACCCATTCCACCAATTCTTCATCAAATATTTATACAAATCTTATTGTATGTCTAGAACTGTGCCAGGAGTAGTGAAAACAAAAATAAACAAAAATAAATAAATCACATTCCCTTCCCCACTCGGAGCTTACAGTTGATCTTCGAGGGTTCTGACGAATTTATTTCCCTTCCTAATTCTGAGGTGATAGTAGATTAATATGCCACTTTATCAGTTTGTATGAAATTAGTTGGGCTTTTCAAAGAAAGCCCATACCCTCAGCAGTGGGGCAGTTTTGATGGCACACCATGTGCTGATATTAACACGTGGTGGTCTGATTTAAGTTGTGATTCTTGGTTTCTGGATGTGTGCTGTCACATTTCACCTACTGTGTCTGAGCACCTGGTTATGTGGGCCAGAGGCATGACCTGAAGCTTCAGCAACTTTTTGAGAACTGAGGATGAGTTTCTAAGCTGGGCCTTAAGATGCTTCGCAGTTGAAAACCTAGGCAAGGGATGTGCTAAGAGTTTGCTTAGGTGTGAAGTCTGTGTTCAACTTTCCTTATGGCCTTATCTCTCAACAGGTACAAGGAAATAAAAAGAAAGTTCTAGTATTATGATTGTTTGTTGAACACTTTTAAATATGGCATGCACTTTACATACTATCATTTCATTCTAAGAACTCCATGAAGTATCATCATCTGTATTTTACAGATGAAAAAACTGAGATTCAGAGAAGTTAAGAAATTTGCCCAACGTTAACACAGCTGGTAAATGGCAGAGCTCAAATCCAGCTCTATATGACTCCAAAGCTCCACACTAAACTGGCCCGCCTTCTTTGGTTACTTTAGATGTGTGTATTTACAATCCATCCTCATTGAGGCTGGACCAGAAGAGTGAGACCACCTTGCTTCTCGGCACTTGCTCATGGCAAAAGTTGCCAGTACTAACTGGTTACTACGATGAAGAGTGTTGTCGTTGGAAACTTTAGTAATAGTGTTTCTGCATTTAACATCTCCCCAGACATTACATTTGCTTAGGAAAAAAACCAACTTGTTAAACCTGTCTTAGCAAACTGACCACAATTTGTAATATTTTCTTTAAAGGAAGAAAAATTAAACCCTGAGTTTCCAAAATCCCATAAAGACAGTGGAAGGGCTCTTTCCACCAGGGACTTGCGTAGTTGCATGTTGTTGCCTCCGAGAATTGAAAGTGTTTAAAGCATTATTTTATTCTATTGTGCTGTTATCACCTCAATCAGTATAATTCTACACTTTTATTTCCTGGTCTAGGGACTCAGTTTTGATGAGATTTATTGCTTTAAAGAGGATAGCCCTTTTTTGGAGACTATTTAGTTTCAGATTAGTTGACAAAGTAACGAACAAGCTTGGGGTGATCTTGAACTAAATAAACGTCATGGGAGGCAGTGGTGCTATCAATGAATACCGCAAGGACTGTGGAGTCAGGTAAACCTGGCTCCTCTATTCACTAACTGTGTGATCTTATACAAGTCACTAAACCTCTCTAAGCCTCAGTTTATTCCCCTTTAAAGTGGGGATAGGACTGTTACTGATAGTAACCCCTTGTAGGATTGTTATGAGGATTAAATCCGATGTTAGAGCTTGGGTGTAGTGCCTGACACAGGGCAAATGCTGAACACCTGCCACTCATGGTTCGTTATCATTCTTATCTTTATGTTCTATCATGTAATTTCGCCAATGTGGTTAAAACCAGTTAGTTCCCTCGGAAGTTGTCAAACAAGGAGACAGGCATAATATGCTCAGCAATTGGAGATGCCGCTCTCTTGGTTCAGTTACTCAGAGCTGTCAAAGCGACAGTCGGAATCCCCTTCCTGGAGTGTTGGCTGTGCCTCCTGGGTCTCCCGCGTGGATTCCTCACAGATGGCAGGGCACATCCCAGCTCGGCATGTCGACATAGTCACCACCATGGCTTTTAATGAGAACCATTCATTGTAGATGGACGCTTTTGAGTTTTGTACAGAGATAAACAGATGGCAAGGTTTGTATAATTTCCTGCTGGGTAATCTGGTACTAGAAGTATGATCTATCTGGAAACTACAAAGTGTTACCTAGTCTAAGGTGAGTTTTTACAACAGAAGTTAAGGAAAGGCTGAATGGGTCTCTTATGGAATTATGCCCAAATGTTTTACCCTCAACTCTCATTCAGGCTGTTAAGTACAGTTCTGTCCCATCTCAACTAAGCAGTCTTAACTTAGAGCTTCCTGTTTCTTTGTTTTGTCTTTTTGTAATTACTTTTTCTGTTTGTTTGGCTGCCTCTGAAAATACTGTTTCAGGGCAGTCAAGTTTTAGCTTTCCTTTCAACTGAGGGAACTGGCATTGCATATGGTGAGGCTCATCTTCTTTACTGGAAAATGACCAAGCATTGAACCAATCGCTTGAAAAGCTCTTACTTCAGATCAATTTCCTGTACCAAATGATATCACCTTACTAGGAGGCCTTCACTCTTGTTTTTCAATGACCCTTATTTCCTCTGCTTATATGCTTGCATTCTACTTTGGTTAGGTGCTGCCTCATCAGACTGGACTCTTAAACTCAATCAAATTTAGTTATTTGAGCCCACCAGGTTTGGGATTTTCTAAAATTAGTTCTTAAGGGGACTTGATATGATTTAGGAGAAGCTCAAATGAAAGGAATTACTGTAAGTAAAAGATTTAGAATGGTGCTTGGCACATAATAAGCACTCAATAAATGCTAGCAATTGTGGTGGTTGTTATTATTCCATCATTTTATGCAACTTGTTGGATAGATTCTGTATCCAATTGTGGGAATAAGTATAAGAATTTTTCATTCCTTCTGGAGAAATGACATCATGAGAACCCAGACTGAGAAAAAACATTCCTGCATACAAGGTGAAGGGTGACATATTAAAGATACTATCCTATAACATAAAAAAAATACACAGTTTCCTTTACTGGCTCCTCTTACTTTTTTAAATTTGGAAATGGATTCTCGCTATGATGCTCAGGCTGGCCTTTGAACTCCTAGGCTCCATCGATCCTCCTGCCTCAGTCTCCTGAGTAGCTGGGACTACAGGTGCATGCCACCACCCCTGGCCTCCACTCATCTTAGGAGTTCTCCTCCTCTATCCCTACCACCATCATCAACCCTGTTGGGTTCACCTCTATTTCCAGCATCGAATACAGTACCTGGCATTTAGAAGATGTTCCGTTGGCACTGAACTGCTCTAAAGTGACCTGCCCCAGTCCTAATTCTGCCATGTACTATTTGTGTGACTTTATCACTAAAGTCAGTGATAAAATCAGAGTTTGCCCTCAGGGCCCCAGCTTCCTCAATCATAGAATTGGAGGGGGAGCTTGGACTCTAGGATCTCCTGAGTTCCTCCTGGCTCTGAAACTTGATGTCACCTTGGGGCATTTGGGTTTCTGTTGACTGGTGGTGTGCTGGAACACTTTATGCATAAACATTCATGTGAGGATGAAGTATAGTTTTACACATGTTTTTTATCCTGGAAAGTGAAATTAGTTTGGGAAGTTCTTCTTACAATAGATACACAAATTCCTTCTTACATTTTGTTTCCTTTAAGGCCTATGGAAACTGGTGGGGTTGTCTGTGTGCATATGCCTGTGCATACTTCTGCATCTGTTTATAATTTACAGATAGATGGTAAGAATTTTTTCTGTCAGATCCAAGAATGTTAAATAGTTGTATCCGAAGCTAGTCATCCACTTTTAGGAATATGTTCTAGCGAAATAGCCTGGAATGTAGATAACGATTTATGGATAAAGTGACTATAACAATTTTATTTACAGTACTGACAAGCAGAATACAAAATAAAATGCTCAGCAATAGGAGAATGATTATATAAACTTGATAAGAATATTTATACTAAAGAGCCATATACAAAGATATTTTGTTCCACCTCAGCTATTTAGAACAGTAGATATAAAAAGTAGAGGAAATAACCCCAAATGATAATGGTTATTACTGGATAGTGGATCATGAAATATTTTTATTCTCTTATTAACACTTCTCTTTCTGTTTTTTTTTACAATGAGTATTATTTTTCGTATGAGAAAAATTATATTTAAAAGTTCAAACCTCATCTGAAATATAGACAATCCTGGTAATAAACACCAAAAATGTCAATGCAGGTTTCTTCACTGCGTGGGAAATACCTTGACAGAAAACAGTGAGATGGATCAAACTATTCTGCCCCCGAGTTTATTGTATACACCCACTAGTTTCATGCTTGGCATCAGGACCTTCTTTGAAAGGTCCTAACTATAGCATCTGTTGGACTGTCTGGCTGGGCTCCATGTCCATGGCACTACGGTTAAAGGCGGAAAGAGAAGGTCACCCTGTAAACTTTTCTGCCAATGACCACAGCAGCACAGCCAGCATATGTCTAAATGTGCAGGAATTTGTTCAACACAGAGTTCAATGTTTATAGAAGGGAGTGCAGACCCAGGAAATAATAAAATGAATGAATTTAATTTCCCACTAAGTGTTTTGTGATGGAGAGCATTAAATAGGAGCTTCCTTGGAATGCTATTAATGCAGCAAACCCTCAGTATCACTTTACTCCAAATCCTGGATTCTCTAAGCCTGCAGGGGGGTGTGGGAGAAGAAATCCTATCTGAAATCATCCAGACTACTGTAGTTATGCCAGTTTCTGATTGTGTGACCTTGGACAGTTTACTCATTCACTCACAAAATATTTACTGAGTTGCTGCTTTTTGTGCCAGGTGCTGGGAATAAAAGAATGAAGAAGATGGAAGACTTGCTGTCATAAAGATTAATGCCCATTGGGGTTGGAAGGAGATGCAGACAAGATATTTCACTTCGTTGCAACTCTTGTTTTCTTTGTCTTTTCCTTGAATTCTTTGGTTCTTCCCAGTTTGGTCTCAGGCCTTCTCTCACATTGTGCAATCTCACTTGAGAGTTTCAGGCTCTCCTGTCCTTGCAGATACTGCTTACTGAGGAAGGATTGGCCATCTATAAGTCTAGGCTGGGGTGCCCTCCTGAGCTATGGACTCATAGCACTGGTAGTCAGCTGGATAGTTCCCCTTGGCAGTCTAACAACTGTGTATAAGTTGGCTTGTTCAAAACTGAGTTTGGTGTCATCTCCACTTCTCTTCCCTGCAAACTGGCTTCTCCTGTGTTTCCTGTCCCCATGAATGGCCCCATTGTCCATCCAGTGTCCGAGCCAGAAATCTCCGCTCTTCCATGTGTTTTCCACCCCTCCATGTGTGATGAACCGTCCAGTTCTGTGGATTCCCCCTCCCGTGTTGATCTCATTCATTTCAGTCCCCTTCTTTTTAATCTAACCACTACCTCTCTTGAGGTTTCCCTGCCACCTGTCTTTCTCCCTTTCACATTCCAGACAGATGAATCTGTCTCCTTGTAACTCTGATCACATGACTCCTCTGCACAGTGCCTCCTGCCTGGCTGCCCACTGCCCTTTCTCTTTAATATGGCACTCCTGAGTTCTCCAGTCTAATTACCTGCCCTCTTTTTCCTCAAATCTTAAGACTTTAGTCATAAATCATTACTTTCTTTTATCCATATCATACTCATTTTACCTTATGACCTTTATATCTTCATGCATGCTGTTACCTCTGTTTAGAATGTTCTCTCCCTTGCGTCTTCCTCCCCCACTCCTTCCCTCATTTATCTGAACCACCCCATTTCATTCTTTAGATATTGAATCAGACACTACTTCCTCCAGGAAATCTTTATCGAATTCCCAAGTCTAGGTTGGACACCTCTACTTCCTGTTGCCATAGACCCTGTACCTCCTCCATCATCACCATTAAGACACTGCTTGGTCTCCTTGCTATCACCAGAAGACCATGGGCTTGGTGAGGGCAGAGGCCACCACTTTTTGTGTTTCTAGAATCTAGCCCAGTAATATGTAATTGTAGGTACTTAATAAATATTGATTAAAAGATAAATTTTTGTTTCTCCGGATGACATTAGTCTGGACATAAAAGTAAGGTTACACAGTAATAATAATAACACACCAATTGTTTTGTTCTCTTGGTCCTTCCTTGGACCAAACTCTGGTTATAACTCTTGCTTCCTTTAGGAAGCTCTTCAACCTCTCTGGCAAACTCACATTGTGTAGTTCATGCCACTGAACCCTAAGATCAACCGCACTTAAAAAAATACATTGGTATAAAAGGAATCATACATGGGCTGCTGTCTAAGATTCTGATTAGAAAGGAGAAAAATGCCTAAGTAAGAATAATAGTTAACATTCACTGACAGCGTCTTCTGCCAGGCGCCTTCTAACTACTTTACATGAATTATTTTGATCCTCCCAACAACGCTATGAGCAAAGTATAATTATTTCCATTGTACAGATGAGAAAGCTGAGATCCAGAGAAGTTAAGCAACCAGCTTCAGGGCACAGAGCAGAAGTGGTGGAACCAATGCAGGCAGTCTGATTCCATGGTCACCACCCTTGCTGCCTCCCTCTATGAACTCTAAAAAATCTTTAGCTCTAACCTTCTATGTTTCTCTGGTTGTCAAAAGCAAAAGCGAGCCTGGCTAATAAGGCATTTGCAATTGCAGGGCTTCCTCTCACTCAGACAGTATCCCTGGTTGCTGGAGGACCCAGCCAGTACAGATGGGGGTCAGTCCCCTCTAAGCCCTCTGTGATCACATCCTTATTTCCTAGATAGATGTTCATGCTGTTCATGAGAGACAGTATAGCACAGTGGCTAAAAAGTGGACTCTGAATTCTGACTACCTGAGAGCAAACCACAACCCTTTCACTCATTAGGTATATGACCTTGGGCAAATTATTTAAACCCCTTAGGCCTCACTTTCCTCATTTATACAAGGAGGATATTAATAATATTACTTAACCCATAAGCTATTATAAGGATTAAAGGAGTTAATATATGTGTAACACACTTAGAACAAGGCTTGGCCCACAATAAGCACTAAGTGTGCTTAGTCCACTTTTTGATTAGTATTTTTGTAATTAAAATAATCTTGTTAATATTTACTCAAGCTGGTCTTAGAGTGCTTTGATTAAGTACCAGGTTAGCTCAACTACTGATTGAGCTGTAGATATCTGGTAGATACCTACCAGTTCTTTCATCTCATTATGGGCTTTAATATATATATGTATTACTCAGAAAGATAAAAATAAATCATCTGCAAAACCCCACTTGAAAGGTTTTCATAAATCTTGTAAAAGTTGGGCCAAGTTTAAAGATTGCTGCCCAGATTGGTTTAAAGCCCTTCATTGTCTACAATCTAATGGGGATGCTTATAAAGGGAGGATCTGGAATGGTCTGTCTGGCAGTGTGTGTGGTCACCGGAATCACGGCCTTTTATCTACCTGATGGGTATGAGTAGGAGGAGTTGGCTCAGGCTCCAGGAAAGTCAGCAGATGATAAAGCCCTTGTCCTCGGTCTTGCTCATGCCAGCAGTTGGAGAGCAGTATATTGTGTGTTATCAGGTTCTCAGACCCTAGCCTGGCATTCATGGGCTATTCTCCAGCCTTGATCAAACCCACCTTTCCACTGTATACCGTTCCACACTTACCCTTTCTTTTGCTTAGAATTTTCTCACCCTATCTGAGTAAGACCTAATCCTAAAGAGGCCCAGATTAAAAGCCATTTCATTCCTGAAGTTTTTTCTTAGCACTCTACTGGCTGTGTTCTTTTCCTTTGCACTATGCCTACGTCTCATGCCTGTTTTCCCTTTCTATATTTGTTGTGCTTATAGGAATTTGCCATCTAACCTGGGCTCTCAAATACTTAAAGTTTTCACATCCATCCTTTTATTTAGACCTTAAAACAGCCCCATGAGGAATGTAGCATTTTCATCCTCACTTTTCCGATGAGGAACCCAGGGCTCAGAGAGGTTACGTGATTTGCCTAAAACACAAAGTTTTAGGCAAAGTTAAGTCAGACTCCAACTTTGGTGCATTTTTTCTCTGCCCCAGGCTCCCTCCTTGAAGTCTTATGTCATGTCTTGCTCAAGTTTGTATCTCCCTGCAGTGCCTAGCACAGCTTTAGGCTCAGTAAGGTTTTTTTATTTATTTATTCAACTTACATTTATTGTATCTATGAGGTGTTAGTTAGGTCTTGGGTACTAGCATTAAGCAAACATAGATATTTGTGGAAGAAAAGAAGGAAAGAAGGGATGTGGACATTTTTGTTTTACTTAGTAAGGTGGGTGGCATACGATTCATAAGCTCAAATCCCAACCAGGGCAGGTAAAAATGAGTTAAGAAGGTTGGGCATGACCCACTGAAAAGTAATGGGGACTCTTGCTAACTGGACATCAATACTGTCTAATGGAAGCGACCACAACTTAATTCCAGTTAATCATTGCCATGTTGGAATATGGGCCTAGTGTTTTGAGATTTTCCATTTTTTCAAGAAAAGCTGGAAGTCCAGACTTACTATACAGTTTCTTTATAGTCAATGTTGCCAACTAATTTGTTTTTATTTTTTAATTGAACAGCTAAACAATACATGGCTCATGGTTACCACTAACCTCCTTGAAATGCTGAGGATTGAGCCAACCATGCAGCCAGTGGTGCCCACGCTTCTGAGGCAGGGAGCCAGTGCTCAGGAAGGGCAGGCTGCTGCTTCTCTCCTTCTCCTTGTTAGCCCCCATGTGGGTCTCACCCACCTGCAGGCCTGTCTTGGCTTTGCAGCAATACTCCACCTCTTTGCCCCTGCCCTCCTAGCTTGTCTCCCGTTCTTTCCCTGCTGTCAGGGGTGGTGACTGCCCTGTCTCCTTCGCAGAGATCCTCGACACTGGATCTCACCCTCTAATTTAGCTCCTTGTCTTTATTGCGATGAATGAGGTTGAGCAGATGACAAGCAGAGATCTCTGGGCAGAAGATCAAACGCTCCCCCTGGGCTGCCCAGAGCATATTTATGACTGCTGCTTTGGGAAGTTCCACCCACGATAATGCGATGCCTGCAGAGAGTGAACTTATCTACCCTCTCCATACCTCTACCCAGTCCCAGTGGGAAGATAGAGATTTGTAAAGAAGACCTCAGAAAACAGAATCCGTGACAATCTGTTTGGAATTTTCTCTTCAGCTTTGTGATTTGGTGACTATAAATTAATAGAACACTCATGTAAAATATGACTGGAGATAGTTGTGCTAAGTGACTCCTGCTTCAGGGACTAGTCATAGAGTCCCCAATATTGGGACACAGGGTGGCTCAAAATACAATTTTAGGGGCATCAGCAACAGACTTGCTGGATGTTTGTTAAAAAAAACCCAATCCCTGAACTTCATCCCAGATCTAGGGGTGGGGTCTGGGAATATGCATCTTAACAAGAATCACAGCAGATTCTGATATATGTGAAGATTAGAAACCTGTAACTAATGATAATAATGAACACAGAACCCTAAGTATTCTAAGTGCTATGTATTTATTTCTTACAACATGCCTATGAGACACTGGTTTTTCTAAGTGTGGAGTAGATATCACTGTTTGCAATTATTTTGGGTGCTACACGGAGACATTTTTTAAAAAAGATTTCAAAGTTATGTGTTTAACTTACATATAAAACTCATATGTGTAATAAACCCACTAAACACTCATAAGTTCATCAACATTATTGCTTAAGTAAAGGCTAAATGTATTTAAATAAAAATAGTGAATCAATTTAAAGGGAAATATTAAATAAATACTAATTCTGGTAACAAACATTGTGAGGGTAGAATGGGGAAAATTCAAGTTTGCAAAGCATTGAGATGAGTGGAAAAGCTCTGTACTGAGTCAAAGAATTTGGGTTTAAACCTTGAATTAAATTCTTACTAGCTGTGTGGCCTTGAGCAAATCTCTATCTCTCTGAGTTTTAGCTTCATTCTTAGCAAAATGGAAATATTAAAACAAATTCAGCTAGGCTGTGGTGAAAAGCATATGAGAAAAAAAATAAAAGAACACTTAATAGGTGGTCAAGAAATATTATTGAATATAAATATTACTCTAATCTTTCTGAAGTATTAATTCAATATGAGGTGTTTTTCATTGTTGTTGTTTTGAGACAGAGTCCCCTGTCACGCAGGCTGGAGTGCAGTGGCGCAATCTCAGCTCAATGCAACCTTCGCTTCCCAGGTTCAAGCAATTCTTCTGCCTCAGCCTCCAATATGAGTTTTTAATGTGGACATTACTTGAATCTCCTTTAAAACTTGTTAGAAATGTAAACCCTTTTTTTTCTTTTTTATTGTTTTTAGAGATAGGATCTTGCGCTGTTGCCCAGGCTGGAGTGCAGTGGTATGATCGTAGCCCACTGTAACCGCACACTCCTGGGCTCAAGCAATCCTCCTGCCTCAGCCTCCTGAGTAGCTAGAACTATATAGGTGCACACCATCACCACCGGCTACCAACTCTTATTTCTCATATCTTTCTCTGAGTTATGTTTTCACTACATTTACTGAGGTATGAGGGGGACAGTGCAGAACTTGGGTTCCACCTCTGCCTTTAGCTATCGATGTGATCTCTGACAAGACATTTTGCCTCATTGTGCCTCAGTTTTATAATCTGTAAAGTGGGATTGCACTCAAAGACTTACAGGTTTTCTCCCAACGTCTTTGTATTGGAGCTTTTTTTAAATTATCTATAATAAACTGAGAACAGTCAGAGCATAGATTAAATATCACTTTTGCCCAGTAGGCAATTGGCCAGAACTGCTCTACAGTGGCCCAACTTACAGGTTTCATCTTCTCACGTTCTTTGGAGGTGCTAACGAGCAGTAAAACCAAATGGCTGGCAGAAGGAAGAGGAAAAAAGAGGATACTGGAGCAAGGAATTTGGATTCTCTTCAAGCTCAAAATATCTCCCAAACGAATAAAAGTTGATTATGTTTTTATAGTACTATAGTTCGATGGTACGATATATCTTGTTAATAGAATCATGCTGGCACTGGACTGAAGAGATTCATGATTAAGTTATGTCTATTTCTTTCTGCCTTAGAAATAGCAATGAAACCTGGATTTTTTTTATATGGGAGCTCTTCAGTCTTTAAAAAACTGAATTAATAACTGAGATGGCATAATTAGCTGCCTGGATGAGCTCTCAGAAATCAACTTTTCTTTGGGTCAGCTGTCTTCCAGTTAAGCAGTTATGCGGAAACCTTTCTTTTTCATGCCCGGAAGTATAAAACAGAAAAATCATGGGATGCTGAAATTGCTGAACACACACGAAGCGGTGCCACAGTGTCCCCACCCTGTGCCAAAGCAAATTTCTGAGCGTTATGTAATTTCTCCCTGGCTTTGAGCTCCCGTGATCCTGTCTGAGGTTTATGCTATACAATCTGCTAAAGCTGAGCTCTTTCAGGCACTTCCTTGGCGGGTGACATCTTGTCAATATTAGAGACCTGTGATTGGGAGAGGGGAGAGAGGCTCCCATCATTTCAGTCTACATCCAGCACCCTGCATTTTCCAAAATTCATGCTGGGGATTGCTAAAACAGACGGCATTTGTTGGCTGAAGAGTAAATCACGACTTTCGTGGGTACATTCATTCATTTGGAAAGTATTTTTGATCATTCACTGGGCTAATAGTGCTGTGGGGAATTTGAAAAAATGTATTTTATATGGTTTCAAAAACAAAGTCTATGGTAGAGCTTTTGCCCTCAAGGAATTTACAGTCCTTTAGAGAGCCAAGACATGCATTTTTAAGTTAACTAACAGCATGCACAAAAACTAGATACCCCTGTGATACACTAGTGGTAAAGCTAGCAAAAGGTAATGTCATGGAGTGTGAGTTCTGGTTGGGTGATCTTGTCTAATTCTCTTACATTCCCAGTGAAGAAACTTAACCACAGAAAAGTAGGAAAGGCCGACCTGAGGAAGCACAGCCAGGAAAGGATTGCATTTAGGCTTGAATGCAAATCTCATAATGCTTTTTGCACTCTGCTTTCTGCTACCCCACAGCCATCTCTCTATATGTTTAAGCATGAAAGTGGTGATTTCAGAAAACTGTTGATGCTCAGAGGGAGAAAATTGGCCAACTTTAGGAATCAAAATTCCAATATTGCTCCAGGTAATGCCAGAGAAACATAATTTGACCTAATGTGGTCCACATCTTTCTAGTCCAGTGTCAACATCATTCATTAACTAGATATACACTGTTATGTACTATAAAACCATAACCAACTTTCCACCATTTTGGAGAAATTTCTAGCATAAGGAGAATCTAGATCCCTGGTTTGTCGGTGTCATCTTTTTTCTTCCTCCTTTTGTCAGTCACTTGGTCATATTGCTCATTAGCACCTTCAAATGGATATAGGAAAATGAAACTACAGGTTGAGTATCCCTTATCCAAAAATCTTGGGCCAGAAGTGTTTTGGAGTTCAGAATTTTTTGGATTTTGGAATATTTGCATATATATGGTGAGATATCTAGGACACAGGACATGGGTCTAAACACAAAATTCATTATGTTTCATATACACCTATATTAGTCCATTCTCACACTGCTAATAAAGACATACCCCAGACTGGGTAATTTATAAAGAAAAGAGATTTAATTGACTCACAGTTCCGCATATCTGGGGAAGCCTCAGGAAACTTAGAATCATGGCAGAAGGGAAAGCAAACATGTTCTTCTTCACATAATGGCAGCAAGGAGAAGAATGAGAGTGAAGTGGGGGGAAAGCCCCTTATAAAACCATCAGATCTCATGGGAACTCACTCACTATCACGAGAACAGCATGGAGGTAATTGCCCCCCATGATTCATTTACCTCCCATTGGGTCCCTCCCATGACACATGGGGAATTATGGGAACTACAGTTCAAGATGAGATTTGGGTGAGGACACAGGCAAACCATATCAACACCTTACACACATAGCTTGAATATTTATACAATATTTTTTAGTAATTTTGTGCCTGAAACAAAATTTTGACTGCATTTTGACTGTGACCTATCACATGAAGTCGGGTGTGGAATTTTTCACCTGTGGTTTCATGTTGGCGCTCCAAAAGTTTTGGGTTTTGGAGCATTTTGGATTTTGGATTTTTGGGTTAGGGATGCTCAACCTGTAGTGAGTTGGCTGTCACTCAGCAGCTCTGGAAAATTACCTGTCTGCACTGAATTTCCTCATCAGTAAAATGGAAATGATTATAGTACTGACCTTGTAGGATTATTCTAAAAATCAGAGAAGTTCATGCAGCTTAGAACAGTGCCAGGCACATGGCAAATGCTATGGCATACTTAAGCATCTTCCTCTGTGGTGCCTCGTCATCACCATGTGATTGTGCCTTGCTTGTTCCTGTTTCACTTTTCAGAGGGAGAAAAGTGGCCAACTTTAAGAATCAAAATTCTGATGTTACTTCAGGAAATGCATAGAGCCAGAGAGACACAATTTGACTTAGTATGATCCACATCATCCCCTCAGGCTGAATAGTGGTGGCATGCACATCTATACCAAAATGTTTTACCTTTTTTGTAGAAGGAAAATATTTGTATCTTCTATTCCATATCTTAGATCTTTATAAGAGCACTTAAGTTCAACCTCCTAAGAAACTGCCAATTTTGTTGATCACGATAGTCTGCACAGATTTTCGTACTATTTAGTGTTGGGAGTGCCTTAGGGACCATCAACAACAGGCCCCTCCTTTTATCCATGAGACTACTGAGGCCTTGGAGGTTATTTGTCCATCCATGGCGGGTGCACACTAGAGGTTATCTGGTTAGTAGCCCAACTAAGATTAGAACCCAGGAATTTTGATTTAATCTCAAATGACCTCTTTTATTTCTGCATCCGGGAAGGAGAAGAGGAAAGTAAACGGGAAATTCATGTTATCTATGGAAAAGTTATCAGTTTGATGTTTATTAAATGATTTGTTTCAGGAGATTGTTTACAACTTTTATCTTCCTAGACAATAATTTTCTGTAAGAGTAAAGTCATGGTCATTAAGGTAGTCATATTAATGTATTCAGTAAGCTGTGTGGTGTGGATAATTTTGGTTTTGACAATAATTATACTTTTATTGAACACTTCCTGTGTGACAGATCATTTATGTTCTTTTCTGCTGAAAATTCAGTATGGGCTGGGATCACATTTATTTTGTAGATTATTCTGTCTGCAATTCCCAAATATAGTGGGCAGCACATGGTAAACACTTTGTAAATAATTGTAACATGTTGTAGTTTTGTTATAGCGTTATGCTTTGTAAAATTAAAAGTAGCTATATCCTTCTATGATCCAGAAATTTCACTTCTGGTTATATAAATCAAAGAAATCCTCATATGGTTCTATAAGAGAACATGTATAAGCATGTTCATCACAGCATTGTTGGTGATAGCTGGGAATTGGAGACAATCTGAACACACATCTGTATTAGTCAAGGTTCTCCAGAGAAACAGAACCAATATATATAAAGAGATTTATTACCAGGAATTGGCTCATGCACTTATGGAGCCTGGAAAATCTGAAGTCTGTGGGGTGCGCTGGCAGGTTGGAGACCAGGAAAGGGCCGATGCTGTAGTTTCAAGTCCAAAGGCTGTCAGGCCGAAGACCTGGGAAAGAGTGAATGTTGTAGTTCAAGTCTGAAGGCCATCTGCTGGAGTAATTCCCTCTTGCGCTGGGGAGGTCAGCCTTTTGTTCTATTCAGGCCTTTAACTGATTAGATGAGGACCACCCACATTATGGAGGGCAATCTTTATTCAGAACCTACCCATTTACATTTTAATCTCATCCTAAAGCACTCTCATAGAAATGTCAAGAATAATGTTTGACCACATATCTGGGCCCAGCCAAGTTGATGCATAAAACTAACCATTGCACCATCCCTGTGAAATTATATAGGTAAAATTTAATGGCTGCTGACTCGGGGGTACTGTATCAAATAAACTTCCAAAGAAGAAAGAGATGGTATGCTCAGAAGAGTTCAACTGAAAAGAATTTAATGAAGGTGCTGCTTACGATGGTAAACAAAGTTAAGGAATCAGCAGAGACAGGCACCCAGGGACTAGGAACTAGGCTTGAAGGGTAAGGGGAGAGAATGATGCAATTGGAATCCAGTGAGACTGGAGCCATAGAAGAGGGCCATCCTGCCAGAAGCTGTGGCCATAAAGGAATAGACCTACTGCCAAATGCTCAATAAGGCAGAGAGGGAGGGATAGGTGAGGGGCCAGGGTGGTAGCCTGAAACCCGACCTCTTTCTTCTGGCCTTCAGTCTTCTTTGGGTGTCCCTCATTGGTCAAACACAACCAGAAGCCAGTGGGCATGGGGCTCTGGGTGATGTGTCTGTAGAGATCAGCCTTAGGGGCACAGAGCTGGGCAAGGAATGACTCAGTGGCCTGGAAAGGGCACATGATGAAAGGCCATCATAAATAGTATACAGCAGTTAGAAATGATGGAGTAGATATGCTCAAAACCACATGGATGAATCTGAAAACGTAGTGCTTGGTGAAAAAGGTAACAAATAGAAAGATCTAAAACACAATTCTAGTTATGAAAATAAAATACATATGCACAAAACAACAATGCACATCTGCCAGACTATTTGGGAACAAAAGCATACACATCAAACACTGTGGAATAGCTGCATGTGGTATAGGAAAGTAATGTGGATTAAAGGGAATAAATGAGAAGGAGAGAGAGGTCTTTCATGGACCAATGATGATAATGTGCTATGAACAGAGGAGAGTGATTAAGTCAACTCCGTGCACTAAGGATCCAACTTTATGAGAAAAAAATATATTTATAAAAAATATATAACATATATATATATATATTTGGTATTGATTTTTCTGTTATATGGATGAGGTACCTTATCCATCTAACTCATGCTGCCAGATTGGAGGAATTTGAGGCCTGAGGGGTTCAAGGAACTAGCCCAGGGTTATGAAGGTAGTGGGTGATCTCTTGAGGAAATGAGACGCCATGGATATTCTTGATGTAGATTCTTCTCTTCAGTGACATTGTCATGACCCCACCTCATTGAGATATTTGATCCACACAATACAGTGATTTAAGGCCTGTGTGAATGTAAATTACTGCTGTTCATTTTTGTGCTCCTGCCTGGGACCAGGGAAGAAATTCTCCAAACATCCTGCTTTCCGAGTTTGAGGACTTACTTTAGAAAAGTACTACCATTGGCTTTATACCTATCATTAGCTAAACCTTCTGTAAATGGCATCATTTTGGGAGCAAGGTAATTGTCAGGTCAGGCCTGGATAGACATATACCTCCTCTGTTATCTGCAAGGTTGCTTTCAATCTCCTTCTTTTCCATCTGTCTACAGGCATCTCAATGGTTTATGTTAACCTTAGAAAATAGGGCTTGGGTTTAGCCACAGGGGATGGAAGATGGCCTTAGCCACATGGCTGTGGAAGGGAAGGAGGTAGGGATGGCCCTAGTCACACTGGGCCTGTGTAAAAGGGCCAAGGAGCACTTGCCCCTCCAAGGGCACTTGTCTCTGGGGCTGTACTTGCCACAAACCTAATCCTCTCCATTACATAGCTCTGCAGGCTAAGTTTTCAGGAGACAGCACAGACGGAAAAGCTCCATAAAGCTGTTCTGATCCTCTTAGCACTTTGTGCAAGGAGCACAGATAAGACTTTTGATTCTGGGAATTACTGGAAGAAAAAATATACCTTTGTCTGAATCACTCATGCTGCCAGATTGGAGAAACCTGAATCAGTTTGATGTTGTTCATAACAACAACGGTAGTAATAGTAATAATGAAATCTGTCCCCACCATTTGTTTACCTACTCTGTAGGAGGTACAGTGCTTGAAGGTTGGCATCCGTGATCTCATTCCATTTTCACACAACCTTGCATTTTGCTGGCAGAGAGACCAAAGTCAAACAGGTTAAGCAACTTAGCCAAGAATAGAGCCAGAAAATGACCCAGTCTAACAGCCTCCTCAGCTCCTGCCCTGTCCTCACAGTGGTTCCATCCCAAATGCAGTAGCCAAGTCTGTCCTGAGACAGGGTGGCATTGGGGTGGAAGCCCAGGAAGGCTGAAGCTTCCCAGGTGGGGCTAAGTGGAATGTCCCCAAGGCCCAGATTGGTGCCCATTTTAAGGGCAGGGTTTCCTTGATGAGGTTGTTCTCTCTTCTTGCCTGGAGAGAAAGCCTATGTTATCTTATGAAATATCCCCTCAGGTAAGAAGGGAGTGCATTCTATTATATATCAGGACATGGATCCTGCCAGACTGCAGTGAGTCAAGGCTGCTTCATGATGTCTTGAGAGCTGGTGTCCTGGGATCCTTTGGCTGGGCTGGAAGGTTCAGCTGGTCCACATGGGTAGGAGGATGTGTTGGGAAGGCAGGAGAAGAAGGATGGCCTGGCCTAGCGGTTTAAGTTTGCTCCTAGAGAGCAGAAGTCCTGGCATAGAAAAGGGGATTCCTGGGCTGTCACAGTGAGTCCATATTAGTTTCTCTTACTCTGATACTCTTCAAAGTCCATCCAACTGGAGTCACATACTCCCTTCTTCTTTTTGCAAGCAGTGCTCAAAAGTGAATCAAGCCCACTCAGCCCAATTTGTTGTTAATGCTTGTTGCTCTCGCTTGCCTCCCTTTTTGTTTTCTCTTTTTAAGGCTGTTTTGTCCTAGTAACAAATAATATAAAAAATAAAAATAAAATAAATAATAAAATACTACTACTAATAATTGGCAACAAGCACCATTCTAGTTGCTTTATGTAGATGATCTCATTTGATCCTCTGCAGAACCTTACAAATTATTATCCCCAATTGGCAGATGAAGAAACTGAAGCTTGGAAAGGTTAAGAAACGAGTTCAAGGTCGCCCAGCTAGAACATTGAGGAGCAGAGAACAGAATGCTATTTTGTGTTCCTTCAAAGCCTGGCTTACTCTCTACTTGACCACATTGCCTATAAAATGGGGATGGTAATAACAGTTGCCCTGCTTGCTTTGCAAGCCTGCGGTGAGGATCAAATAAGACAGTAATTGGGAAAGCACTTTGAAAATTGCAAAGCGCTATGTAAATATATGGTATTATTCTAATGTATCACGGGCCTACAAAAACACTGCTCAAACATTTCATTTAAGAGAAGACACACCAAACCATTATTCAATAAGATAACACCATATGTGATCCTTTCATCATTCCAAGAATGTTTATCAAGTCCACAAAACCAAAGCCATTAGTAAGGTTTTGTTTTCTGGGTAGGCTCAGCAAACTTGGAGCAAGCTCAAGTGGTCTTTAAATAGTCAAGTTAAATTGAAGAGACCGCATTAAGTGTCAAATAATTAAATGCCCTTACAGACTCTGGGAGTTTAAGATATATGCTTTCAATACATTAGAATATTCCTAAGAGTAGCTTTCAAGGAGTTGAATGGGAATCCCTTTGGTACTAAAGGGAGCGGTAATAATAATAACAGAAAATAATAGCAGTAATTTTAACCAGTGGAGTAGTGTGAAGAACACTGGCTATCCAACCAGACTCCTGGTCTACTAGATATATAACCTGGAAAATAATTTAATCTGTCTGTGCTTTAGTTTTCTTGTTGGTAAAATGGGAGTAGTAATAGCACCGACCTTGTAAAGGCTGTTGTGATGATTAAATGAGCAATTGGAACTGCACCTGCCATATATAGTATGTACTCTGTAAATGTTACCTCATGCTATTATTATGCTTTCTTAAGCACACAAAATATTTGCAAACAACATAAGAATAAAATGGTAAAGAAACTGACTTCAGCTGTAATAACTAAGGTCCTCCAATGTGCCAGGTATGATGCTCCATACTTTATATACATTATCTCTTTAATCATCATAACAACTCTCAGGGAGAGATTTTCTCACTCTCCCCCTCCGCATTTTACAGATATGGAAACGGAAGTCCGGAAGACTCAGTGTGATCATCTGAATTGCTCTTTAAGACTTTTTTATTCTTTACTACTTTCCCAAGTTGCCAAAGCCTGGCAGCTAGCAGCAAGTCCTCTGCCCTGGATCTGATTGGTCTTGAGAATGGGGAGGACTGTCTAGTGTTTCAGCTGTGCCTATGCTGCTGAGAGATGGGCAATAGGGGAAGCGGGACCCCTCTAGAAGTGATGGCTGAGAAACTTCAGGCTGGACTTTCCACACCTTTTCAGGGTTCTGGAGTGAGTCAGTGTTACTCAGCCCACTTAGGGCTATTCTTGAAGCTGCTTTGAACCAGATTTTAAGGTTTTAGAAACATTCGGTAAGGCAGGAGTGTGGCTGGTACCCTGCAATCCCTCCAGAATGGTCTGGTTTCTAACTGGGTTGATTTAGGATGACATCACATCAGTTCACAGCATTAAAACTGCCTTTAGCGCCTCATTGTCCAAAAGGACAATGTCCTCATTCTTTAATATTGCGGTTGAGTGGAGTAAGTTTTGACTTCAGAACCTAACAGGCACAGATCTGAATCTTGGCTCTGTCATCAATGAGCTGAATGATTTTGAGATAAGGTAAATTTCTCAGAGCCACAGTTTCCTTATCTACTAAATAATGCTTCCTTGCCAGATCAAATAAGATGCAAAGGGACGCAAAGTACCCCACACCTGGTGTGGCTTACAGTGAGTACTTACTAAATGTTACTTCCCTTCCTTTCTCTTAGCAAGGCACACATAACCCTTTCTAAACACACCTCGACCTGTTTATTAACATACTGTACTTTTTTTCTATGTGCCTGATAGTTCATGAAGACCAAGTTGAAACATGCCTTTCCTAGTTTTGCCACAGAAATGAGATAATCTATGTGGAATTACCTAGCTTATTGCCTGGGACAAAATGGGCTCTAAATAAGGAAGAATGAGAAGGTGGCTGAATGGTAGGAGCTAGGAATGTTGGTAATATTTTCTCCTGAAGCGTACCCAGACTTCTCTGGGAAACTTGAATTTAAGAAAGCTTATAAGGGAGACTGTGCAGTGGAAGGGGTCTGGTCAAGGAGAAACAGAGCACTGGTGCCTGTATACTGCCCTCCCCCAATAAAATATTTGTCTCCTCTACCCCACAAGCCAGACCACAGCCATTCACATTTAAAGCTTGTGGTTTGTCCATCCTTGGGAGGGTGCCACGTGGAATAGGATTATATTAAGTGCATAGTGATGGCTTTGTGGCTCAGGCAGGGAAATGTCCCTGGCTAATTGCACATTAGATACTAGTCCTGTAAATGTTATTAGGCTGTGCAAGCTAGCTGCTACTATTAACTTTATGTTGACCTTCTTTGTACCAAACACAAGCTCTCAAAAGAGTTCTTTGCAGAGTGCCATTTAAGGGCTCGTGCAGCCTTTAGAAGTTGATTTGGGGATGCCTGGGAATGCAGTCTCCTGGAATTGCATTTAGGATCCTGACTCAATATGTATTTTCATTCTGGTGTTTCTTTTGGTCCTATTCCATGCGTTGGATAGCTGAACATGGACAGATATACAATATGAAGTCTCTTTGGTTTCCATAGTAACACATTATTTATCTGGCATTGTCAGCTCATTAACTGTTCCACCCAAGTGAATTTTCCAACTAATCGAAGCATTTCTCATTAAATGCCAAACAGTTTGTTGTTTAATGGAAATCTTTCCTAATGGATTACCCACGCACCTCTGTCTTCCGAAGGAGGGCTGTCTTTTCACAATACTGCTTGGACTTCATTGTGAGTTTTTGGATGGTGCTGTCATATATATTACTACATACCCAGGGTGTGTTGAACTCTGGACTAATTGCTCTAAGCTGTTAAATTTTTTGAGTCCCTGGGTCTCCGCACTTTCTCCTGAGTAGTTCCCAGTTTATCTGCCTCCATCTCCTTTCCTGATCTCAATTTGTTGTGTCTAGTCAACTCCAGACTAGGAAATCTGATAACGAAGCTTGTGAAAAGTACGTATAAACAGCTTCTGAGTGAAAACCTCTTGAGCTTTTCTAAGGAGTAAGAGCTTCAATGCAACAAACTGGGCTGATTCTCCACAACAGAAAGCATTCTGCCTCAGACATTGTTTTGTCAGATATTTGTTTACCTATCCTGCCAAATTTGAGTTTCAGGAACCTAATCCAAATGTTAATTCGAATTTCCAAATCACCACCGATTGCCCATCCCTAATCAAAAAATTCTAAATGCTCCAAAACCTAAAACATTTGAGCACCAACATGATGCCACAGGTGGAAAATTCCACACCTGACCTCATGTGATGGGTTGGAGTCAAAACTTTGTTTCATACACAAAATTATTAAAAATATAGGGGCCAGGCATGGTGGTTCACACATGTATGTAATCCCAGCACTTTGGGAGGCTGAGGCAGGAGAATCACTTGAGTCCAGGAGTTTGAGACCACTCTGGGCAACACAGAAAGACCCTGTCTCTTTAAAAAATAATAATTATTATTATTTTATATATATATAAAGTAAGATTACCTTTATACTATGTGTATAATGTGTGTATAAAAAATAAATTTTGTGTTTAGATTTAGGTCCCATCCCTAAGATATCTCATTGTTTGTATGCAAATATTCTAAAATCTGAAAAAATCCAAAATCTAAAACACTTCTAATTGCAAGATTTTTGGATAAGGGATACTCAACCTGGACTATCCAAGTGCTGGCTTTAAGTGGGATGTTACAAGGCCTTCAGAAAGGTCTGTTCAATCATTTCTTGTTCACTGCCAGGCACTGAGCAAAGCACTGGCCACCTAGATAGACATAGTCCTTGCTTTTGGGATACTGAAAGTCTAGATGGAAAAAAACTTAGAAATATGCAGATAAACTTGAAAAATGGTATAGAGGGGTGCATGACTAGGTTCTGCATAGCACAGAGAAGGGAATGATGTCTGCTTAGAAGAATCAAAGACCATAAGCAAGAGGAGATAATTTGCCCTCCCTCTACCTCCCTTTTAAAAATTCATTTATGTCTTTCTGTATTTCTCTTGTTCCTATAGTCAATAAACACTTATTCAATACAAACTATATTCCTTTCACTGAGATTGCAGTAGCATATAAAGCAGATATAATTCCTGTTCTCATTTTGACATAAAGGATGAATAGAAAGAAAGGGAAGAGGAATGAAAATGGGCATCCCAAGAAAGAGAATCACGGATCGAAAGGGCAGGTGTGTTTGGAATGGTGAGCTGTCATTTAGCATGGCTGGAATTATGGGAAAGGAGGTTGTAAAGCATGCTCTGCTGAGGACTTCAAACTTTATTATATGTGCAGGAGATGCCCAGCAAAGGTTCTAACCCAGGAGTTCTTAGAAAAGTGTCACCAGGCTGGGCGTGGTGGCTCACGCCTGTAATCCCAACACTTTGGGAGGTGGAGGTGAGAGGATCCCTTGAGCCCAGGAATTCAAGATCAGTCTAGTCAACATGGTGGAGACTCTCTCTACACAGAAAATTTTTTTTTAATTAGCCAGACTTGGTGGTGTGTACCTGTGGTCCCAATTACTCTGAAGGCTAAGGCAGGAGGATCACTTGAGCCCAGGAGGTCATGGCGGCAACAAGCCATATTTGACTCACTCCAGCCTGGGTGACAGAGTGAGACCCTGTCTCAAAAAAAAAAAAGAAAAAAGGAAAGAAAAGAAGTGTGACCATATGATGGGGGATTGTGGCATGGGAGGTGGGCAGCAGCAGAGAACCAAACCCACAACATCTAATAAATGACATGTAATTTTCAACTTCAACTTTAGGTCTTAAATTTTGGGTTTTTTGCCTCAATTACCCAGAATCCATCAATAGCTTTTCTGTTGTTTCTGCCTCTGCTCTTTTCCCTTGAATGCTGTCACACAGATCCAAGCAATTAGAGCCTACAGAAACAAGTAGAGGCTGCCTGACCCCAGGAATGGGCTAATAGATGACTCAGCCATAGTTTTGCTGCAGAATTATGTCAGTGGAATTTATTAATGCCTGAATTATATTCCATGTTGTACTGGTTCTTAACCCACATCATGAGGATTAAATGAGATAATGCATGTGAAATCTTCATGCCTGACCCATAAGCACTAAATAAACAGCAATTGTCTTTAACCCGTGCTTATTCCACTCTGTCACACTGCCTGCCAACTTAACGCACTTGGTCTTTTTTCAAGGTATATGGGCTGTCAGCTTATCTTCACTGTACTGTTAGCTCCTCAATTGTGGGATCTGGGAATGTTAATCTTTGTATCATAGTGACTTTTAAGTTAGATTATTTAAACATGTCATTCTAATCATAATGCAGAGACACATGCATGCTTTCAGAGAGCAGCAGAAATTCAGTTTTAATTTATCATTGCATTGAAGCTGGAAGAAAACCTGAGGGTATTGTTCTCAGAAGTTTTAACGAGAACAACATTCTCTTTGCATTATCAATGTTCCTCAGTCGCCACTTGGCTGGAGCAACTACCTCTGGCTTCAGTTAGCTATTTACATTCCTCTATTTTTATATAAATTGTGCTATATTAGCATATATTTCACACTGTGACCTAGTGTTTCCCAGATCCTTTAAGCCAGGCTATTTGTACATTAGTCAACGTCAATGGAAGTAAAATAGCAAATTGAGTACAGACTGTAGCCCTGCTGCATTGCCCACTCTGTCATGCTGAAATGGATTCCTTATTCTAAGAAGATTTGCTGTGAAATACAGTCTATTTACATTAAGAAGACCTCTGTATATTTAAGGCATAATTGTTTCAGGGCCTTCATTAATTCTTGAACTGCAAGACCTAGATTTTCTTTTCTTGTATCTTTTCTATAACAATGGAAGTCAGGAGTTTCCAAAAAAAATAACAAATTGTTCCTCATTAAAATGGAACTGAAAATGGTTTTCTGGAAATGTGCTTTACAAACAATGAGAGAATCTGATTGTAAATCAACTCCAGGACCCAGCTGTCTCAGGGTCCAGGCTGGGAAGCTCCAGGATAAAAGGTAGTCTGTATTTTTATGGAAAAATAAAACAATTTTTTACTTCCGTAATTGATGAAGTGCTTATCTTGTCATACAATTTTAAAGTCGGAAGAGATCTCAGAATTCATTTAATCCAGCCCCTTCTTGGAAAATAACTTCTTCCTTGGTATCTCTGACATATGGACATCTAGTCTCTTCTAGAATACTTTTAGCCATGGGCAACTCACTCCTTTTTCAGAAAAAATTGTGGTTAAACATATGTAACATAAAATTACTTTTTAACCATTTTAGGTGTGCAGTTCAGCTGCGTTAAGTACATTTCACATTGTTGTGTAATCATTACCACCATCCAATGCCAGAAATTTTTCATCTCCTCCAACTAGAACTCTGACCCATTAAACACTAACTCTCGATTCCACCCCACCCTGCCTCTGCCTCCTGGCAACCATCATTCTACTTTCTGTCCCTATGATTTTGACTAGTCTATGTGCCACATTTAAGTGGAATCATATAGTATTTGTCCTTTGTGACTGGCCTATTTCAGTTATCATAATTGTCAAGATTCATCCATGTTAGAGCATGTGCTAGAATTTTCTTCCTTTTTAAGGCTGAATAATATTACATTGTATGCACATGCACATTTTGTTTATCCATTCATCTGTCAATATACATTTGGGTTGCTTCTACCTTTTGGTTGTTATAAATGCTGCCATGAGTATGGGTGTGCATATTTGAGTCCCTACTTTCAATTCTTTTGTGTATATATTCCCAAAAGCAATTCCAGAAGTGGAATTCCTAGATTACATGGAAATTTTATTTTTAATTTTTTGTGGAACTGCCATATTGTTTTCCACAGTGGCTGTACCATTTTACATTCCTACGAGCAGTGCATAAGCATTCCAGTTTCTCCACATTTTTGCCAACACTTGTCATTTTCTGTTTTTGTTTTTTTTTTTTTTTAAACTCTTTAGCGTTGTAATGGCATGGACTTTGGCTTTGAAACCTGGCTCAGCCACATACTAGGTGTGGGAATTTGAACAAATTATTTATTCTCTCTGAGCCTGAGGGGTTTTTTTGGAAAATGTGGGTAATGGATAATATTAATTTTATAAAATTATGAGGATGAAATGAGAAAATTCATGTAAAAATACTTAGTTCACCATCTGAAAATAGGAGGCTATCAGTGAATATTTGCTCTCGTTTTTTTCGTGGTCATTGATTAGTCCATTAAATTTAGGGCTACTCTGATGTTAGACTGACTTCTTCATTTTGAATTAAAACCTACTTTGGTGTAACTCCTGTAGCTTGTGTAACAGTTGCCTTTAATTCATCATTCCTGACTCTGCTCTTTACAATGTCACATGATAAATAATATCCCCCTCCCACATGTCACCTGTCTGATATTTGAAGGCAGCTATCAAGTATTCACTAGTCTTCTCTTGCTTTGGTCGAACACTCTGGTTTCCTTCAACTGTTTCTTAAATGATGTGGTTTCTAGATCTCTCATCATGTATATCAGTCAATTCTGGACTACAGTCTAGTAGAATAGGATAATTGGAAATCACACCATCTCTCCCCTTATTTTGGCTTTCCTGCCAAACTGTGATGTCCACATGAAAGAACAGATGCATGGATATGCGTCTCTCAATCAGTTCAACACATTGAGCCCTTGGCCATGGCTTCCATCTCTTACTCAACCTCTCCCCTTCCTCATTGCTCAGAGTGCTTGATGTCTAAAGCACTTGCTTTCATTGAGTTTAGGATCAATTATAATTTCAAATTTTCTCCATTTTGTTTTTTCTCTCCTGTCAGCTCCTTAAGAGAGACCAAGGACTACCTGTTCCCGTGTACCTTCCTCATGGTCCCACTAGCACCCAGCAGGCATGAAGGCTGTACTTTTGAAATAAAATTCAGTTTCGCTCTGAGACATGGAGCTGTGTCTTCTGACACAATCACAAAAACCACAGAGGGCATTGGCTAGAGTTTGAGCCTTTTCTGTTGCTGAAGGGAATACCTAAAGACTTGCCCAGGAAGAGAAGGCTAGAGTGGGAGAGTATTTTGGCTGGAACTCCAAGGAGCACTTTGAACGTGGGTCTTCAGACATGAAAGTGTAGGGAGGGCTTCACTCCACCCCACCCTGTCCTGTAATTCCTGGACTCTTCAATGCCAAGCGAAATTATCAGTTTCTAAATTTGCCCTTAGGAGGGTGAATAGAGTGCCTTAGAAATACCAGTGCTGTTTCTGAAAGTTCCCAAGCAGTTGAAAGAATTCTGGATTTACATGCCTAACTCATCTAAATGTCTTTTCTTTATGAGCTCGTTGACATCCAAGAAGACTTTTCAGTTTTATTATGAACCTTTTTACCTTTAAAAACAAAAATCCCAAACCTCTATTCCTGAGAAGGGAAGTTGTAATTTTGTCAAAGATAAAATATTTGAATGGTGCTCTGTCCCAGCTCCTCCACTGTGTGTTTGAAAACCTAGTTCCTCATGTATTATCCTCCCAAACACATGTTATGTGTTTACATTAAAAAAAGGTAAAAGCCAGATTCTCTTCCTTTCTTTAAAAATAGAACAAAAACAAAACAAAAAGTGAAGGAGAGGGAGGAGTAACTCATTTCTTGGCATTTTAATAGAGTACCCAGAATCCTCCTAATATAAGGCACTATTATAGTTGAAAGGCATATTAAAACTATGTATAAATGAAAAACTCTGTCTTTTAAAAATTGTTTATTTATTAGACTGGAGTGCAATGGTGCAATAACAGCTCACTATAACCTTGAACTCCTGGGTTCAAGTGATCCTCCTGCCTCAGGCTCCTGAATAGCTTGGACCACAGGTGCATGACACCATGCCAGGGTTTTTTGTTTGTTTGTTTTTTGTTTTGTTTTGTTTTGTTTTGCTTTTTTGTAGAGTCAGGGTCTCACTATGCTATCTAAGCTGGTCTTGAACTCCTGGCCCCAAAAGATCCTTCTGACTTGGCCTCCCAAAGTGCTAGAATTATAGACTGAGCCACCGTGCCCAGCCTAAAAGCCCTATCTTTAGTAAAGGACTGGTAGATTTACTTATGATGGACATACATGAGCTTTATGGCATGAGTTTTGTGACTTCTACATTAACCACTCAGAACACTGACAAGCTGTAAAAATATTATAGATCACAGCCATTTTTCAGATATGTGCAGTTGCCAGATTGCTGATATGCAGATCTTATTTTGCAAAGTCAAGGCAAAGTGGTCCCTTCTTAGTTTGCCTGTTTGCCATATATGCATTTGGAATGATGCCACACTGCCTGGTGAGACCCCAACAAAGGCATTACTTGGTGGCGTAGAAAAATAACCAATTTCCAAGGAAAGACAGAAAGAGGCAGGTCTTCTTCACCCATATGGGCCTGTTGTCTTCCAGGTCTAATTTGGGCTATGTTTGGTTTATCTGTGTGGTAGACTTCACTTTTCTTACATTAATTATTTGTGATCTGCCACCTGGGGAAGTTGGAAAACATCAGAAGTTAATGCTGTTGGGTTTCTTTAAGGAGAAGAAAGAAAGGCCTAGAGGTGTCTTTGCAACAAAGAAGGTAGCTATTAACCTTTAAGGGTGTTGTAGAAGCCAGTATAACATCACTAATGTGGTTGTCATGAAATGCAATGACCCTTCTCTCTTCTGTCACCTGTCTCGCTTGACTAACTCTACCACTCACATTTCATGATTCAGTGTGGAGAACATAATGTGACGAATAGGAAAGGAGAATGTAAACACCTGTAGTAATGTCTGTCTAGTGTGACCAAAATCCCTGACCTTATATTTTAACATTGTAACTTTTGGGAAGAATTTCTTTTGATACATGTTTTTATTTTATGAACTTAAAAAAACCCGACAACCCTTGTATATGTCAGAGTCTGTTAGTACTGTGTGATACATTAAATAGCAGAGAATGGAACAAATATCTGTGGAATAGGTTAATTATTATTATTATTATTATATTTATTTATTTATTTATTTTTTGAGATGGAGTCTTGCTCTGTCGCCAGGCTGGTGGAGTGCAGTGGTGCAATCTCGGCTCACTGCAACTTCCGACTCCCTGGTTCAAGCGATTCTCCTGCCTCAGCCTCCCGAGTAGCTGGGATTACAGGCACACACCACCACGCCCAGTTAATTTTTGTATTTTTGGTAGGGATGAGGTTTCACCATGTTGGCCAGGATGGTCTTGAACTCCTGACCTCATGATCCACCCGCCTTGGCCTCTCAAAGTGCTGGGATTACAGGCGTGAGCCACCGTGTCAGGCCAGGTTAATTATTTAATGCAGACTTCTGCTCAGGGTATTTGTGCTTAAAGAGATGGACTGTATAGACACATCCTAGTAAAAGGCTTGAGTTACTGGTAGTTTAAACAGAAGCCACTGGTGAACAGGGGAAAGAACTATTGGTTCAAGTTTAATTTGGCATCTTTTTAGCAGTGACATTTGGCACATCACCCTCTAATCCTTGGTTTTGTCACCACCAAAATGAAGATAATAACACATCAGCAAATGTTTGTGAAAATGTATAAATGTGCTTTGCAAACTCTCATGGATAGATAGCATGTTATTAGTATGATTGCTCTGCTAATGAGTGTAGACTTTGCTGAAGTTCTCCTCCTCCTCTTCTTCCTGCCTCTTCTTCCTGCTCATTACTGTCACAACTACCCCTTATGAATTTGTGAGCCATTAGGGTAGATTCTGCATCTCTTAACCCATGTCTTTTTCTGCCTGCCAGTCAGAGTCAGCAAATATTAGATACCTAATAAGTGTCCAACACGAAGGATTTAAAGATCAGTACTCAAAATATACAAATATGGACATGCAGCGATACCTAAGTGACTGTTTACAGTTCCCCAAATTAGTATGGCTCCCTGGGGCAGAAAAATCTTTTGTCTACATTTCTAATGTCTACTCATCCTTAAAACTCAACTCAAAAGTCAGTATCCCTTGGCAACCTGAGATGTTCATTTCTGTTGCCCTCCTACTCGCTCTTATGAGGTGCTCTTTCTATGGAGTCCCGTAAAACTCCGGGCATACCTCAGAAGAAACACTTGTCATTTGACAGAGGAATCTTTGAGAATTGAACTCTTTTTAATAAAAATTCTCCCATTTTGCACATGGTATAGAATTTTAAGAGTGCAAAAAGATGTACAGTAAAACATCCTGCTTGCCCCTGACTTGAAACCACCAGTTCCCCTTCTCTGGTGTAGACACTGTTCCCAATTTTGGGGCATCTCTTTTATAGATATTTTATAAAGATGTATATTTATACATGTAAGAGTATGCATACATAATGCATATTATACATTCCATATGTATCTGTGTATAAGAACACACAAGCACATTTTTGTTTTTGCATAAATTATATTGTTGTATACACACTATGAGTACTTTGCTTTTATTTTTAAACCTAATGATTTATTTTGGTGATTGTTCCAAATACAGTGCATACAGTTTCCTTGTTTTTTTATAACAGCTGCATTGTATTTCATTGTGAATTTTGGATAGCCATAATTTATTTAGGTAGTCTGCTATTGCTGGACAAGTAGGTTGTTTCCAATCATTTTATATTATAGACAATACTGCCATGAAAATGTTGTAACAATATCATTTCATGTATGTTTGAGGGCATCTGTCAGATTAAATTCCTAGAAGTGGAATTGATGTACACACAGTTATTAACATTTTAAACTTTCATAGATATTGTCAAGTTGTACCAATTTATGCTGCTTTTGATATAAGGGTTCCTGATTGTTCATATCCCTTTCAGTATAGTGAGTTATCAAACTCTTCATATTTCCAATCTGATTGGGGAGAAATAACATCTCATTGAAGTTTTATATAACATTTTTTATATTATCAGTCAGGTTATCATGTTTGATATGTTTAAAGACCACTTACATTTCCTTATCTGTAAATTGTGCACTCATATCCTTTGTCCACTTATCTATTTCCTCCTTGGATTTTTTTTCTTTCTGATTGGTAGGAAATTTTGCTTACTATATTGTAGCCCTTTGCCTTTTGAGCTGCAATAATTTTGTCTCCCTAGTTTGACATATGTCTTTTGATATTAATAACCCATTTATGCCTAAGTAGCAATTTTTTGAATTTTTGCAATCAGACCTCGGCGGGGACCTTGAGCAGTAGGATATCAATAACTCTCACGTGCTTAGCCTTCCAATAATGGAACACTAGTCATAAATGGTTAATACGGTCAAATTTATTACCTTTTTAAAGGCTTATAGATTTTTGTGTCAAACTTTGAAAAGGTCTTCACACTACAAGGACCTTGAAGCAGCAGGTCAGAAAAAATGCAGACAATGGAGAAGGCTTGTGGGGAAAGGCCTGAAGAAGAGGGTCCTCCTAGTGGAATAGCTCACAGTGTGGGACGGTGACATGAACTTAAGGGAGAGGTAGTAAAGTGAAACTCATTGCATTGCTTCTCTCTCCCAAGTGCTTCCACCAGCCACAGCAAATTCCCCCAAATACCTCCGTCATCCCTGACTGAAAATGGATGACCACATTCCATATGGGAAAAGTATACACCACCTCTGAGCATCCTCTTATCAGCCAGAGATCAAGTTGCCCATCTCAGAAGGAGATACACAGGATCAGACAGGCTGCCTCATCCATCAAGTGCACAGTAGCTTTGGTCGTTCCTGTTCATTGCAGTTGACTGGAAAGGCCTCCTGAAATGCTGATAGCTGTGGGAGGAGGGAGAGCCCTCCCTTTCCACATATGGGCAGATCTTTGGCAAATCCAAAGGTGGTCTTGCATTTTTGTGAAAGTTCCTATGCAGGCAGCGACAAACAGCTAGGTTGTTTATAAAAGCTGCAGGTGGAATGCCATTTCATTTTGGATGTAGATATTGACACCCGGCAACCAAGTCAAACTGTTTCCATCAGATGTAAAAGCCAGAACAGTCTTGGCAGGTTGATGGCTAATGAAAAGGAGTTGCAAAATTAATTACATGGAAAATTATTTTTTTTTCTAATAAGATAATGAAAAAATACATACTGGATTAGGGAATGACAAACTCACCAAGCTTAAATAGCAGTTGTTATTAGCTGAACTCTGTACTTTTGGATGTGAGAATATCATTCTTCCCGGATCATTGTTTGAAAGAGACCTCCTGTACTTTTGCCTCTCTCAAATTTGATTAAATGAGCTGCCAACACAAGACCCTGTCAGACTAAGATGACTCTAATAGGCAGTTCTCCGTAGCGCTTCACAACAATGAAAGTAAGTTCCTCCCTCCATTTGTCTTTTGCCTTCAGTTTCTCAAACTTATTTCTGAATGCACAAGGATTTTTGAAATCTGGTCAGCTTATTTAGTGGAATGATTATGGGCTTTGCAATCAGAAAGACTGGATTTCAAATCTTGGCTTTGTCAATCTATGGCTTTAGATTAGTTCTTAACCTCATTGAGCCTTAGAGTTCTCATCTGTAAATGGACATGTATTACCCACAAATAATTCTATATAACAAATTACCCCAAAATATAGTGTCTTAAAACAATGAGCATTTATTTAGCTGAAGAATAAATGAGCTATTATTTATTATTATAGCTATTATCAAAAAAGATTGGTTAGGCGGTTCTCTGATCTGGACTGAGCCAAGGTGATCTCGGCACATGCTATTAGCCAAAGCAAGTCTAGATTCAATGGTACAGAAATACACTCCACCTCTTCATTGGAGGAGATACAAAAAGATGTGGATACAGGGAGGAATAAATTGTGGGCATTTTATAGTCTACTACACTACCTTATAGGAATAAATGTGATAATATAGGGAGCATGCAGCTATCATATCACCTATGCATTCAGAAAACGTCTATTGACTACCTACTATGAGTTTGGTGCAACATTGATACTGTGAGATACTGTGAGTAACGTAGAAGAAAGTAAAATCTCATCCCCAGCCTCAAGAAGCATACAATCTTATTAAAAAGATGTACCCCCAAAGAAACTGTAGATCACCTTACAAAGTGCAAAGTCTCTTAAGAGTGGAACAGATAAAATACTGTGGGGTTTCAGAAGAGGGAGAAATTAAACTAAAAGGCTCTGGGAAGAGATTCTCGTCCCAACTTATGCTCTGCTAATGTTTTCCTCGATTTAACTTTGATTATTGATCTCCCCAGGCTATCAGTAATGACATGGTGCAGGAAACCCAGTCCAGACAGGCGAAACATTTTAAACTGGTGCAATTTCAGGTGAATTAAGTATTTGAACATTGCCAGCCATCCAGATTCTACACGCCCAGGCTAATATGGCTGGAGCAAAACCATCTTACTGTCTTGCAGGATGATAGTAATCCTCTTAAATTTATCTCTCTGATTAAGATAATTTCCACTAATCCAGGAGTCCCTCAATCCCATGAACTTAAACACTTGATTTCCAGGGACAGCCAGAAGGTATAAATCACACTTTTAATATATTTTTCTGAAAATAGTTCTTTTTTTCCCCCCTTTCACGCCTCACAGTTTGGAGCTTTGAAATAATTGAATTAACAGTGCGCTAGAGGGGGTTAGACAAAAACAAAAACTGGGAAAGGGACTTTACCAGCAGTGCAGTAGAGAGCCTGAGTGGAGCCAGGATTGGGTGAGGAGAGATCATGGCTATGTTCTGGCAGTTGGTGACATGTCAGGGGACCTTAGGCAAGTTCTCTGCCCGAGTCTGGGTTTCTTCAAGTCCAACCAGGGTATGATTATCTCAGGCCTTGATCCTTTGCATGTGGAGTCATGAGCTAATGTCTGTTCTGTGTACGGACTTTCTTGAAAGGAAAAGTGCTACCTAAATACAAGGTACTTGTATTACTGTAAGGTGCTTGGAATCTTAATAGCTTTCTCAACTGCAGCCAAAGTGGGCTTCTCTTTGTAAATGCTTTAAGTGGCTGAGAATCAAGGCTGAAAAGGGGTTTGTTTTTCTCCCCATCTATGCCTAGAGTAGGATGGCTGCACGTTTTTAGGGCTTGCCCAATTTGCCCATTTATAATGGAGGGCTCCACAGACATCACAGCCATTGAAATCCTATGTAAAATAGAGAAAGGCTAAGACAATACTACACACTGCTTTTTGCAGGAAAATAATTTTCTATGTAAAAGTATAGTTGTCTAATTCAGTGGTCAACCAATTAAGAGAACCTTCAAGTTAGACCTAAATATTTGGCTTTGAAAGACGTTCAAGAGGTACCAGTTTTGTTGTTGGTTAATATTCATTGAGCTGTCTCAATGTTGAGGTTGCTGCCCACACTGAAATTTTATGACAAAAGCAAAAGTAACATTTTAATTGGCTAACTCCCTTTCCCCTAGACTCTTAAATTACATTAAAGTTCTCAGTTCATTTAAAGCTTTTTGTGTTTTTCAGTTATTTTTACAGACATATTATCTGGGTTTCCTTACCCTGGTGGTTTGTAGAGGATCGGTGCTAGGCTGCAGGTTATGTTAAGACTCACCTAGGGAGATTCAATAGTTTAGAGACAGGGGTCGAAAAATCATTATTTTTTTTAACATGCTCCCCAGCTGAGTTTGGGAATCATTACATTAAACACTCTTCAGGCTGTATCTATGGTTAGTTTCTGTATCTATGATTAGTGTTTTTTTTTTTTAAAAGTCTTTACCCAATTGTGAGAACTGCTACTTCGCTAAAAGTTTACCATCTGCTGGACATTGAAGTCATCTCCAAATATTATCCCAGTTAAGCCTCATAACAGTCCTGCAAGGTCATTACTATTATGCCCATTTTATGAATGAGGAACTGAGTCTTAGAGGTATGAAGTAATTTTAAGCTGGTGTGTAACAGAGCTGGGATTTGTGTTTGAACAACACAAAGCTGACACCTTTCATCCTTGTGCTGAACTGCCTCCCATCTAACCTATTCCAGGATCATTTAGTAGTCAGGCAGGACACAAAGAAAGCATGAGACATGACCCTCCCTCTCAAGAAGTTTACTGTCTGAGAAGAATGAAAGGAAGAACACATACTCACTGGTGGCCAAAGGAACATAAAATTAAGTGGAAAATTGTAAAGTAGAAAATTAGGGTAATTTAAGGTTTTTTTTTTTTGTCTTTTCAATAGTAAACTGAGTATCATTGAATTAGGGGGTTTATTTTCTTTCCTATTAAATTACATGGTTGTTTTGCTGTGATTTGAACATAGTGTGAATCAGAAGCATCCTTCTGTTTGAGGTCCCAACATGAAAAATATTTTTATTGATATCAGTGTTATAATCTTTCAAGGAGATGCAATTTGTGCATCAACATATTCTGTTTTACATATTCTATTTTGCCATTGGTCTCTAAACACACAGGTTGGAGCAGAAATAATGTAACCTGTACCTAGTACCATGTTGAATGGACAATTATTTTATCTTTTTCAGGGGCTAAGTGTAAACTAGAAAGACAAAAGGAACTGAAAGTTTAGAACGTCTTAGACAAGTACATTAGGCTAACCCTCCATTCCCAGCAGATATTTATGTTGCTAGGGAAATAAAAGCCAGAAAGACTCAGTTCTGATTGAAGAATCAATTTAGGAGGTTGATATGGTTTAGCTCTGTGTCCCCACCCAAATCTCATCTTGAATTGTACTCTCATAATTTCCATGTGTTGAGGGACCCAGTGGGAGATAATTGAATCGTGGGGACGGTTTCCCCTGTACTGTTCTTGTGGTAGTGACTAAGTCTCACAAGAGCTGATGGTTTTATAAGGGATTTCCACTTTTGCTTCTCTCTCATCCTCTCTTGCCAACGCCATACTGTAAGAAGTACCTTTCGCCTTCCTCCATGATTGCGAGGCCTCTCCAGCCACGTGGAATTGTGAGTCCATTAAACCTGTTTTTCTTCCCAGTCTCGGGTATGTCTTTATCAGCAGCATGAAAACAGACTAATACAGAAATACAGACGTATACATGGCCAAGGCCAAATCACTAAAACTGAGGGAGGCATTCTCTGTTTCCAATAGAAGGCTCCTTTGAGTATCCAAGTTTGCAGGCAAAGACAGATACGTGATTATGACAGGTGAAGATGTACCCACTGTAGACCATCTTTTCTATGAAGATCGGAGTCTTTCTTGGGGAGGTGCTATCCTCACCAGGTCTCAGCTCACTGTTTAGTTGTGGTGGAAAATTCTGTTTTATTCAAAGGAAGAAATTAGATTATCCAGGATTCCATGTCTATCTAAATATCTGGTTTGCCATAAGCCACATAAGCCTCATCACCAAAATCTTTGGTCAGGACAAGATCCTCCAGAACTGTGCTAAGCCCTTTGTCCTTCCCAGGCCCCTATTGCAGCATTTATCATATTATACTTTAATTTTTTGTTTGCTTCTCTGTGTTCCTACCAGAAAATGAGCTCCATGAAGTAAAGAACTGTCTCAATTTTGTTCACCATTATATCCTAGCACCTGGCTAGCACTTAGCTAGTCTGGAACAGAATAGGTGCTCAATAAATATTTGTTAGATGGATGGATGGATGGATAAATCAATGAACAAACAAATGAATTTAATATCATTAAACTCCAAATGAACATAAGGAGTTGTGTAGCTCCTTGTGGCAATATAGTTTTCTAAACTGTCTGCTAATATACTATGGCTTTAGGAAACACCCAGTATAACTTCATTCCCATTGTGTATAGGACTTAACCAAGACTTCACTTGTTTTTAAAGAGTCAAGAACAAACTCTCAGTCTGTCATGGAATTGCAGCTGTGAAAGCATCTTCCTTGTGTCTCTTGTTTCTTTTGAGTGGCATGTGACTTTGAATTGGCCAGAGACAATTAGTAGGTAATAGATTTTTATTATAAAATGGATTATAAAATATGAAATGAAAATGTACGTGGGCCATACAAAGGGGAAAATGAAATGGCAAACTCCATAAGACAAAGACAGATGACACAGAAAGATGAGTAAGAAGAAAAAATTGCCTGGAGGCACTTTTTGGGGGAAGCATGTTTAAGGAAGGGCAGTCAAGTGGAAATAGGAAAAAAAGAGTAAAGTTTGTTGATGTCATTGGAAACCCGAGATGTCCACAGCTACTGAAAGGAAATGAAATGGAACCTCTGTAGGGAGCTGAGACCAGTTTCTGAGCGAAGCATTCTGCAGCATGCCTCCTCCCTTTTATACTCTGTCTTTGCCAGCTTCTTCTGAGGCCAGAAATAAACAAATTATTTTATTGTATTAAGCATCCATTGAGTCTCCAGTGGCACCATGGATGAATGAGGGAGTGTTAACTTTGGGTCCACTCATTTGAACTTCTCCTTGGGGAAAAGCAAGATATGAACCATTTTGAAATTTATTTTAGGACTTTCCACTGTCCCTAAGGAGATCCTGCCTCCTTAGTAACTAGTTGGGATGTTTCTTTCTTGTCTTTAACAAACAAAACAAATAACGACAAAAAGAACTAGAAGGCCCTGGATTGGAAAAAGTTGCTATGGCTGTAGTGGAGTGAGACCATTACTGAGTTATTTGCACTTCCTCCAATGTGCCATGGTCTTTCTAATACATAGGTCTCCTCTTAACCCAGAACAATCTTTCAAAGGACCACCTTCCTGCCCTTTGGGATTCCTCCTCCCCAAACGGGAATATGTATTCTTCCTCAGTGATGTCTTAGAACCCTGTGCCTACCTCTGTTGTACCTCTGATCACATATTTACCTCTTATCACATATTTACTTTTAGAGCCATGGCTTATTTTAAAATATTAAACACATTTCCCAATGTATTTGCTTATTATTGCTTCTTACATACAACTCTTCCTTCTAAATGCAGTTTCCTTTTTACAGGAATGAATAATTTAGCACAGAAGTCTATGCATGGGTTCATGACAGCTTTATTTGTAACAGCCAGAAAATGGAAACCACCAAATGTTTGCAGCGAATGGTTAAACAAAATGTGGCATGTCCATACCATGGAATACTCTACACAGCAATAAAAACAAACAAACGATTGATACATGCAACAAAGTAGATGAATCTCAAGGGCATTATGCTGAGTAAAAGAAGCCAGTTTTTAAAAGGTCACATACTAAATGAGTCTGTTTATACAACATTCCTGAAACAACAAAATTATAGCAATGGAGAACAGATTAGTGGTTGCCAGTGGTCAGGAATGGTTGGGAGGAGGGAGATGGGTAGGACTGCAAAGGGGTTGCACACAGGAAATCTTTGTGGTGACAAAATTGTTTTATCTTGACTGTGGTAGTGGTTACTCGAATCTACGCTTGCAATGAAATGGCAGAACTATATATACATATTTTAACAATGTCAAATTCCTGGCTTTGACATTATACCATAATTCTGTGAGCTGTTAACTATTGGGAGAAACTGGGTGAAGGGTGCAGAATCTCTCTGGTCTTTACACAGCTTTTGATGTCTTATGGAGACGTTTCCCTCAACCCCACCCAAGTCCTGAATGGACTTTCAAGAGTCCTAGCAGCTTCTCTGGACTGTTAGGAGAAGTATTTCCAGCACCTTCCCACAGGTAGGGCGGCTCTCCCAGGCTCTAGTAAAGACTTTAGGCAGGGAGCTCAGATTTCGCTCTGGCCTAGGGCTACATCTTGGATTATTAAATGAACATTAAAACTGCAGGCCCCAGTCCACAGGGCCCATATTCATAGGCACCTTCAGCATCGGCGTCCACTTTGTGTTATCCTTTTTGGCACCAAGAATTTCCTTTTCTTTCCATCTCAGCTATGCATCATATATTTCCTTGTGACATTTTATTCAGTACTCTTCAAGTTTTTAGTCTCGTTGTGGTGGGGGTGGTGGCTAGGGGACAGGGAGGCTGTTTTTGTCAGGTCTTATTGTTAACCCCATCACGCTGTTTATAATTGCCTGTTTGTGGTCATGTACTCCTCTCCCACCAGACTGTAAGGTTTTAGAAGGTGTTAGGGACCAGTTCAACCTTTTTTTTTTTTTTTTTTTTTGAGACGGAGTCTCGCTCTGTCACCAGGCTGGAGTGCAGTGGCACAGTCTTGGCTCGCTGCAACCTCTGACTCCCTGGTTCAAGCGATTCTCCTGCCTCAGCCTCCCGAGTAGCTGGGATTACAGGCATGCACCACCACGCCCAGCTAATTTTTGTATTTTCAGTAGAGACGGGGTTTCACCATGTTGGCCAGGATGATCTCGATCTCCTGACCTTGTGATCCTAGCCTCCTAAAGTGCTGGGATTACAGGCGTGAGCCATTGCGCCCGGCCTGGTTCGAGCTTTTTCATCCGAGTTCTTACACATAGAAAGTGCTAATACATATGCATATATAATGAATGAATAAGTCAATCTCTATAGTTCCATGGAAGAGAGCCCAAGTATGATAGTTTTAAAGTAATATAGTTTTCAAGAATACAGTCTATTTTTATTCACTTTAAAGATGTGTGTCATTGTGGTGCTTTTTGTAGCATAGTTTCTTTAAATACAAGAACTGCATGTGGTCTATAGGTTGAATTTAATAGATTTTAAAAAAGGAACAGCATCTCCAAAGAGGAAAAAAAAAGGCATTTAAGTGTGATTCAAGAAGTATTTCCTCTCCTCACCTTGTGCTGTGCCATCCTTTGGGGATTTTAGAATTGGTGAAACAAACATTGATCGTTGAGGAGCTTGGCCTCTGGTATTGGTTCTCCAGCTATGTACTGCAGAGCTTAGAGTTCCACAGGGGACCTCTGGGGCTGAAGGGGGTTTAAGCCAGGGAGCAAGTGGTTATGTCTCTCAGCTCCTTCCCCCATCCCCCATGTGGCACAGTTGAAGATGCTCTGGCTTTGCCCTCAGTCTTCCTGGATTTGATGATGATCCCCCTCCCTACCCTGACAAGCTGATTGGGCAGCTGCCTTCATTCTGCCTCAGGTTCATCAATCATAAAATGAAGATAATAAAGGTACCTACCTTATAGACTGTTGACGGTTGAGAAGATCTCTGAGCACAAGCAGAGTCTTTTGGACTTTGACAAAACCTAGGCACCTTTTCCTTCCTTTTTTTTCTTTTTCTTTTTTTTCCTGCAGATCTCACCATATAACAATACAAATAATAGCACAAATTTTGATATATTATGAATTTTTCTTCAACAAAGTAATGGATTCATCACATATATAAGAATTATGCTGATTACAATGTAATTACATGGTTAAAAAGTGATTTCGTACTGCAATATAGGTAGTGTGACTGGGTAATTGAGCAGGGGTTTAAAGTTGCAGGATTGTGCCATCTTCTTTCTTTGTGACTATATTGATAACTTCATTTAGAGATTGCATCAGAAATCCAAATTTGAGGTCACTGAGGACTAGAAGATCCTTGTAGACATTGAGCATAGTACTTTCCAGTCCTGACTATCCCATATAGGATGAAGAAAACTCCAAATTTTCTCTCTCCTCAGTAAGTCAGCCGAGTCCCTAGTGTGGAGAGGCCCCCTCCTTCAGGACCCCAGATGTGGGGCAATTGTGAGCCTAGGGCTAGAGCATGGCTCAGGTTGACTGACCTTGCACTACTGGGGAATGTAGCCTGCCTGTCCTTTTAAGTTACAGCAGACTCTTACTTTTCCAAACAGGCGCCTTTGGTTGAGGTGATTTACCTGGCTATGGGCGTCTCCATTGAGGCACTAGGGAGAGGAAAGAAACAGGGCTAAAAGCCTTCACCAAACAACATCTAAAGTAACACTGAAAACCAACAGTCTCAAAGCCATCAGCATCTTTGACTGTTTTCCCGCCACCCTCCAAATGATCACAAGTGGAGGCCTTCTTTTACCATAGGAAGAAAGTGTGCCCCTTCTATGTGACTGACCCTGGCTGCTTGGAAATTCCTTGAGTGTCTCTCAAAGCTCGGCCTCTGAGAATACATACCACATCTTATGGCTATACACGGCAGAACATGCAGCTCAGTGAGAAGTCAGCATGTATTTCCTTTTGAGCCACCTCTAAAGTCTGGCTCTATCTTAGAACTTCTGTGATTTTGGCGAAGCCACTTCCCTACCAGGGGCCTCACTTGCTTCCTCTGAAAAATGAGGAGATTGTATGACATAATGTTTTAAACAATTGTTTAAAACATTGGGGCATTTTCCACAGTACCTGTAAACACAACAATATATAAAATAGATAAAAGTAGAGTTGTTCCTTTTGAAGGAGGGTCTAGAGCCTGTACTCTTGTCCTCTGGAACCCCAAATCCTCTTATGTTCCTCTATAAATAGCTCCAAAAAATCCCATGGATCCAAAGAATATAATTTGATAAATATGTCTTGGGCCTTGAGGGCCCACCCAGTTATAACATTCTAGGACTCAGTGAGTGGTCAAGAAAGGCAGTGGGGTAGCCACTTGCTTCTCTTGCATTCAGCCTTTGCAGCTACTGGGCTGGCCGCTGGTCTTGTGAGTATGCGCATGCCTGTGTAACCTCACGCATCACTGAATCGGGGATACAGGATGTGGCATGGCTGGGAGCTTCTTGGAAGGGCCTCCACATCCTGTGAATGTTGGGTCTTTACCTGCCAACTGCTGAGATGAACCAGTAATCCTTTCGGAGAGCACAGGCTTTTATCAATGAGGAGGATTCAAGGCTTACTTTTTCCTTCCTTCCAAATAACACTCCCACTGTTGAGGCTTAAATACCAAAACCTTATGGTTTGCAGAATCAGTGCCAAAAAGTCAATCCTCCGAGAAACTGCAAAGATAATAGCCCCTATTGATCAAATCGGGAGGAGAATAGCTTTTGAGGTTTGCCCTCCTAAAAGAGGTCGAGAAAGATAAGGGTTGGAGTTTTCTAAAACATGCTTGGTTTGCTCAAATTGGATAAAACCATATAAAAACACTTATGTTCTTAGAGAACTGGTGACCAATTCAGGAAAACCTCACAAAATGAAAAGACTGGCTTGGATTAGTGAGGCATGTGAAATGCAGTGTCTTTCTAAGAGCATGGTAAATGTGTTATTTCAAATACAGACAGTGACTTAGTAGCTAACCAAGTACATCCATGCAGAGGATGGCCACTGTCTGCCTTACTAGACAAAGGAGAGGTATGAAAGCCCTTGAGTCTCTATGCTGGACACTGTACAGGAGTCTTTTGGTCCATTAGTTAATCATTACCTCAGTCCTTTGCTGCTCCCATTTTATGGATGAGAAAATAGAAGTTAAATGATGTTCAGTAACTTTCTCATGATCACAAAATTAATAAGTGTCAGATAGTAGTGTTAAAATCTGGTGTGTATTTCCATTAAATAGTCTACTGTCTTCTAAATGGCACATACACATTTGCTATTACCATAATGCTTTTGGTGAAGAGAGGCTGCCAGGCTGGTGGTAAATATACCTGGAAATGTCTCATGCTTTTGCCAGTGGTGAGGCGAATAGGAATCCATCAGTGGAGATCCTACAGGGTCAAAACTTGTGGCCGTGTCTCTCTCTGAAGCCACTGGTGGCCATGGAATTGATGGAGTTCAGCTGAGATGTGCTTGATTTTTCTCACTTAAACTTCAGTTTTCCTTTCAGTGAAGAAAAAAAGCTTATTAAACATCACTTTGTGAGGGGAGATTATTAATATTCAACTTTCTACATAAAATAATCAGCCTTTATTTTAAAAAAATATGGCCTTGGAAGATATTATTTTTCAGGGAAGTTATTCATATTTTAAAATATTTTATCTGTTTTTATTATCATTTTATCTGAGAAGCTGAACACGTGGTTATCTAAAGGAATGGATCTTGAAGTTGAGAACAAAACTCCCCAGAATCAGCACAATCACTTAATGAGCTTGCGAATTGAAATTATCTTTGCTACAGCCCAAGAACTGAGTGGTAATTAGTGTCCAGGGACACGTGGGGAACAATTTCAGTGTTAGCAGTGCCAAGAATCTATTCATTTGTCATTGGTCCCAAATTATATTCAATCAGCAATTCAACTCAGCTTGGAAAAACCAAGTGACATATAGCTAACTGTCTATAAAATTAACACTGTAAAATGAAACTATATTTCTGGCTGTGAGCAGCAGTAAGATGAAGCTATGAAAATATTGCATGTAAATGCTGTCAAGGTTCATTTTAATCCCACCACTTTCCAACCTATGCTTCCTTCCCTGAAATGCCGCCTTGGCTGCCAACCTTCTATTCCCAAGCTCCCTGAAGTCTGGGTGTCGGGGTGTTTGATGAGCCTTTTCATAGGTGAACCGCAGCAGTCCATACTACTGAAAACAAGGGCTGTCATTATTGAAAGAGCCAAAGTGGGTGGCAGCAGCATGGGGCTCAGACTGGAGTTGGGGTTGGAGTCATATGTGGAGGGCCCTGAAATGTAGACAATTAGCTCTTCTGGGGAAAGCACCTGCACGAAATACCCGTTCCCCAAACAAGAGGTTGATAACAGAAGCACTGCTTTCCACTGTGGCTTTGTAGTAAGCATTTCTCCTACTTGGGTAAAATTTTCTTTTTGTTTTCATATTTTGGAATTAAGATCCCTGCCATACTGCCTATCTGACATCTGGTCCCCTTGAAAGAGTCTATGCTATTTTTGGCTCAGGACGTTGGAGGAAACCAGGGCCACTGTAGGTGGGGAGGGTATGTGTGGTTCATCTACTTCTTTCCCACCTGCTTCTAGGACTAGGAAAGAGGTAAGCCAAGGAGGTCTGCACAAACCAAACAATCCTTTTGTCTCTGCTGTGGCAGGGAGATAAACTAGAAGTATGCCTTTGCAAGGTCTCAGTGAGTCAACATCCTGTTCTTGTTCAAGCTTAGTCAGTGACGATGACATGTGGCCATTTGGCAGACAGTCACCATCAGTAAATATGGAAATACGAAAAATGTGCTTATCTCTGTGAAAAGGTGAGGCCAGAGGTAAGGTGAAAAAAAAAAGCCAGGTTTTACAGGCTTGAGTACTGGTCAGCATGGGCTGCCAGAAGGTGTGGAGTGCTAGAGTCAAAGAGACCTGGGTTTGAATTGCAATTCTTCCACTTAATAAAGTTCATCCTGCATTCTATCTCAGATCAATTTTTAGTGGCTACCTAGAGCACTGTGCTTAAAGGACTCTACGACAGATCCCAGGCTTAACAGGTAAACAGAGCCATAATTGATTAAAGATGCCTACACTGGATTGAAGTAGGAGGGATTGACAACTTGTATGCCTTATAGCTAATGACCCTGGGTCCTCTAAGGTCCTGTCCAGCCCTAATATTCTCTAGTAATGTTCTGAGTGTGTGTGTGTGTGTGTGTGTGTGTGTGTGTAGACATAGCCTGAGGGGAGGTTAGTATAACCCCATTACAATATATTAGTAGCGTGGATTAAATTTTCAAAAAACAAGAACAACAACCAAGATTATTTGTATATTACAGTCTATTATTAAAGAGTTTTAACAGCCCGTAAGTACTTCTAACAGTCCATAAGTACTTCATAGTGTATTATGTCCTTTAGATTATTGATTTGTATGTTTGCTTTGATTCATGATGGCTTTGAAAATTATATTTTAAGTTATTTACCACAAATGACTCTCTATATTCAAATACTTAGCTTTCATTTGTCTTGACCTAAAATTCCAATGTAGAGAAACGAATTTCTCTATTCACAGAAATGGTAACAATTCCAAACACGACCAGTGAAATTAGTTACAGGAGCAATGTTGTTCTTCCTTAGGAAGGCTATTAAATTTATTAGTCTAAGACTGGTCTTTCAACAAGAAAAGGAGTTTATGTTTGATTATGTGTGGTCATTTCTGCAGATTTGTTTTCTTGTTAATGTAGTATTTTAGGGGCGAGGTGTATTTTGCCCTTGTTCTTTTTTTTTTTTTTTTGCAATTTCCATTTTTATTTTAGATTCAGAGGGTACATGTACAGGCTTGTTGTGAGAGTATATTGCATGATCCTGAGGTTTGGGCTTCCATTGATCCCATCACCCAGATAGTGAACATACTACCCAATAGGTAGTTTTTCAACCCTTGCCCCACTCCCTCTATCCTTTTGTAATTCCAGTGTCTATTGCTCCTATCCATGGTACCTATGATTTTACTCCCACTTATAAGTGAGAACACATGATATTTGGTTTTCTGCTTCTCTGTTAATTCACTTAGGCTAATGGCCTCCATCTGCATCCATGTTGCTACAAAGGACATGATTTCATTATTTTTATGGCTACATAGTATTCCATGGTATATATGTACCACATTCTCTTTATCCAGTCCTCTGTTGATGGGCACCTAGGTTGATTCCATGTCTTCGCTATTATGAATAGTGCTGTGATGAACATATGATGCAGGTGTCTTTTTGGTAGAATAATTTATTTTCTTTGGGGTATATACCTTGTAATGTGATTGCTGGGTTGAATGGTAGGTCTATTTTTAGCTCTTTGAGAAATCTCCCAACTGTTTTCCACAGTGGTGGAACTAATTTACATTCCCCCAACAGTGTATTAGCATTCCGTTTTCTCTGCATCCTTGCCAGCATCTGTTATTTTTTGACTTTTTTTGTTTTTTTTGAGATGGAGTCTCGCTATGTCAGCCAGGCTGGATTTCAGTGGCACCATTTCAGCTCACTGCAACCTCCGCCTCCCAGGTTCAAGCGATTCTCCTGCCTCAGCCTCCTGAGTAGCTGGGATTACAGGTGCATGCCACCAGGCAGGGCTAATTTTTGTATTTTTAGTAGAGACGGGGTTTCATCATGTTGGTCAGGCTGGTCTCGAACTCCTGACCTTGTGATCCACCTGCCTCGGCCTCCCAAAGTGCTGGTATTACAGGTGTGAGCCACTGTGCCCAGCGTGACTTTTTAATGATAGCCATTCTGACTAGTATGAGATGGCATCTCATTGTGGTTTTGATTTGCATTTCTCTGGTGGTAAGTGATGTTGAGAGGGTTAATGTAATATTTTACATTTTAATTTTCAAGCCAGTGTTTTGAAGTAAAAATCTTCAAATCTGGCCAATAGATTGTTCATTTGGATGGCATCTAAAATGCAGGCGCCTCTACTGGCATCTAGAGCCACCATTCCAGTCTAATAAGCTATGGGATTGCCGTGGTCTCTCTCCAAAGGCAGGCCCTTTGGAAATCTCCTCTAATGCTTCTAACAGCCTATAAATTACTATATTTAATATTGCCCTTGTCTTTCTCCCTTCCCTTCTTTTTCTTTTCAGAAACAGAGCTGTCAGTCAGTGCTGAATTAGTGCCTACCTCATCATGGAACATCTCAAGTGAACTCAACAAAGGTACACAGTGGGGGCACACAGGGGAGGCGAGGAAAGAGGTGTGGAACTGTTTTTAATCCTGGCATGACCTTCTTTGAAATCAACTGTTTTTCAGATCACTGCAAGGAGGTGGGGGCCAAAATAAATCCCCAGCTTACTTTGTGATCATTTAACATTGAATTACTTGGGATTCTATTATTTCTGGAGAGTTTCTTTCCCCCCCTCGTTCCTTTTTCTTCTTCCTCTAAAATGTTCCACATGGTAAAAATGCTTCAAGATGTGAAATAGGGTCATTTCTGACCTTTCTGACACTACATCTAGTGGATCTTATTTAGGGGATTTGATTCAGCCCAAGCCAGGATTCATCAGAGCTGTTTGCTCGGTGACCTTTCACGATGAGCATTTGATGTGCTTGCAGGGTTCAGGACCGAGTATCTGGAATGTTTGTAATTGCCTGTGCATAAGGATGGCAGCTTCCTTTGTGCACGTGGGGAACAGGTTTCTGCTAGGAGATTGTTGTTTAGCATTAATTAAGCCCCGCCATATGTTAAGCATTGGGTATTTTATAAAGACCCTATGTCCTGGAGTGGTACATCAGGACACATTCAAAACCTCTGCAGTCTGGCTCAATCTACCTTTCTAGCCTTAGTTATCTTTATTCCCCTTTATGCATTTCCAGCCAAATTTCGATTTCTTCTTATACATCCTGTGCTTTTCTGCCTCTCTGCTCTCACCTTTTCACCTGGATTGCCTTCTCTTCTTTGCCAATACTCATTCTCCCCCTTTTGCAAGGCAACAAATTACTTCTCCCTCAAGACCAAGCATAAAATTTACATTATCCAGTCTTGTCTAATCCCTCCAGCTGGAAGTGGCCTTTCCCTCTTTGAAACTCCCATAGCTCTCTTTCTTCTCTGTTCTTCTCTTCACATTTTCTATATGATGTTATGGTGATTTATATACTTATCTCACCCTTAAGCTTAGAAGTTCCTTGTAGGAGGGTTTCTATCTTACTTTTTTTTTTTTTTGGTCTCCATCACAAAATCTAGCACAAACTCTTATTTGTAGGAAATTCTCAATAAATGTGTGTGGAATGATGAGTCACATCTTACCTGGTGAGAAGCCATAGCCATACATATTTGTGTGCAAATACATTCAGCAAACTTACTGAGTTTCTACTTTAGTTCAGGCATGATTCAAGGTTCTGAGATTACAGTGGTAAAGGGAGCTCAAAAGTCATTGTCATAAATGGTCTTTTATGATTAGCTCTCTATTGTCTACTGACATAGTTTGGTTGTGTCCCCACCCAAATCTCATCTTGAATTGTAGTTCCCATAATCCCTACGTGTTGTGAGAGGGACCAGGTGGAGATAATTGAATCATGAGGGTGGTTTCCCCCATCCTGTTCTCATAATAATGAGTTAGTTCTCATGAGATCTGATGGTTTTATAAGGGGCTTCCTCCTTCGCTGGGCACTCATTCTCTCCCCTGCCGCCCTGTGAAGAGGTGCCTTCTGTCATGATTGTAACTTTCCTGAGACCTCCCCAGCCATGTAGAACTGTGAGTCAATTAAACCTCTTTCCTTTATAAATTACCCAGTCTTGGGCAGTTCTTTATAGCAGCATGAGAACAAACTAATACATCTACTAATACATTCACTGTAAGTTGTATTTCCTCTCTGAGAAGAGATAAGTTTATTTTATAAAACAGCAATGGGTGAAGTTATTTTGCTGGTTATACTTTACTAGGCACTTTAGGATGGTGGAATGAAGTGAGATGTCTTTTCACCTTAAATCAAAGGACATTTAGAATATTTTTTCTATTGCCAAATTTGACCTGACATTATTTTTCTATTAAATATTAAATCAGGCACTCCATGTTACTCCTCTCCACCTCCAGCATCAACCACAATGCCTAGAAAGCAGATTTTCAACAAATATTTATAGAATATGTTTAATGGAAAAGAAGAAATAAAAGACCCTGAACATTAACTTAGTACCTGCTCTGTGCCAGGCACTGTGCTGGGTGCTTTTTTGTGAACTTATTCTGCAAGTTCCTTATGGTGCCAACAGAAAAATTATATCATTGCACACTGCATGTTATTGATCAGATTCCAGTTATGGCAATAGAAAAGCATCAATGTGTGCTAAGAAAGGCAGCAGAGCCAGCAGTCTAGAACCCAGCCTGCCAGACTTGGAATTTCTACCAGACCAGCACTGTAATTAGTAGTAGTTGCCCATTAAGAAAGTAGTGGTGTCAATAGTATGAACCTGCTGGCTGAAGGGAAGGATAAAGGCAGGCCCCAGACTCCTTTATTTGTTCAACACAGACTTCCAGAGAGTATGGATGGCTTTCTGGAGGTACGAGGATGCTTGGCATCATCTTTCTCTAGAAGGTAATTAGTGTATATTCTTTAATTTCCATTTTGAATGAGAGAGGAAGATCATTTGTTGATCAAAACCTTATCGATTCCTACTCTGGTCTAGGAACTCTATGAAAATTAGGATATAAAGATAAACCAGGCAAAGGCCCCTGTCCTCCATGAACTCAGAGACTATTTGGAAAGACTGATAGCTAAATGCATAATCAAAGCCTTCTGGTCAATTTGGTAGATTGAGCTTTCAAGAGACACTTCTTCCAATCACAGAGAGATACTAGTGAAATATACAATGAAGAAAATAATCCATTGCCAAGCTGGTACACAAAGAGGTGAAATCCCTAGGTTCCAGAAATGAAGAACAAGTTCAATACTAGTACAATGATCTTTGAGGAGGAATTAAGCAAAAGAGTCCATGATAATTTGAAAACTATGGGTACTCTCTAAGGCCTAGAGTTTTGGTATCCCATGGGGATAAGAGTTGGAGCCACAGGAAACAAACTCCCTGCGTTAGGATATGAATGAAGAATGACTGGCCTAAGTATGAAATAAGGAAAATTCTGCTGAGGATGTGATACAGAAATCTATGAAGCACCTTGGGCCATTGGGATCACCCAGGAGAAATCAAAACCTCAGCCTGTACTACATGTGGGAGTGGGGTTGAGGTTCTTCTCAGGTATTGCACAAGCCACAAACCAAGATGGTAACATAAAAACTTGGCCTGGAATTGATTAAACTAGGAGACACTGACAGCAGCAAACCTAAAACCAGCTCTTAAAAATGTCTCAACATCCTCATGCATGAAGGTTTTCCACCAAAGACAAAATTTTAAAAATGAAAACCACAAAACAACAATGGCAAACTCCTGCTGATGTTGAGCTTACTTTAAAAAATTATAATGCATACAAGGGAGGGGAAGAAAGCCACCATTAGTAAGGGTTAGCAGACAAAACACATGGAAAAGCTCATACCTTAGAAACTAAACACAGTGGACCAATTTGAGAGAGTATATATGTTTAAAACGTTTCATGGTGAAAAAGTAGAAACCATGGGGCAAATGCAAGATAATATGACAAAAAAGGCATATTTCAAAATAACTAAATCAAAATTATATAATTGAAGAATAGAGCTATGGAAATTAGAAGTTTATCAAATGGTCTTAAAGTGATACACTCAGGTCAAGAATAGTAGTGATCTGGGAGACAGATTTGAGATAATACGGTGGTTTAGAAAATGGACTTGAGCCAGGGTGACTGACTAGGTTTGAATCTTGACTCCACTATGCGTTTCCTGTGTGACTTTTAGCAAGCCTCTCAACCTATCTGCTTTGGTCTTCTCATTTGTAAGATGAGGTAAGAAAAGCACCTACTGCATAGGGCTGTTGTGAAAATTCACCTGGCCAGCAAATCTGATAAACTCATTGGAGAGTAAGAAGTGATAGCTGTTTTGGGTTAATATGGTTATTACTTTGGGCTTGATATTAAAATATCATGCGTACTTCAACAGTCTGGTAAGGCAGGCATATTTTAGGGTTGGGGTAGACATCTTAGATTCTGATAAATCATCCCTTTCTGGCCTTCCACACTTTAGTGTTCATTCATACAAGTGACATACTTCTTAGCTTGGCAACACAAGATTCTCCATGGTCTTACCCCTACTGACTCTTCTTATCTTACCTCCTGTCCCCATACTCAATATTCAATTTATTTCAATAATCTGCCTCCGATTCCCTAAACATACCATTCTCTTTCCAGCCTCTATACCTTTGTTCATGCAGCTTCCTCTGACTGGGTTTGTTCTTCACTTGGCTAACCCCTCTTTTACTTAAGCACACCTTGAACATTCCCTCCTTCCCCATTTCCCCGCAGTGCCCCTAATGGACATACTTCTGAATAACACAGGTGGTATTCCTTCCTTGTTGGAACCTCCTGGAGGAAGAGACAGATGATTAACAAATCCTTCCATCAACCCCTTTGACCATGACATCAACAGTGCTCCAAATTATGGGGTACCGTATTAGCCTATGTCTATCTTGATCAGAATCCTTACCTCGGTGTATTGAAATTATCTATTTCGTGCCTGCCTCTTTAAAGTCAGGGTTTGCCTTATCTATTGTCTAACACCATGCAGTAGGTAACATGCAGTAGGAAACATGGCATTAAATTATTTGGGTTCAAATCCCAGTTATGGTGTGTAAATGCCTACCAGGCGTGAGGCACCTGCTAAGCAGGTTGCACGCATCATTTGAATTCACACCACCCTTTGCAATAGAACAGATAGGCAACAGAGGCTCATTTGGGCTAAAGGATTTGATGGAGGGGAAGTGCCAGGATTCCCACCAAGGCCTCAGGGCCAGGTCCAAGGACCATGTCTGTTGTGACAACTGAGTGCATTCATATCCCCTCCTCCTGTGGGGCAAGTTCCCTCACGTGGAGAAGCAGTAAAATACAATCCATCTCTTGGTGGGCTTTAATGCCTTCCTCTTCACCCAGCTGCTGTGTTCCACCTGTCAGTCCCACAGCAGCTCCCCAGCCACACTCAGGTCCCAGTGTTCTGTTACATGAGTCCAGTCACTGGCATTAACCAGTTACCTGTCTATCCTTTCCAACAGGAAATGAAATTTAAAAGAGACAAGGCCACCCTGGAAGAGCCGCTGAAAGCTACTATTGATGGGTCAAGGGGGTAATTTCTGAAACAACTGCTTCAGAACCAAATACTGCCTAAAATAAATGGATCTACAGGGGCTCAACCTCAGCTTCCCCATAAGAGTGTTGGGGTGGGTGTGATAAGGGCCTATTTCCCCTTCTACCATACTCAGTCACAAGAGGTTTCAGAGGTTCTCTATAGAAAGCCAAATGTTTCTTTTGGAGAAGGGGCTGGAAATTGCTCCCATAGGCAGCAGAAATGGAGGGAACCTACTACTTAAAAAAAAAAAAATACTGAGGCCTGTTTCCAACTGCAAATAGTTCTCTGTGCTGACAGACTATATATATATATACACATACGCACACTATATATATATATATATATATATATATATATATACACATTTTGTCCTGGTTTGCCTTTTCAAATGGCTTTCTTTACCAGGTTGGAGCTTTAGCAGGGAAGTGTGCAGTGTGGGTCTTATAAACATGGGCTCTAAAGTTACTATGACTCTGAGCTTCCTTTTGCTCACCTGTGGATGGAGATATATGTATCTGTTACTGTATTAATCCATTTTCATGCTACAGATAAAGACATACCCGAGACTGGGAAGAAAAAGAGGTTTAATGGACTTACATTCCCACATGGCTGAGGAGGCCTCACAATCATAGGAGAAGGCAAGGAGGAACAAGTCAAGTCCTACATGGATGGTGGCAGGCAAAGAGAGAGCTTGTGCAGAGAAACTCCTGTTTTTAAAACCATCAGATCTCATGAAACTCATTCACTATCACGTGAACAACACAAGAAAGACCTGCCCCCATAGTTCAATCAGCTCCCACCAGGTTCCTCCCACGTCACATAGGAATTGTGGGAGACACAATTCAAGATGAGATTTGGGTTAAGACACTCAAACCATATCAATTACCTAAGGTGGTTTTCCTAGCCAACTAGCATGTCTATGGGATTCATGCCCATGTTGTGATAGGATAGCTGCTTGCTCGGTCACAACATACAGATACATCTTAGACTCAGCCCCCTGGCCTGCCTCTTCCCTCGAAGCTTCACCATCAAGGCCTATGACCAGGTTCTCTAGCTCAGGAGTGGTTTGCTCCCTCTTGTCCCCACTCTGTTACTTGATTTGTCCTTGGCACATGGTCTATTTAAATGGTATTGACTGGCCTATAGCTTAGAGCTTGATGCTTAGCTAGTCAGAATGGGGTGACTGAGTCGTTTTCTTGTGCTTTAATTGTATATATTTGGAGCTATGGGTTGAAGGTGGTATTGTAAGGATAGACTGGATCTTGCCTTGGCTCTTGGCACGTGGCAAGCTGATGAACAGTCTTCCTAGGACTGGGGTGTCTGAGAGCTTATCCATCCTTGTGTTCCAGCTTCAAAACTGGTAGCTGGTTGGGGTCGTAAGCAACATCTTTCTAATATTGATAGCACCATTTTCTTTAAAGGTTGTCACCTTGCCATTATCAACTACTAAAACACTTAGAGCCTCTCTAACCTCATATGGAAAATAGAGGAGTGATATGTACTTGAAAGGGCTGGTGTATGAATTAAATAAAATATAAATCTCATCACAGTCTCTAGCATATATAGGTGCTCACTACTGGTAGTTCTCTTGACCGCCCCCTCCCCACCAACTCCCTTCTGTTTCCCAAGGGGAGGGCAGCATGATTTGAGGAAACAGCACTTTAACAAGGAATCTAGGTTCTAGTTCCAGCTCAGCTCCATCACCAGGTCAATGACCTATTTAAGCTCTGGGCCTCAGGGTTTTCACCTGTTGAAAGGGAGGCATCAATCCTTGTTCTGGCTGCATTACCCATTTTGAGACTCCAATGCTGCGTGAACCAGTATAGTAGCCACTACCCACCTATGTCTATTGAGAATGTGAAATGTGGACAGTCCAAAGTGAGGGGTAGCATCAGTGTAAAACACACTGGATCTCAAGGCCTTAATATAGAAAAGAAAATATCTTACTAATAATTTTTACATTGATTACATGTTGAAATGATATTTTCATATATTGAATTAGTAAAATACATTAAAATTAATTTATAGTACCTGATCCCTTTTAATGTGGCTAGCAGACAGTTTAAAATTACACTTCTCACTTACATTTGTGGTTCACAGTTTATTTCTATTAGATAATGCTGCTCTCAGGAAACAATTGCTGGAACCTTAGGTAAATGTAACCTGTTTCCTCCTTGCAGCAAAAGGAAATGCTCTCATATCCATTCCAGCTTTAAAATTCTAGGAACTACTTTTTATAAAAAGAAATGTTTCTAAACACTGATTTTGTTTGTGTGTGTGTATATAATGCTTTATGTACCCTAGAACTTAAAATATAATTATATATATATATATAAAGATTTTATGTGTAAGGGATTATCATTACTGATTATAGTCTGATCATTATTATAACTAGATTACAAATTGACCACTAATATGATTAGAGACAAGCAATATCTGGAGTAATTTCTCATCTGTGGAGAAAAATATTGTGGGTTAAAAGGCGAAAAACACATAGGGATTATTATTTTTTTTTTCTTTTGAGACAAGATCTTATTCTGTCGCCCAGGCTGGAGTCCAGTGATGTGATCATGGCTCGTTGCAGCCTCCATCTCTCAGTCTCAAGCAATCCTCCCACTTCAGCCTCCAAGTCGCTGGGACCACAGGTGCACCATGTCCAGCTAATTTTTGTATTTAGAGACGGGGTCTCACCATGTTTCCCAGGCTTGTCTTGAACTTTTAGGCTCAAGCAATCTGCCCCCTCGGCCCCCCAAAGTGCTGGGATTACAAGCATGAGCCACCACACTCAGCCAGGAACACCTTCCTGATAGGAGAGCAGGGATTTGGATATATGCGGGGAGCTTCTTGCCTGCTGTATATCTCCTGTATCCCTTTGCTGGCAACCAGCTCTTATTCCCTTTGCTTACACCCAGTATAGAAGCATGCAACATGAAAATCAGTTCCCTTTGACCAAGCAGCTCTCTCTCTCTAAGACCGGTATTAATCCTTTTTGACAAGTCTATTCACTTTAGGGAAAGGCATTGGCAAGATGAGGGATATGGAATTCTATCCGGAAATAGAGGGAAAATGACCGTTTATGGTCCATCTTGATTCTTCAAAACCTGCTCAAAGGGGAGAGATTTGCCATCAGCCCCCCTGCCATCCAGCCATCAATGGAGCAGAAAGGGTCTTCCTCACCATGTAGGGGTCTTTCCAGCCGGTTATTCCAGCTCTTGGCACCCAAGCCCTCCCATCATTCCTCATCTCCCCATCTGTGCTGTTAGGGGGGCATTCAGCCTAGAGGAACGAGGCCCTGTGGGTGCTCTGCAGATGGCTGTGTGAGCAGCATAGAACCCCACCTCCATCCTCCCAGCAACCGCTGCCCCAGCCCAGGCAGGTGAGCAACCGAGCAAGCTTGGAAGTGTTTGTGCTCCTGTTTTTACCATTTAGAATGAGGAGAGAGCTTATCTACCTTATATCTTGAGTCTCAGATTCCTTACTCCCTTGGTACTATTTTCAGTAATTACTGGCTAAGACGAGGCACATTTCTGGACTCATAAATAATAAGGCAGTCACAGAGAAAGAGTGTCTGGCTTTTTCCCAGGCTGTTTTTTCCTTGCCTGTGTGTCTTTTAGTTTGGATTTAAGCCTATCTCCTCCTGTTGCACCCACTTCAAAAATGGCTTTACAGTTTGGCCTCAAGGTACTTCCAGAAACCTATGGACTAGGGTCCTGCTCACAGGGATCATGGAAGTCTTTCCTAGCCCTGGGCCCACAGCTTTGGTTAACCTTATCTAAAGACTTGCTGGGACTTTCGGACTTAAAAGGTCTGCTTGGCTAAAGGGAGGGGAAACGGAGATTATACAAAGTGCTTTACCATGGGGCTCCTCCCTCAGTTTCCTGCTTCTCCTTCTCCACCTTTGCTTGTTGTGCTCTAAAACACAACATCCTATTTCAAGCATCTGTGCAAACCTTACTATTTGCTCTGATGAGAACACCCTCCCCCAACCTTTTGTCATTGTTAAAGACCCAGCTCACACTTCACCACTTCCAAGAAGACTTCCCTGACTCCACCTTCTCCCACTGATGATCACACCTTGTTCCTCCCCATGCCAGGTGATGCTTGTTTGCATGTATGTTCTTCCTCTTCTTCTCCCCATTCTTCTTCTTTCCTCATGCAAGAAATTTTATTGAAGATCTTCGTCATTTCAAGCAAGGCCCTCATGTGTCTCCCATTCAAAGAGAGGTTGACCAGGAAAAGCAGTATGGAGAGGGCTTTGAGAGAGAAAAGAACAGCGTGTCAAGCTGTGAACTTCTTGAGATCAGAAGTCATGTCTTCTTTATGCATCCTTATCTCTCCAACATCTAGTGCAGTTGTTTGAATAAAGAGAGAAATGAATGAGTGGTGAAAATCAGAATACGGGAGCCGAAAGTTACTTTAGAGTAGCTGTCCTCAAGCTTTGGTGGGTGTTAGAGTCACTTGGAGAGACCCGGGTTCGTTGAATCAGGCTAGACCCTATTCCCCTCCATTGTTACCATCTTCCAGGTGACTCTGATGCCCACTAAAGTTTGAGGACCAGTGATAGAGCAGTAATTCTTAACCTCAGCTGTAATTGGTATCACCTGGGGAATTTTAAAAATTACTAATGCCTGGGTCTGTTCTCCTCCTCCCCTCATTCTTATTTTATTGGTCTGGTGTATAGCCTGTGATTTGAGAGGTTTAAAAGGTCTCCAGGTGATTCTAGTGTGCAACAAAGTTTGAGAATCACTGCTTTAGAGTTCTTCTAGGCTAACCTGCCTTGTAGTTTGACTCTTCATGATATTCTAACAAGTGATTAATACAAGTATAGGTGCTTGGCACTTTGTCAATTTCTGTCCTCAATTTTCTGAGGTAATGTAGACAAGACCTGGGCTTGGAGTGAGAAGTCCTTGGTTTATATTTAAGCTCTGTGGCTAACTCCAGATTCTTGAATATTAAGATCTGGATTTTTTCCCCCATCTGTAAAATGGGGAGAATACCAGCCTTCAAGTGTTGTTGTAAGTACAGAATGTAATGACATATGTGAGACGGCTAAGCACAAGCCCCAGAACTCATAAAATAAATACAGAAAAGGGTAGATTGATAGTGATATTGATATATTTTTAAAATATCTGAATGTGTTGGCATAACTCCATCACTTGTTCCTTATGGACATCGGGAGTAACACCTCCCTTTCTCATGAAATAATACCAATTATTAATAGCTACCATCTATCGAGGGCTTATGATATGCCAAGAACCATGTTAAGTGATTTACATGGATTGTCACATTTAATCCTCATAAAAATTCTGAGATACTGTGACAGATTTACAGATGAAAAACTGAGCCTTAGGGAAAAGTCGTATTTTGAATAGTGACATCCTGCCTGCAAAAGATGTGTCCATGTCCTAAACTCTGGAACCTGTGAATTTTTCTTTATTTGGAAAAGGGGTTTTGCACATGTAATTAAATTAAGGATCTTGAGATGAGATTATCCGTCATTATCCCCAGAAGCCTAAATGCCTACAAGTGTCCTTATAAGACAGAGACAGAGGGAGTTTTTAGATGGACCCACAGAGGAGGAAGCAATGTGAAAATGAAAGCAGAGATCACGTGATGCAGCCACAAGCTCAAGAATGCCAGGGCCCTCAGAAACTAAGAGACAAGGAATGAATTCCACTCCAGGGCCACCAGAAAGAGTGTGGCTCTGCTGGATTTTGTACTTCTAGCCTCCAGAAATGTGAAAGAATAAATTGCTGATGCTTTAAGCCACTAAGTTTGTGATAATTTGTTAAAGTAACATCAGGAAACTAAGAGAGATTTAAGCAACTTGCCCTACGTCACAAAGCAGTGAACCCAGAATTCAAACCCATGTTCTTAATCAATATATTATGTTGCCTTTAAGCTGAATTGAACTTTGTAATAAAATGTCTTAGGTTCATTTATTCAACAAATGTTTATTCAGTGCCTACCATGGACGAGGCCTGTACTGGCTGAAGATACAAAAATGAAAAAGGCAGAAACATTCTTCCCTTTGGATACTCTACAATTTAGTGGAAGAGAAAAACTTTAGACAAGGTTTTTCACATACACAGAAATACTGAAAATCATTTAATTCCAGCAATGATAGGTGCTGCAAAGGAGATGAATGAAAAAATAAGACTTATCCTGGAATATAGGATCAGATCCATCCTAGGTAGGCCCAGCTAATGGCTGAGGTAGAGGTCAGCTCTTCATTCCCTCTGGCCTGTTTACTGAGGGTTTGAGGGCTTACAGCTCCACTTTAGCCCTCCTGAGCTTGCAGAAGTTGGTCCACAAACAGATTATTTGGGGATAAAGACCCACAAAAGAAGAAAGGCAGTAAAGAATTCAGCAGACGGCGAGCTCTGCAACCCGTTGCAGACATTATTATGAGGCAGTGGAGTGTGTGAAAACTTCTTTTAGACAAACTTCGAAAATGTTGTGTTCCTGTACCAAGCAAGATTTCCTGTAGGGTCATGAGAAGCTCACTAATCATCTCTTTAGTTCCAAGCTATATTACTTCAGGGAAGTTTCTGTCAAGGCTTCATGCTTAAGTATCTCTTTGTCTGGGTTTATTCTGTCAAATGCTTATTTGCTTAAAAAAAAAAAATGCCCCAAGCCTTAGTTGATCTAGCAGCTTAGGAAGTTCAAATCCCCGCATACCTCAGAGGCCTCCTAGCCTCTGCCCTAATTGCTGCAAATAACTCATGATTTCATTATCTGTGGGCCCAAAGTCAGACCAGACGAACTCTGGCCGTTGGACTATGGTTGTATAGAATTAAAACTGACTTACAAGATTTTTCTATCCATGGTCTTTACTTGTCTTCTGAACTCAGAGACCTGAATTCTTCCCAAAGATCCTTCCTAGGACTCTAATTTCAACCCCAATGTCCTCAATAGTTACATTCACTTATACATTCAACAGGTATTTATGGAGTACCAGTCATGTGGCAGGCACTGTGCTGATACAGAGGTGAAAATACAAAATTCCTGTCTCATGAACCTCACTTTCTGGTGGAGTTAGCAAATCCCTGTGTGGGAAGTACTATTATACCTGACACTTCCTGAGCACCATTTAATGTGCCATAAAAACTCTGCAAGGTAGGTACTATTATGTTCATTTCACAGGCAGGAAAACAAGTTCAAGGTAAAGTGACGCAGCTAGTAAATGGCAGAGCCAGAATTCAAATCCAGGCTTTCCTGGCTACCAAGTCCATGTTCTCAGTGACTATTTATTTCTAAAATAATAATCTGTGTGTATAGGGAGGAAAGAAGGAACAGGCTTAGAAGGCTTTTTGCTGGTAGGATATCCTTTCTGGAAGGGGATATTCTTGATTACCCTTAGGTGGTTTTTCTTATTTGTCTTTTTTCTTTGATTTTCATACTTTCTTTAATAAATATCCTATACTCTTATAGTCAGATAAAAAATAAGTAGAAGACATAAAAATTGTAAAACTCATATATACCCCCAAAGAATTGAAAACAGGTATTCAAACAAATGCAGGTACGCACATATTCATAGCTGTATTACTCACAATAGCCAAAAGATGGAAGCAGCCTAAATGTCCATCAGTGGGATGACTGGTAAACAAAGAGTGGTACAGACATACAATGGAATATTATTTGGCCATAAAAAGGAATGAAGTTCTGATACATGCCATAACATGGATAAATCTCAAAAACACTATGCTGAGTGAAAGAAGCCAGACCTAAAAGGTCACGTGTATGATTTCATTCATGTGAAATATTCAGAAGAGGTAAATGCATAGAGGCAGAAGTTGAATTGGTTGCCAGGGGCTGGCTAGAGTGGGAGAAGGGAGCAATTGCTTTATAGGTACACACTTTCCTTTTGGGCTGCCAGATCTGTTTTCCAATTAGATAGAAATGGTGGTTGTACAACATTGTCAGTATATTAAATGCCACTAAATTGTTCACTTTAAAACAGTTAATTTTGTGTTAAGTGACTTTTGCCAAAATAAAACAAAAATAAGAAAACTCTAAATAAACAAAACAGTCACAATGAAGAGCTTTGGTCTTGCTATTCTTCTGTACTGCCAGGTCTCTGAGGGCTACAAAAATGAATTTAACATTGCAACGCTAACTGTTTTTACTTAGTGCTACAGCCCCATTTCCCCGTAAGAGCCCTGGCATGTCCACTAATAAGGTAACCCCAGGCCATTCACTAAACCTCTCTGGACTTCTTGTGTCCTCAGTTGTCACACAAGGGTAAAAATGTCTACACGAAGTCATTCCCAGATCCTAATATGATAATGTTGTGCTTCGTAAAATGTAAATTGACTTGAATATATGTCTCTTTATTTTTACATCAAGAAACAGTAGGTGATCTGAAATTATCTCTGCTTACCAAGCATCTGTGTTAAAAGAACTGTGAGCATAAGGGGTGAAATCTTGGTAAAGTGTCTATTTAGAGGCCATGCTTTCTGTTGATGTTGACATTGCTGTTTTTTGTTTGTGGGGGTTTTGTTTTTGTTTTTACTTTATAATAACATTTATTTATATAAAAAGGAATGTTTGGGCTGGGGCTAGGAGAAATGTTGAGGTAATGGAAAACTCTAATAATGCGATCATCTATTGAAGACACGAGCTCAGGGAAAGCCTTTCTACTGGTGACAGGCATTTTTCTGCTAAGGATTCCCAATAGGAATCAAATACTGCTGAAGATAGTAGAATCAGACTTTTGTGCTGGATCGCAGGTAAACCCTGGGTAGACCTTGAGATACTGCCCTTGCAGTGGTGCTGAGTAACAGAAGGATGCTAGCATCCTGCATCGAGTCAGAGGAGCTCACTGTAGCCCATCCCTCCAGTCCACCCAGACTAGCTAGACAGTGCCTTCTTAGCTCTCAGCAGCCCTCATCCTACTGAGAGAGGAATTTGGAGAAGACCTGGGGAAACCTTGAAAGACCACCTCAGAATCCAGCTAAACAGCTTGGGTCCTCTTTCCCAGGGCCAGTTGAGGCAGGAGACTAATAGCAGGAAGAGAGATGGCTCCCAGCTGTTCAGCTCTTTTAAGGTAAGGTGGGCCTGATGTGTCACCTGTACTGTTTATTGCCCTTATCCTTAAATAATTTTCTTCCTTTAAAAACAAAACAAAACAAAACAAAAAACTAGCTCTTGCAATATCTAAACATATTTATTTATTGTAGAAAATCTAGAAAGTAAAATGAAGCCAAAATTATGTTACTGCTAACAGATACTGTTTGTCTTTTTAATGCATATATTTTTACAGATATATTTACTGAAAAGGAATCATATTGAGCCATTCTCTTTTGTAAACAACATTTGTCCCTTAGAAACAAATTCGCAAGCATCTTTCTGTGTCATTAAATATTTTTAACATCATTTTTATTGGCCATATTAAATGTTGATATGGTTTGGCTCTGTGTCCCCACCCAAATCTTATCTTGAATTGTAATCCAAATTGTAATCCCCACGTGTCAAGGGAGGGACATGGTAGGAGGTGATTGGATCATGGGCGCGGTTTTCCCCATGCTGTTCTTGTGATAGTGAGTGAGTTCTCATGAGATGTGTTGGTTTAAAAGTGTGTGGCAGTTCCTCTCTCTCTTTCTCTCCTGTCACCTTGTAAAGAAAGTGCTTGCTTCTCCTTCACCTTCTGCCATGATTCTAAGTTTCCTGAGGTTTCCCCGGCCATGTGGAAATGTGAGTCAATTAAATCTCTTTTCTTTATAAATTATCCAGTCTCAGGTAATTCTTTATAGCAGTGTGAAAATGGACTAATACAAATGGGAGCTGGGCGCAGTGGCTCATGCCTGTAATCCCAGCACTTTGAGAGGCTGAGGCAAATGGATCACCTAAGGTCAGGATTTCGAGACCAACCTGGCCAACATGGTGAAACCCTGTCTGTACTAAAAATACAAAAATTAGTAGGGCATGGTGGCATGCACCTGTAATCCCAGCTACTTGGGAGGCTGAGGCAGGAGAATCACTGGAACCTGGGAGACGGAGGTTGCAGTGAGCCGAGATTGCACCACTGCACTCCAGCCTGGGAGACAGAGTGAGACTCCATCTCAAAAACAAAAAACAAAAAACAAAAAAAACAAAAACAAATGTGTTCCATTGTAGAGGTATTCAGTAATTTACTGAACCTATTATCACCTATTGTTGAAAAGTTAGAATTATTCTAGCTTTGTGTTATAAATAGTAGGGTGATGATAAATGCCTTAAAGGGCCCAGGACAGTACCTGGCCTCATGGAGGTACCTACTACACAGTGTTCTCTTAAATCTCTCTGCATATTTACATCCCTAGCAACAGTGCAGGAGAATGTCCTATTCTACTACTACTTACCTTCACTCAAACTAAGTATTGTCATTTTCTTGGTTGTTGTCAATTTTAAAAGCAAAAAAATGGTATGTCATTGTTATTTTAAATTCCATTTCTTTGATAACTAAGGTTGAATTTTTTATGTTTAGTAGCCAGTTTATCTCTAACATATTAATTTTTCTCATTCTACTATTAAGATACTGATCTTTTGTTTGAAATCTGCATTTTTTCTAGTTTAACTTTTAATTTTGTTTGCATGTATATTTTAACATGGAAAAATTTTATTTTTATGAAATTGAATCTATCAATCTTTGGTGTCATGCTTAGAAAAGCCTTCCATTCTCCAAGATGATCAAAACAGTCACTTATATTTTCTTTAAGGTGTTATAAGTAATCACTTCCTTTTCAGTCTGAATCAAATTGAGCAATATTTCCACCCCTAGGAAGGGCAGCAGATTAGTCTGGTGCCAGAGACAACTTTTCTCCACAACCTAGACTCAGGGAATCTCCAAGTTGAATGACCTCTAGAAGTCGTATAATGTGAGCTCCTGGCTGATAACGTGATTCCCGTCTTCCAGAAGCCTGATAAGTGGTGGTTCCTCGCTTCTGTACTACTGGTGGGAGTATAAACTAGTACAACCACTATGGAAAAAACAGCATGGAGATTCCTTAAAAAACTAAAAATAGAACTACCATTTGATCCAGCAATCCCATTACCCAGAGGAAAAGAAGTCATTATACAAAAAGGATACTTACACACACATATTTATAGCAGCACAATTTGCTGTTGCAAAAAATGTGGTATCAGTCCAAATGCCCATCAATCAATGAGTGTATAAAGAAATTGTGAGATATATATATATGTATATATACATACACATATACACACATATGTACATATATATATACACACATATACACATATATATATGATAGAATACTTCTCAGCCATAAAAAGGAATGAATTAATGACATTTGAAGCAACCTGGATGGAAATGGGGACTGTTATTCAAAGTGAAGTAACACAGGAATGGAAAACTAAACCTTGTATGTTCTCACTCATAAGTGGGAGCTAAGCTATGAGAATGCAAAGGCATAAGAATGATACAATGGACTCTGGAGACTTGGGGGAAAGGGTGGGAGGTGGGTGAGGGATAAAAGACTACTAATTGGGTTCAATGTTTACTGCTTAGGTGATGGGTGCACCAAAATATCTCAAATCACCACTAAAGCACTTACTCATGTAACCAAATACCACCTGTTCCCCCAAAAGGTATGGAAATAATTTTTTAAGTGGCGTTTCCTTCTAGCTCAACACTTTCTTAAGTGACATTACACAAGAATAACCTATTCTTCTTTTTGAGAAACTCTAAAATTAGGTAGGCCTTTCTTATGTTGAGCCAACTTGTCTTCATTCTCACTCTTCTGTGTTTTATTCCCTCTTCTGCTCAGAAAGTGGCTGGGGGCTGTTCTCTGGACTTTGCAGTAAGATTGGCCTGAGTTTCTAATCTTATACTCAGTAGCTGTATGGCTTTGGGTAAATTACTTGATCACTTTGAGCTATAGTTTTATCATCTATGAAATGGGGGTTCAAAAATTACTATTATTACACATTCTAACTTTGAGACAGACAAAGCTAAATGCTGGAGCAAGTGGGCATCAATGCTATTTTATTTAGCAGTTATGTGTGGTCATTTTAGACTTGATTATGACTCAAGTTTTCCTTTAGTTCTATGCTTCTAAACTGTGTATGCTGTATTCAAAGCAGTATCTTGTAGTATAATTTATGCTTAATAAAGAAAGCCAAAATATATCTGTACTAGTCCATTTTCACGCTGCTATAAAGAACTGCCCTGGGCTTGGTAATTTATAAAGAAAGGAGGTTTAATTGACTCACGGTTCCACATGGCTGCGGAGGCCTCAGAAAGTTTACAATCATGGCTGAAGGGGAAGCAGGCATGTCTTACATGGCGGCATGTGAGAGAGAGTGTGTGAACGGGAAACTGTCAAACACTTATAAAACCATCAGATCTCATGAGAACTCCTTCATTATCAGAAGAACAGCATGGGGAACCTCTCCCATGATCCAATCACCTGCCACTGGGTCCCTCCCTCAACACATGGGGATTATGGGGATTACAATTCCAGATGACATTTGGGTGGGGACCCCAACCATATCAATATCTCTAGATAAAATTGTAAATACTTTGAAAAGAAGCAAGAAGGATCAAAATCAGTGTCATAATATATTAATACCAACAATCTGTTATGAAACTTATTGTTACATAGATGTGTCCTCATTAGTTCCAGTGTTCCTTTGAACTTTGGATAAAATGACAAATAGCCTTTCAGACCTTGTCTGTTTTTAGGTAGAGGACCTGGTATATGGACACCTAAACCTCATGAGGTTGATTTGAGAATTACAGGAGATCATGCAGAGCTCTGATAGTGCATTTTCATTATGATGTTATTGCCCACAGAATCTCTTCTTTCTCTGACTAAAGTTTCCATTCATTTCATTATCCCCTTCCTAGCTTGTTTTCCAGATCCTTCCCTCATAAAAGGTGGGCTCCTGGAGTGAGCACAGAATACTTTGTGCTGCCACTTCATTTTGCACTTTTTTTCTGCTAATTCATTTTATGCTTTTATTTCTCAACCTAAATTATCTGCTGCTCCATAACATCAACTTATTAACTTATTGTTGACTTTTAATCAATGGCAATTAACTAAATCTCCTGTGAGTTTCTTGCGGTTTTTACCATTCACTTGCATCTCCCTTTTCTCATACTCATTGTTTAATTCTCATCTCTCATTGTATAATCGGTGTTTTGTGTCCCAGCACTCACTAGAAGCTATTCCTATTATATTTCAACATGTTAGATTTGTCATATTATTTGATGCTATCATTTTGCATGCTCATAACATCCCAACTTTGTGTATGATATTAATTTCGTTCTTTTTCTTTTTTTTTTTTTGAAAGAGTCTCACTCTGTTGCCAGGCTGGAATGCAGTGGCTTGGTCTCAGCTCACTGCAATCTCTGCCTCCCAGGTTCAAGTGATTCTCCTGCCTCAGCCTCCTGAGTATCTGGGATTACAGGCACCTGCCACCACATCCAGCTAATTTTTGTATTTTTAGTAGAGATAGGGTTTCACCATGTTGGCCAGGATAGTCTTGATCTCCTGACCTCATGATCTTCCTGCCTCGGCCTCCCAAAATGCTGGGATTACAGGTGTGAGCCACTGCGCCTGGCCTTAATTTAGTTCCTATCTAAGATGTTGATATGGCTGTTGGCAGGAAAACAATGTAGACAGAGCCTCTATCATGATTATACCTTGTCTTGTTGCCAGTGTGGAGAACTGCCTCTCTTCTCTTACAAATGCATGTAGTTTAGATTTTTTAAAAAAATTCTTTTCACTGATTTCAGCATCTTCCTGTTTCTCTGAACTTTAAGGTCAGCATTCCCATTTTGTCACATTAATTCACTCAACAAGCATTTGATGAGCTATGTGCCAGTTACTGTGGTAGGTGCATAAATAAGTAATATGCATCTGTCCTCAAGATGCTCACAGTCTAGTGGAAGAAACAGATCAAATGAATTGGGCACATAATAGGTTTGGGGAAGTTTGGGTAAGACTTTGTGGAGGTGACATTTGAGTTGGGTATTACAGGATGCATGGGCGTTTGCTAAATAGGAAGCAGATCAAGGACACATCTGGCCATGACCCACATCTCCTCTCTTTAGCCCACATGAATGCCAATATTGCATGCATATTTTCTCTCACAGTTGCTGCTGTTTTTCTGAAAGCAGTGTTTTCTCATTCACAATTAGATTTTTGTTCTTGGCATTCTAGAAGATGCAATTGCCATCCAGAAATGCTAAGAAGAAAAAATATGCACCATTCTAAGAGGACTTAAAAAAAATTTTTTAGATACATAGTAGGTGTATATATTTATGGAGTTTTTGAGATATTTTGGTACAGGTGTGCAATGCATAATAATCATACCATGGAAAATTGGTTATCTATTCCCTTAAGCATTTATCCTTTGTGTTACAAATAATCCAGTTATACTCTTTTAGTTATTTAAAATGTACAGTTAAATTATTATTGCCTATAATACCCCTGTTGTGCTATCAATACTAAGTCTTATTCATTGTTTTAAAAATATGGAACACTTCATGAATTTGCCTGTCATCTTTGCCCAGGGGCCATGCTAATCTTCTCTTTATTGTTCTGATTTTAGTATATGTGCTGCCAAAACAAGCCCCAGAGGAATTTTTAAGGTGTATTCAGATCATTGAACATCCTATATCACTCTTATGTCTTGTTTCAGTACTAGTTTTATGATCATTAATTATCGTATATTTATATTAATAAAAATAATATTTGTTAACATTTATAGAGTACCTTCCACATGCTGGGTGGAAGGTACTTAACCTACCATCCTTCTGTGAATAGTACCTGTGAATCATACCTGTGAATGGTACCTTGCATATATTATCTCCTTCTACCATTAACAAAGAAGAAATCTGAGCTCAGAGAGGTTGAGTAACCTCAGGTCATGTAACTAATCAAGCAGCAAAACAGATTTGAACATTGGTTTCTCTGTCTCCTAAGCCTGACCATTTACATTTTCTTATTCTACCCCATTGGTCAATATACCCTCTGACTCTCTTCCTTGGTCTTTACCCATTGATTCTCCTCGTAATTGCCCTTCGTATTAGTCTGCTAGGGCTGCCATAACAAAGTACCACATGCTGTGTGACTTAAACAACAGAAATGTATTGTATTACAGTTCTGGAGGCTGGAAAGTCCAAGATCAAGGTCCAGCAGGAATCAGTTTCTGGTAAGGGCTCTCTTTCTGCCTTACAGATGGCCACTGGCGTCTTGCTCTGCCCTTACATGGCAGAGAGAGACAGACTGACAGAGAGAGAGGTCCTTATATTTTTATGAGGCCACCAATCTTATCAGATTAAGACCCCACCCTGATTACCTCATTAAATGTCATCTCCTAAAAACCCTGTCTCCAAATACAGTCACATCGGGGTTAGGGCTTCAACCCTAACTCCAATATAAATTTTGGAGGAACACAGTTCAGTCCATTGTACCTTTCTTAAAACATCACATGTATTTTCATTTCTCCATGGTTTTGCTTATGCTGTTTTCCCAGCATAAGCTTTCTGTCTTTTAAAATCTTTCCAATTATTCATTACCCAACTCAAATGTCATTTCCCATGAAGCCTTCTCTGGTTTTCCAGTCAAATTTAGTTGCCCTTTCACCTACTCAATAATGATTTTTTTGACTGTATTTTGATTGAGCCCCTATTTTACCCAAACTACATTATATACTTAAGCTCCTTGAAGTTAGGGACTCTGCCTTAATATGCTCCCAGTTTGCTCCCAATTTTATTGGTACTCCATAACATTTATGACTTGAGTTTTTCATTAGCTCTAAAGAATGATGGAGGCAATTGGGTGGGTGTAGGCTAGATAAGAGAAATGCTTGTGCCCATCTCCAAGTGTTGGAAGTGATGCCTTACAGAAGACAGAAAAAATGTTGCTTGAGGGGTTTAGACTGAGACCACCAGGTAAAAGTTACAAAGAAGCACACTTCTGCCCAGTTTATGGAAGAACTTTTTAATAAATAACAAAAAGGTGAAGGAAACTAACACTCATTGATAATCAGTTGCTAAACTGCTGCTTTACAATTTCCACTTCCACATGGTCCTATAAAATAGTTCCCATCTTTTATAGATGAGAAAACCACATTTCCAAAAAGTGTAAAGATCTGATATAAGATCATGTAGCCTACCTCCGTCACTCATTCCTTCATGGAGAAGTAATCTCCCTTTCTCTAGAGGAATTGAAGCCATCTGCATGACCAGTTTTCAGGAATGCTATATCGAGAATGCTCTGGGGGTGTTGGTATAACTAATATTTTAGTTTTCTTTCATCTCTAAAGTCTTCTGACTCAGGAATTCTCTATCCCTGACATAGACTTAATGGAAATAGACCTATAAAACCTAACTTCTCCCATCCCTTTGTGGGTAATATATATTAGAAAACTTATATTTAGATTATTACAAATTATCTTTACATTGTTTCATGTATGTTGGTCCAGTGAATTAGGGGTGTGTGTGTGTATGTATGTGTGTGTACATATGTATGTGTGTTTTGAGACAGGATCTCACTCTTCGCCCAGACATGATCACAGCTCACTGCAGCCTCAATTTCCTGGCCTCAATCGATCTTCCCACTTCAGCCTCCTGAGTAGCTGGGATTCCAGGCACACACCACCATGCCTGCCTAATTTTTGTAGAGACAGAGTTTTGCCATGTTTCCCAGGCTGGTCCTGAACTCTTGGACTTGAGCAACCCGCCCGCCTCTGCCTCCCAAAATGCTGGGATTATAGGCATGAGCCACCACGCCCAGCTTCTGTCAGTTAGTATTTATGAAGCTGTTTGGAGGACACAGCTTGGAAATATCCATACTAACAAAATTGACTTGGTTCTGACCAGTAGAGGCTGTATTTTTCAACCAAAGGCTACACTGTCTGGGGAAGAAAATGGTAATATGCATGAGTTGTCCACGACTGTAGAAGTCAGATGGATGAGGTACTTAGCCTTGCTATCCTGAGTACATTCCATGCTGAAGGTGGGTCCCAGCAGCCTGAGCCCCCCAGGGTCAGCTTCTGGGGCAGGCAGCCAATGTTCTGATGTAGCTGCCATTTTTCTTGGATGATTCATGTGTGAAAATGTCTCCCCCAAAAGAATTTGGGTCATCTTGTTCTTTTTCCCAAAGCCAGGCTCTTATCAGACCAGAAGAGTCTCTTCATACAAATGGATCCCAGTTGGGAAGTTTATGAATGTTAAGGATAGTTGCTCATTCCAAAATACATAACCCTTTTTGTCTGTGGCATCTTATATTTGACTATATTGCTTTTTCTACTCAACAGAATTGGATCTTAGAATCCTGGAGCTGGTGTATGTGTGACTTCAGAGATAACTTAAAAATGATCACGTATTTCTGTCTTCTAAATTCAGATGGTTTAACTCATTATTTCTTTTTTCTTGTGAAGGCATAGCCTTGAATTTGAACACAGCTTTTGCTTTTGTGTGTGTGTGTTTGTGTGTGCGTGTGCATGCACTATAACATTTTGGCTTGTGCTATGAAACTCTTTTTTTTTTTCTGGTCAGAAGAAAGATGACAACACTGAATCAACTGCCAGTAACATCCAAAACCAGTTCAATATTACCCCCTGGTTTCTTTTCCTAGGAAAAATATCACAGGTATCTTCCTCCTCTTCCATTTTCATTATACAAAATATGGCCGGGCGCGGTGGCTCATGCCTGTAATCCCAGCACTTTGGGAGGCTGAGGCGGGCGGATCATGAGGTCAGGAGATCGAGACCATCCTGGCTACCACAGTGAAACCCCGTCTCTACTAAACATAAAAAAATTAGCCGGGCATGGTGGTGGGTGCCTGTAGTCCCAGCTACTCAGGAGGCTGAGGCAGGAGAATGGTGTGAACCCGGGAGGAGGAGCTTGCAGTGAGCCGAGATTGTGCCACTGCAGTCCAGCCCAGTTGGCAAAGTGAGACTCCGTCTCAAAAAAAAAAAAAAAAAAAAAAATGCAAAAAGCAAAATATGTTGTTCCTGCATGGAGATTGGGGGAGGAAGAGAATTATATTTTGCAGTGTCTTGCAAGGAATAAATACCATCAAAACACTTGAATATGAAGTTGACACTACTTTGGAATAATGTAGCCCATTGTGCCTGAAGCTTAACAGACATGACCCAAAGAAAAGAATGGTTCACACAATATCAAGAGTACTTTGTGGCAGAGGTGGGACCAGACTCCATCCCCTGGTCCTCACTGCACAGCCTTATAACATCATAGCTTCTCAAAAGTATCCTAAGATTGCAATGGAGACCAGACCAAGCAGTCAGCCCCATCAGAGCTTGGAGGATGCTATCAGGGAAGTGTATGTTTGTTTCTTCTTAATCACAGTCCTATTGTAAGCCTCAAGGATTTAGGACCCACAAAAGGAAATTCTCAATTTCCACTGCTTTTTGTACTCAACTTTTAAAGTCAAAGATGGAAAAGGTAAGAAAATAAACAAGAGACTTTTTTTAAAAAACAATATTCTGTATGACACCACTTATATGAGGTACCTAGAGTAGTGAAATTGATAGACAGAAAGTAAGATGGTGGTTGCCAGGGATTGGGAGGAAAGGAGAATGGGGAGTTAGTCTTTAGTGGGCACGAGGTTTCAGTTTGAGAAGATGAAAAAAGTTTTGGGATGGATGGTGGTGATGGTTGCATAACAATATGATTGTACTTAATGCCACTGAGCTAAACACTTAAAAATAATTAAAATTGTACGTTTTGTCACGTATATTTTACCACAGTTTTCAGAAAGTGCAACGTCCTTGGTATAATCTGGAATCTCCATACCCCTATGCACATGCATCCCCAGAAACAGGATATCGTATTCTAAAGAATGATAATAACAAATTTATGCTATTTTTAATTCACCTTAATTTTGTTGTTTTCAAAATAATTGCATATACGTGGTTGCATCTGACAGTCACCAAAACTGGGAGAAAAGCATAACTGATCTTTTATTTCACAGATGAGTAAACTGAGGCTCAGAGTTACACTGCTGACAAGTAACAGAGTGGTACTAGAACCCAGGACTTCTGACATGTATTCCTGGAGCCATGCATGATCCTGTGTAAAAGTTCTAAGTTGATACTTAACATATTTTACTTACTAATCTTAGAAAAGAGACTAACACATTTTAAAAGGATTTTCAAAAACTTGAAGTGGTTTAGAGGTTTTAAGCATGAAAATAAGTTAACTTAGTTACCTCATTGTCTAGACATCCTGATTAATGGAGGTTTTACTATATAGTAATAATAATGACAAACCCTTATATAGAACTTCACTGTGCACCAGGTACTGTTCTAAGTACCTTAAGAACACTAACTCATTTATCAAAATGTACTATTTGTATTTAAAATGTATAATGAAATTTATTGAGACTTGCATGTGCCAAACACTTTCCTAAGTGCTTTATACACTTTATCTCATTTAATCCGTGTAACAGTCTGAAGCAACAGGTAATACTAGAGCTTGGAGATGTGAAATAATTTGCTCAAGGATACATGAGAACAAGTGACACAGCCAGGACTCAAACCCAGGTCCACCCATCTCTTTACTGTGATTCAGATGGTGTCGTGTGTGTCTTTCTATTCACTGTTATCTCTAAATGTTAGTTACGTCATTCAGGCAGCTGGAGCAGTGTCCAAGTAGGGATGCTGGTTGGCTCATAGTTTACTTCTTGAAGACTTCTAATTTTACCCTGAAATTCTGGCTGGAAATTTGATTCCATTGCTGAAAATGGAAGAAATACAGCTTTCATGTTCATGCACAATTTGCTTTTTCATTTTTTTTTTTTTTTATTATCCTGAGACTTACTGTAAATCACACTTTCCCATCAGTCCTGGGGGTTCTGATTATGTTCATGGGGTCTAGCTAAGAGCAAGGGCAGTAAATTACTGCCACTTTGTTTGAAAATTTTTTTAGCCACAGTACATTAGCTGCTTTTGTTTGCTTTTCCACTGGTGGTGTGCCCATTTTTATTTCAGAATTTTTGTTTCTTGAATGTCTCATTTGTGAATAATGTAGCTTCCAAAATGGAATGATTGGAGAAAAAATATGAACGAGGGTGTCTTGTTTGGCACCTGTAAGTTTTTTAAGCATTTATAGCAAAAATGAATTATTGAGTCCCCCCTCTTTCTCTCTCATACTCTCTCTCACTCACTCATCTGCATTCTCTTTCCTTCCTATTCTCTCCATTCTACTCCATTTCCCAAAAAACAATTGCTAGATAATGACCATTATGGTGGCTAATATCAGGTAACTACCAAGAAGTGCCTTCTTCCAGGCTTCTGTAAGTATTCTTGTTTATTTGAAAGATTGATAGATCAGAGGGTCAGGGGATGTGTTTTATTGTAAGTTTCTGTTCCAAATTTCCTGACATTTTCCATTAAAATATATAAATAAATAAGCCTTTTAAAAGGAAGAAATGGAACTAATAAGAACCAGACCCTAAAGTGATGGTCAAAATGTCAAAAATAACTGCTTTTCCTTTATTCAGTATCATTAATCTCGAGGTAGATACCTACCTTTCCATAGACTCTCCCTAATAGCTTGACCTGATTCTCTTGCTGGGCTATTCACAAATAGAGTGACTTCTAAAGTGACACCAAAATCCTCAGTAGCTCTTCAGGAATTGGTGTGGGAGTTCAGTGGCAATATTTTCATATGTTTTTCAAATCACATCTTTTGGTAAAGTGATGAGAAAGGAGGCTGTGGCACACACTAGCAGTCCAGAGCACAAGGCCCCCTCATGAGTCTCCATCATCATAATGTTTGTGAGATCATCCTAAAGGTGCTAGAAAATAGTGATGCTTGTGTGCAACCTAGATGAATTTGAAAATTAACTGATTTTCCTCAAGTTTGTCAGAGTTTCTAAAGTGGCTTTGGAAAGGGTTCCATTGCACACGAAGAGGAAGCTTAAGTTAGACAATGTTTGTCCTTATCAATAATCCATACAAAAATTGTTTATTTCATTTTCTTGGACTTTATATGCGATACCTTTCAGGGAGGCTGCCTACCTCATAATAGCCCTCTGTTGTCTGATAGCTGCTTTCACGACCCATCATGAGGGGCCTTCAGCAGCCATGTTTGAATTTATAACCCTGTCCTTCTGGTGAGAGTTGATTGGACCAGGGAGAGGACACCTGGCCCAGGTTACGCCAGAGTCTCTTTCCCAGGAATTTGCAATTGGAACTCAGAGGTAGCCTGTTAGTGTTTGTCAGTTGCTGTTAGTGCCAAGAGATCAATCTGGGGGCCATAGAGTGTTGATCTTCTACTGTGTGCATAGAAAAGCCAAGAAAGCTGGTTTTCAAAGAGAGATTTAAGCAGATTCATAAAGAGAATTAGAGTCTGGGGGTGGAGGGAGATTCCTGATCTGGTTCCCGGCAGCTTTCCAGTTCTTGGTTCTCGTTCCTCCCGAAACCTGGCCAGACATCTTGCCAGAGTTTCACAAGAAACCCTTGCATCCTGTGTTAAATTCCCCATCCACCTCGTCTGCTTTTCCTCACCCTCTTACACTGGCTTGAGTTAGTTCCTGTTGCATGTAATCAAAGAGTCTTAACAAAGACAGATTGATACCTCTCTGGTGTGTATTTGATTATAGAGATGGCCAAGTAAACACATAGATGGATGTTCATACTTGCCCTTTGGTACCCTAGAAGGTTTGAGTTGGGAACAAACCTCAGAGATCTCCTAGCCTTATCCTCACATTAGACAGATATGGAAACTGAAGACTATAGACAGGTAAAATAAGTGATTTACCCAGGGTCACACAGCTAGGACTCGATCCCTAGCCTTCTGGTCCTCAGGCCAGCCAATGTTCTTTCTAGGCTGGCTCCCTAGTGCCATCCATCCATCCATCCACCCATCCATCCAGTAAATATAAACTGAGCAAGATTCTGCTACATGACAGGTACTGGGGTACATGTTTTTTGTCCTCAACAAACTCACAGTGTGGAAGGACCAAAGTTCTTTATGTTTATTTTTACTTCATTCCCTGGGGTTTCCCATCTGGAGGGCACTTTACTAACTTTGCTAGCCCACGATCACAGCGAGTTCATCCAGGAGTCTCCCAGAATATACTCCCATCATGTATTCTCTGTGCCTCTTGGGTCTATTCTTTCCTAATATTTGTGATAATCCATGTTCATATTGAATCTCCCCTGGGAGATCCTTGAAACCAGGGACTGTGTGTAAGTCATTGCTTTTACTTCCTAGCACGGAATCTGTCACAAGATACTTCTCCAATAAATGTCTGCTTTTCTAGAGAATTTACTTCACTCCTTAGAATCTCAAGTGAGAGCTGTGTATCAGTTAGCTCCTGCTAGGTAACAAACCACAACAAACATAGTAGCTTCCAGCAACAATCATGTATTATTATTCTCTCTCCTGGTTCTGAGAGTTGACTGGGATCAGCTAGATGATTCTTGTGCAGAGTCTCTCATGTGGTTGCAGTCAGATGGTGGCTGGGTCTAGGGTCATCTTAAAGACTTTGTCATTCACATGTCTGGTGTCTCGACTGAGAAGACAAAAACAGCTGGAGTCTGGAACAGCTGGGGCTGTTTCACACACAAGTGTTGTTTGCACAAGAGATGTCCAAGAGCTTCTCTTTATTCTCTCCAAGCACTCTCCATGTGGTGGCCTCAGGGTAACTGGTGACTGAAGGCTCCCAGAGGGATTGCCTCAAGTTTTTTTAAACCTGACTCTGAAGTCTCTCACACAGTGTCACTTCTGCAACATTCTGTTCTCAGAGGTCCTGCCACATGCAAGAAAGACACGATCACAGAGGTCCTGCCAGGTGCAAGGAAAGGGCACACAGACTCCACCTTCTCATAGAAGGAGCATCAAACAATTTGCAGATAGTTTTCTACATCTCTGCTTGATATGTCTTCCTGCATGAGAAATATGAAAAAATGAACACTTTTCAGGGAGCTTTCATTTCAGCTGGAAGCCATGATTTTCAGACAACTGATAGTTTCTGGCTTCACTGACAGCTACATCCATTGCAACTAGTTTGCTAGCCCGAGCTGCAGTTACTCACAGAATTTGCTAACTATGGACTTTAGTGGCCTAGGAGTTAGCATGGGCAGGCAAGGTGGATCAGGGCCTTGTTTTATCATGCAATTCTTGTGTGCTGGGAACTGGCTAGGCTCTATGGTTAATAAGACCGTGATGAAAAGATGCCTTGGGGTTCCTCAATGTAGTCATATATGAGTGGTTCTGTTTTTAGTTGTCACCATGATGAGGGTGTGCAGTTGACATTTATTGAATAGGGGTTTAGGATGTTAAACACGCTACCATGTGCTAGCAATCCTGCTGGAGGAGGAACTTTCCTACCAAAAATGCTAATAATTTCTGACCTAATGTCAGAAACACAGTGAAGTGGGGAAGCTGTGAGAAGTGCACTGTGGAGTCCTCAGCAGATATGCATGGTACATGTCACCAAGGGTGGCATCTGGTTTGTGTGCCACACTCTCCCCAAAACAACTGCACAGCTTCTGCCCTTCCTCTCCCCTCTGCAGCCTTGCTCTCCATCAAGGCCCAATGCAAGCACCCCCTACTCTCTCACACCTTCCCTGATTTCTAGAGCTGGACAGGTTCACCCCCTCCTGAGCATAAAACAGCCCTTTCCTTACCTCTTTCCTTGTTCTGATTATTTTCATATGTTTCTTTTGTATCACTGTTTTGCGAGGCCAAGGAGAGATGGGACAGGTCCCCCCTCCATGTCCGCACAAGTATTTAATAAGTATTTGCTTATTTATCTTCTGTTTCCCCTCTCCTGTCTACTCCTCGCCTCCCCTAAATGCCTGCACATTCCAGCAAGAGGACAGGAAGTCTGGGGTTTCTCCGCCTCTCCACTCCACACTGGGTCTTGCCCACTCTGCCTGATAAAAGTCAGGGAACCATCTGGCCTCTCTGCCACCACCTCAGTAACCTTGGCCAGCCTGTTTTGATCTCAGCCTCCCTTTCTCCACCCTATCTTGTGAATGCCTTCAACACTCAGCATCTTGACCACACACTTGGCTTTTGCTCTCACTCTGACTTGTACTTCCAAATTAGATCCCTAGAATAGCTCTGCTTTCCTTCCAGATCTTAAGGGGCTCCTGAAGGACAGAGGCCGCATCACCTCTTTTTAAAAAAATTCCACCGATTGCAAGGTGTTACCTCCTTTGGAAACCCTTCTCTGACACCTCTGGCCTGGAAAATGGGTTAAGTTTCCCCTTTCTAGGGTTCTTTACCACCCTGAACATACCCAGATCACACTTTATCATGATTATCTCTTTACCTGCATGACTGTGTAGCCAGGATGAGTGATCTTTGAGTGCAGGCTCTTAGGTTTTTGTTTATCTATTTATAATAGATAGCAAAATAAAAATAGATCCGTTCATCTCTTCATCTAGCATTTTACACGTCTATCTTTAGCAAGCCTGTGATCAGTTTAAGGAGCCACAGCAAATGAAAAAGGCATGGTCCCATCCTCAAAGTTCACGGCCTTGTGTGTTGAATTGATTTTTGTCTCTTGCTACAAAGAAAATAGTAGCTCCTTCAGTCTTCATCTCCAGATTTCTCAGTGCTTTTCTGTTTTCTTGAAAAGCAGTAGAGCAGATAATTTCTAATTGTTGAGGAATCTGGTTCAAAATTTCAAGGCAAAACCGCCCCATTCATGAGAGAGAACATTCAAGTGACAGGGCCTTCACCATTGCACTGCCCTGCTAACAGGAGACCTTGAGTTGTGGTCAAGTCAGCAGATTCTTTTAAATTTTGAAATACAGATCTTGCATAATGAATGGAGAAAGGGAGAAAGAATGGCTTGTGTGCCCTTTTGTGCTCCTTGAAGTTTACATTCTGGGAAAACATGAAACTGGAGTGTCAGCCTTGGTGGAACTGAGTTGGAATGCTGACTGGCACACAAAGGGATTCTGGTCCTGTTTAACCAAGATGTGACTTTAGAATACTGAGATTGTATGACTTTATGGATCCCCAGAGGAATAGAAATTCATGGGCCAGAATGACAAACTTTTATTTTGAAAGCCACCTAGGCTCCACTTAGAGCCATCAAATGCTTGAGAATTTATTATGACTGGGCAAGCCACTGCCTAAGAGTCAGGCCAGGGTAGTGAAAATACACACGGACTTTGTCTTTGAATGACCTGAATGTGGCCTAGTTCTTCCTAGCACAGGGCTCTCTACCAGAGCTGAAAGCACAACTGTTGCATTTGCATGACATAGAAGCAGCCAAAAGCTTCCACAGTGAGGATCATGTGTCGTGTTGATGCTGAGGCATCTCCTGTGCATGGTACTGAAATCACAGAGATGACTTATGATGTGTTCTGTTTGTGTTGGCCCAAAGCCCAAACCAGAAATGTATTTCAGGCTTGGCTTTCTAGATTCTATCTCCAGTCATGTAAAAGTTCATTACGTGGACCCACTCATCCTGTCCTGCTATAGTTAAGGTCTGTCAGCATTTTTCAAAGGTTTATAATTCAACCACAAAGGAGAATGCAGTCTTTAGGCTGCAATGTGACCTATAAAGCTTAAGCCCCGGGGTCAGAAACTTTGCTTTTTTGTTGTTGTTTTTAAGTTAGGCCCTTACTAAGTTATAGTGAAGCAAAGTAATAGCTGGTGGTTTTGTTATTATTATTTGGTTTGGTTTTACAGGGATGGGAAAAGCTTCAAGTGACTTCTTGGAATGTAGATGTACCCTAAACCTAAAGAGTTGTTAGGACTATAGATTTACTTATCATCCTAGCATTCAGCTAAAGATGGGGGTTTAGTTTTTAAAAATTTAGCATTTTAAAATTGGGATGGATGAGGCTGAGAAAGTTAGAAACAAGATTGGGAATATTTCACCAAAACTCAAGGACCAATTCTCAAGCCAGAAACTTTGTATTCAAAATTCTAGTTAAAAGACTTTGGTCATATTATATAAAAATCAAGTCATTTCCCTGATGGTTAAGTTTGTTTCTGCTCATAAATTCTAAGTATTCCCACTTAGAAATTTAAGTGAAAAGTGCACATATGATAAATATAAAGTAACAAAATGATACCTTCTCATAATAAAAACACTTGAAAATTTGAGGTAAAATAGATACAAAAATACACTTTCTATGTCTGTTCAGCTGCTATAATAAACTACCATAGACTGGGTGGCTTATAAAACAACAGAAACTTATTTCTTACAGTTCTGGAGGCTGGAAGTTCAAGATCAGGACACCAGCATGGTCAGGTTCTCCCTGTTGAGGGCTCATTTCCTGGTTCACAGACAGCTGTCTTCTCATTGTGTCCTCACATGGTAGGAGAGGCAGGGGATGTCCCTGGGGTCTATTTTATAAGGGGACTAATCCCATTCGTGAAGGTACCATCCTCATGACCTAATCACTTCCCAAGGCCCCACCTCTTCACCCTGAGCATTCAACATATACATTTTAGGGGGCCACAAACATTCAGACCATATATCCACAAAAGCTTATAATCAGCAAAAGGTCTCTTAGAGTAACCTAATTTGTGGTTACTAAGGATCCCATTAAATAACCTGCTCCTGGGGTAAAAATAAAGACTGGTAAAAATCATAGCACCTTTGGTGTGGGAAGGAGGTTTTATCTGGATGGTCTCAAGTCAATTAATAGTGGGAAAAGTTCTTAATGACAGTATGTTATAAAATGCAGATTGGCAGTAGGGACAGGAGAAGAGTGTCAATGGAACTGAGTTCCAGTCCAACCTGTGTACAGTCTAGCTATGCTAAGACCTCTATAAACCTTGGTATCTTCCTTAAAATGGGGCTGGAAAATCCTATGTATATATACAGGGTTCTGGTGATGACAAAATGCAATAATACATGTAAAATGCCTGATAGAATCAGTGCCTAATATATGTTTTTCCCTTCTTCTCCCACCTTTATTAATTATACCTGAGACATAAAACAATCTAAATGCTGGAGACCAGCCACTCTAATTTGGTAGAGATCTTTTCTTAAAAGGAAAAAGTAGTTTCCCTGAGCTTTTAAGAGTGCATTTACATACAATTTGTCTATTTGTAAAAAAGACCTATTCATTAAAATAAGCCTCTAAGTAGCAAAGTGCAAGTTTTCTTAAACTCCTTTGAGTGGCACCACATGCTAACTGGGCTTCCTAAGGAAAGAACTATAAAGGTGGCTGTCTTTCCCCATTAACCCTGATTTATAGGGGGTTTTGCTCTAAGTGCATATTTGCAGAACCATTCTTAATGTGTGTGTGTTCTCTCCCCAAAAAGGAGGCACATTATTGGCCATTTGTTGTCTTTGGTCCAGTGGATACTCTTTAAACCCACTCTTACTACTCTGTAGTCAATAGCCCAAGCTCAGCTTGATGCATTAGTCCTTGTGTTTTCAAGAAAATGTGTTCGGCCAGCACCCAGCCCAGCACAGCACTTCTTTTCTTTTCACTTTTAACCATCATATCCCCTGGTTTCCAGCAGGTTCATTCACCCAGAAAATGTTTATCTTCATTGTGCCACCTCGGTACTTAACCTGGGGCAGAGGTTTGGATACTGGGGAGTGCAAGAGGAAGGGTTGGGTTGGAGGTGCGGTTTCACTCTTTATCAGTTATGTGACCTTAGGCAACACACTTAATGTCTCAGCATTGGTTTCTTCTTGTAAACAAGGGATTGTAGTGGAGAATACTCCTGAGGATTTTTGAGGAATAAGTTAATTACAGGGTTTAACAGGAAGCCAGGCAAGAATCAGGGGTCAGGAAATGGTAGTGATAGTTACTGTAGCCAGGTGTTCTCTTATTCACTACACAGGAGAATCATTTGGAGAAGGGCTTTTAAAAATGCTCATGTCTGGATTCCATCCTCGAACAATTAAATTAGAATCTCTAAGGGTGGGACCCAGGTATCAGTATTTTTTTCTGGAATACTTTTGATATTCCAGAGATGGATTAAATCCTTTAACCCCCACAACATCCCTAATGGGTAGGTATCATTATTAGCCCATTTCACATTTGAGGAAACTGAGGCTTAGAGAGGTTAAATCACAGCAAGTAAAAGGTGATGCTCAGATATGAAGCCAAGCAGTCTAGCTCCAGAGCCCATGCTCTTGGTTGGTGTGACGCAGTCTATTATTATAAGCAGTGCCTCCAGTGAGATGTCCGGTGAGAACTAAGATCCAGCAGGTGGGGTCATCCGATGGTTTCGGTCCCTTCATACCTTCAGGTTACCCACCTCCTGCTTTTACCTTCAGCTCTGTGTGTTCAGGACTTCCCAGCAGCCCTGTATCAGATAATGAACTGTGGTTATTCAGAAGTCCCCCGCTATTTTCGGCTGATTTTATTAAACTCAGCTTGTGGCTTGAACTCAAGAATGTGCAAGCTGATTTAGATTATGCTTTGCATTGAGTTTATTAAGATAAAAAATATTTCCCGAGATAGTGAGTCAGAAGTATTTATGGTGAAGTGTGCTGAAAGTGAATGCAGGTTGATAGCGTGAACAGAATGTTCTCTCCAAGTCAAATGCGATGACCTAACTGTGTTTGGCAGCCTTCCTTTATGTTTAGCTAAGCATTTCATTTCATGTTGGGAACCTCCTCCCTCTTCTGAAAAGCATCAGTCATGTGGGAGGCTAGGATTTTGGCATGTGCCTCTTTTGATACCAAGACCCAGGCCCTAAACCTAATTGTGACTGGCTCCTCGGCTGACTGGCTGGGTTGCCATGGCAATGGACTGCTCAACTCTTTATATCTCAGTTTCTCTCACCTGTCAAAATGGGAATATAACACTTGGCCCCACCTTCCTCCCTGAGGAGAGATGGGGGCACTTTGAAAATTAAGTAATAAATGTTGGGAAGGATTTGTGGATTTGTGGATGTGACATCTTGTCAAGTGGGTAAATAATAAATGGGGTGTCTCCAAAGCTAATTTGCCTAAAATTCACTTGAGCCTTCCATTTACTTCATCAACCAGCGTTTATTAAATGCCTATGAAGTTCACAATAACACATGAAGTGCTGAGGGGAATACAAAAAATGTAAAAAGGAGGAAATAGAGTCTCAATTCCCAGAGAGGTCATAAAATAACTTTTTTCTTGCAGTTTGCTTTTTCTGGTTCATTAAGCCTCAGTACAGACCATGCCTGCACTGTATTTAAAAAGCTCATTCTCAATGATGACTTCCAGTTACGTCATAAGCAACTAGTGGTGATTTAGTTGTTTTCAGTACCAGTGGGTATTGTCACATGCTTGATGGACTCATAAAAAGGCAAGAATATTTTTTAGTTCAGGTTATGAGTGGTGCAAAGGACAATGAAAGACTACAGGTTGGATTGATTGGGAATCTGATTGCATCAGAACATAATATGGTCTCTGCTGTTCAAAGGCGTGGGTTTGGGTCCTGGCTCTGCCGCTTTCTGGCTGTGTGACTTTGGGAAATTCCTTAACTTCTCTGTGTCTCAGTTTCCTTATCTCTAAAATGTGGTCAGTTTTAGAGTCTACCTCATAGGATTGTTGTCAAGTTTAAATTAAAGTGTGTAAGATGCTCAGAATAGTGCCTGGCATTTTGTAAATGCTCAGAAAAATGTTAGCTATGATCATCACTTTCCATTGTTAATGGGAGAAGATGGTGGCACTAAAAGGATACTGGCATTTCATTTTCCTACATTGTAAAGGTAACAAATCCTTTTTAATTCAGAGTCCTAAACTTTTGCCCAGATCTGACACAATCGCTTGGGATTGCCCCAAAGCCCCAAACTGCTTGTTCGGAAATAGAAAACATGCCATCCAAGCCACTCTGCTCTCTGACTCATACCGTTCAGGGCCTGAGCTAACCCATTTTGTTCTGAAAGCCTTACACCAGTCTAGGACCCTGAGGGCTGGGAAAGGGCAGCTATGGAGTGTGATGGAAACAGCGCTGGGCTTGGTGTCCAAATCCTGGCTTTGCCTTTTATTAGCTGTGAACTCTGGGATAGGCTGTTAAGTCCTCTGAACTGCGGTTTACCCATCCTAATTGTGCAAAAGCAATGGTGGGTGAAACTGCTCAAACAAATTCAGACAATGGCACCAACGGTACCAAACTAGTGGTCACTGTACATTCCACTGCCATATACTTGTAGTTGAAAAGAAAAAAAAAGCCAATTGCACTTAAGAATATCTTCCATGGAGCAGTAAAAATTATTAATTGTATTAAATCTTGACCCTTGAATACATAGATTTTTAATATTTCATATGGCAGATGGGCAGTATACGTAAAGTACTCCTGCCAAGTACTATGACTGTCTCAAAGAAAAGCATTTGAGTTCTGAGCTGAACTAGCCACTTTTACTTTAAAGAATGACCGACAGAAAAATTATGGTTAGTTATTCTTGAATATTCTTTAAAATGAGGAAAATGAACCTGCCGCTTGAAGGAAACAGTAGTATTAATTGCCAATAATAAAATTTGAACTTTCCAGAAAAAGTTAGAATTTTGCGAAACTTTTAGCCACCATCACGAGCTTGACAACTTCTTCCCAATCATAACTGATGGCACTGGTGGTGATATTAATGCATTTGAATTTTCTATATTAGATAAGTAAGGGTGTCCACATTTTGAAAACGAACGTAACTCAGTAAACCAGTGTTCTCTAAACAGGCAATGCATGATGTTACAAAATCGTATGTAGGTAGAATAACCATTCAAAGTACAAGATAAATCAATCCATTATAATTTAATAGATTATGAAAAGTTTATTGATATGATTTCAGATTTCACATTGCAACCAACGTTTAAGAAACTACCACCTATCGAATTTTGGTGTAGTATCAAAGAAGAATATCCTAAATTATCTGAAAGACTATTAAAAACCCTTCCCTTTTCCAACTGTGCGAAGCCAGATTTTCTTCAACTAAAACAACATACCTCAACAGATTGAATGCTGAAACAGGAGGCTTCAGCTGTCTGGTTTTAAGACAATAATAGATATTCAATAATAAAAAAAAAATGCCACTTTTCTCACTATTTTTGGTATACGCGTGTGGAAAATATTATTTTACTAAATATTTTATTAAAATATTTATGTTAAGCAATGGGATTGTTTTTATTTTTAAATAGGTTAATAAACAAATATTTTAAAACTTTCTCCCCTCAGTGGCATCAATATTTTAAGGATTATCTAGGAGTCCTGAGACCAAAGAATTTGAGAACTTCTATCCTACAGCATGGACTCTGGAGCCAAAATAATTTGTTTAAAATCTCACTTCTACTTACTGTCTGTGTGATCTTGGACAACTTTCTTACCCTCTCTGTGCCTTACCCTCTCTGTTTTCCATGTGTAAAATGTTCATAACAATAACTGTCATGATGATAAATACCATTTAGGTGTTAGGTATTACCACCATCATTATGAAATCATTATTGTTGTCAGTGTCATCATCATCATTATTACTAGTATTAGCACTGGAAGGCATCATTTGTTCAGGGACACAGAGCTAGAGGTGGATTCAGTGGGACTGGAACTTTTCCCTTAAGCCAGACTATACCCTACCTCCCACTTACCATCTGCCATCTTGACATTTGCAGTCTAGGGAAGAAGGGAAAAAAAGATGAGAAATCTTCCATAGCTCAAGCACATATCATCAGAGCTACTGAATCAAACCATTGAAAAAGGTACAAACAGCCAGGTTTACACATAAAAGCCAGATTGCTTTGTCTGGCATTCAAGCTCACTGGACACCTGCTGCCTGTCATCCAGTTGTTCTGCAGCTGCCCATATAGAAACACAAACTGTCTCAGAAGAAGCAGACCCAACCCCAAAGGCCCAGATTATGAATCCAAAGCCCAGGGAGGTGAAGTGATGGTCTGACACACATCGCTAGAGAGTGGCAGAACTGCTACTTGAGTCTAGTGTGAATTCCCTCTGGACTGGACACCTTTGCTGGGATGCCCAGGTGTTCTCGTTCTGCTTACTAAGTAAGCAGCTACAGATGGCCAACAAATTTGAAACTTCTTCTTCGTCAGTGAAAAGTTAAAACCAAATTCCCTGTTTGTGGCAAGGCTCCTTTGTTCAGTAAACACAAAGATCTATTTACATTTCTTTTGTTCTCTCTGGAAACACACTGCTTGGGTCATCTACTACACTGATTTCAAGGTGCCCTGCAACCCTCATGTTGTTTTTAGATAGATATTTTATAGAGCAGATCAGGTGAGGTGCCTGGCCTCTGGAGGGAAACCAGAAAGAACATCAGCCAGCACCCATGGCTAAAGCTTAGGCCCATTAACCAGACAGTCTTGGCTGAAGTTAGGGGAAGAGCACAACCCTGTGGGTATATGTGTGTCCACGGCCCACCTTGGTTTAGGGAGATATTCCAACTCTCCATGGGTCTCATGGTACCAAATCTCAGCCCTCAATGGGTCTCATGGTACCAAAGCAGACTGGTGGAGTGAAAAGATTTGGGCTTGGCAGCCAGAGAGATGTAAATTGGACCTCAGTTCTGCCACAAGGCCTCCGGCAAGTCACTAAACCACTCTGATCCTAGGTTTCCTCATTGTAAAACAGTGATAATGACTTCTCCCTTGCAAAGTTAGCATACAGGTGAATACTAAAGTAAAGCCCTAGCATATAGTAGGATTTCAAAATAGTCCATTATTGGTCCAGAACTGGCCAGCTGCCTCAAATGGACTTTCTTTAGGTGCTTGGCTGAGCCTGAGGATTAAAGGCCATTAGTGATGGAAGCTTTGGGCAGTTTCCTGAGTAACCATGGGGCAAGTCTGCTAATCTCTGAGACATGACTTCCTCATCTGCACTGGAAATCATAGTAATTAATGTGCCTTTCTTACTTCTCTAGATTGTTAGAGGATAACAGGAGACAGAGGCTGTGAAAACATTTTGTCATGTGAAAAGTGGTATACAGAAGTTATTGTTATAAAAACAATAGTAACAACATTAATTAACATTTTTGAGTGCTTACTTTTTGCCAAACACTGGTTGAAGTGCTTCCCAGATGTCACTCACTTTCATTTTAATCCTCTTCTAACAGTTCCCTCAGATGGAGCCCTGTTTATTATTTTGGTTTTTCCGTTGGTTAAACTGAGGTACAAAGAGGTTAAGTAACTTGCCCAAAGTCACACAGATAGGCAAGGGGCTGACCTGAATTCAAACCCAGCCAATCAAATTCCAGAACCTGTCCAATGCAGTATTAATCACTATGCTTATAGTGGCATTGTTATGTGATTGCTATCTCTAAGTTTCTCTCCACAAAGGGTACATAGTTATCTATTCTCAATGAATGATATGGGGCTATAAAGGCATGATAATGGCTCCATAGAGCCATCTGCTAATTAGTCTCCCTCCTTTCTGGGCATACCTCAAACATCTTAGGAACATATGTGCTTATATCCATGAGCAAACACATTCGTGGATTGAGTATAGATGTATATAGATTGGAGAAACATGCCCAAAGATAGAGATCAAAATATAAATGTTAGGAAGCAAAGCATTAGCAAGATCATTTATGGGCTCATGAATCTGTTGTGAAGGATAATTATTCATTGGCTTAAGTGAGATGGAAAGTGTCATTATGGTAATGCAGTAGTCATGCTTAATCTGTTTCCTACTGCACATGTGATAAATGCCATTCATATGTGAGACACACTCCTGTGAGGCTGCCCAGACATTAACAATGTTCCTTCTGAATTTGGGGGGACGGAAATTAAAGCAAATAATGAATCAATTATTTTTAGCATTTATGAACTCATTTTACAGACATTTGGGCAATTAAATTACCCGGTTAAATAGCTCAGAAAAATGTTACTTTTCAATAAACTTCCATTAAATTCAACAAATTTGTGGCGTTCTACCTGTGCTGTCCAGTACAGTAGCCACTAGCCACATGTGGCTATTTAAATTTAAAAATTCAGTTTTCAGTTGCTCCAGCCATGTTTCATGCATTCAGTAAGCCCTGTGTGACTAGTGGCTATCAATCAGACAGTGCAGATTATAGAACATTTCCATCATTGCAGAAAGTTCTGGTGGATAACACTGCTAGACAGTAGTATACACTGAGGATGCAGTGATGACCAGAACATTCCCATCCCTGCCCTTATGGGGCTGATAGCTCTGCTGAACAAGTTACCCCAGACTTGGACCTACGGAAGGACATAGGACAATGAGAAAGTATGGCAGGGGATCTATCCAAGAAGGGGTGCTTAGGAAAAATGAAACCAAAGAAAGCTCCCTACCCATGAATAACAGAGCACGTTTTTAAAAGAAATCAAACTTAATTAAAAATAAATAAATAATTTTATCTGCAATTGGATTCTACAACTAATATTAATATTGATGTTTAAATACTTGATTGAAGAATAAGCTTAAATAAAACTTATTTTGTTATTAAAATTCATAGTGCAATAAATCTTAAGAGGAGCCAAAGCAAAATATACATGCAGCATGATTCCATTTATATGAAGTTCTGAAACAGGCAAAATTAACCTATGGTAATAGAAATTAGAACCTTAGTTGCTTCAAGGTGGGGTGGGAGGGAGTGGTTGGGAGCAGGGACCAACTACAAAAGATTGTGGGGGTACTTTCTGGGTTGTTGATGTTCTATCAAGATAGGGACATTTGTTACATGAGTATATGCATTTGCCTGTACTCATAGAACTGTATAACTAAGATCTGTATATTGCACAGTATTGTATATGAATTAATCTATATATATGTGATCAAAATAATTACATATTGTAACATGTTATGGTTGATATCAGTAATATTATGGAAATGTCCATTGCTTTATTACTCTGTCTGCCTCTGACCTGGCCTTCATAACCTTATATTGTCAGTAACATGAAAGTTTCAGGCATCCTTTCTGATCTTGTGCCATGTGGATATGAATGTGTTGCTCCTACTTTTCCAATTTTTGATGCTTTCTTTCTTATCAAAAGTGAGCAAACTGGAAGGATGTTTGCCAGGATGTTAAAAATGGTGTTATTTTTGGGTGGGGAGATTTGAGGTGAACTTTATTTTCTCTCTTTTGCTATGCTGGAATTTGGAACAAGGAGTGTATATGATTTTTTGATCTGAAGCACAAAAGCTTATCCATGTAGTCTTTTGGAGACTTTGGGTTCTATACTCTGATTAGTGACAAATTTTCTTCCAAGCAGCAGGCTCTATGGGTGGTTATTTAGCAGTCCTCTGGTCTTAATCAATGTGATTGTTTCTTTCCTTGTCTGTCTCACCTGCCTCTCCTGCTCAGCCTCTCTGTGATCCCAAGGGTACACTGGAGGGGATTTGGCTGCTTGGAAGCCCTCTCAAGCTGTCTGCCCCTCTCACCTGCCTCCTCTCTGTGCTCACAGATTCTTACCTGACCCTCGATGAACCAATGAATAACATCACCACGTCTCTGGGCCAGACAGCAGAACTGCACTGCAAAGTCTCTGGGAATCCACCTCCCACCATCCGCTGGTTCAAAAATGATGCTCCTGTGGTCCAGGAGCCCCGGAGGCTCTCCTTTCGGTCCACCATCTATGGCTCTCGGCTGCGGATTAGAAACCTCGACACCACAGACACAGGCTACTTCCAGTGCGTGGCAACAAACGGCAAGGAGGTGGTTTCTTCCACTGGAGTCTTGTTTGTCAAGTTTGGTAAGCAGACCCCTACTGGGGATGGACTTTGGCCCTCAGCCCAATGTGGTAGGATGGCTAGAGTCCACAGGGACAGGAAGGAAGGAATGCACACTTAGTGAGAATGTACTCTGTGCCCACAACCCTAAACCTGGTATGGTTGTACCCATTTTACAAATAAGTAAACTAAGGCCCAGCAGTTAGTTACCATGTTACCCAGCTAGTAAACAGCAGAGCAGGAATGAGGTCCGGATCTTTCTGACCTCAGAGCCCCTAATTGAAACCATCGTGCCGTTGAGCTCTTTTCAACAAGGATGCTTCTTGTCCAAGAAGTTGGAAATGTTCGCAGCGTGCATGGCCCTTTTCCTGCCATCAAGGACTAGAAGGAAGCCCCACTCACTGTTGCAATCAACACCTTCATGCAACCACTCAGCCCATTGGAAACTCCCTGCATAGTTTGAAGATGCTTACTCGATTAACTCTTTTTTTAGCACTTGTCTTAGCATTTTCAGGCCCTGAATTGTGAGACATAGACACGTTCTCACTGGTATTTTTTTTTTTTTTCATAGAGATGGTTGGGGGAATAGAGCAAAACAATAAATTCCAGAAAAATAAATACTACCTCTGGGTGGTTGAGAACTTTAATTTGTAATGATTTGACTGTATCCATACTCACCCTCCAATAACCTAGACTGACTGTTTCTTTTGTTTTTCTTTCATTTCTTCAGGCCCCCCTCCCACTGCAAGTCCAGGATACTCGTAAGTACTTTTATCTCCTTTCTTGTCATTTCTAAGTGTTTCTCCGTGGTTTTCTAGGGCAAAAGCAATGTTGTCCTCTTCTTAAGCCAAAATACTGGCTTCCAGATGTCATTCCATTTTGCCCTGCCCTCATTCCATTTTGCTTGTTCTCTGCTCTAAAGATTCACAGGAGACCACCATTGGCAGAATTCTCAAGTGTAGTAATGTTGATTCTGAATGATCAAAGCAAAAATCTTCCATTTACTGTTTTAGAAGGAATCTAACATTTAGTGGCAACAATGGATTGATTTGGTAAAATCAAACAAAAAATGATATAGTGCTGGCATAGGAACCTTTACTCTCAGGGTCTATGTTTCTGCAAGCATTTTTGATGAATTCATTATTGATCAGGGCAACAATTAGGTAATCACTTTATTTTTTATTCCCTTTAAAGAACTCAAAAGCAGAAGTTCTGGCTGGGCGCGGTGGCTCATGCCTGTAATCCCAGCACTTTGGGAGGCCGAGGTGGGTGGATCACGAGGTCAGGAGATTGAGACCATCCTGGCTAACATGGTGAAACCCGTCTCTACTAAAAATACAAAAAATTAGCCGTGCGTCGTGGTGGGCGCCTGTAGTCCCAGCTACTCGGGAGGCTGAGGCAGGAGAATGGCGTGAACCCGGGAGGCGGAGCTTGCAGTGAGCCCAGATGGCGCCACTGCACTCCAGCCTGGGCAGCAGAGTGAGACTCCGTCTCAAAAATAAAAAATAAAATAAAATAAAATAAAATAAAATAAAATAAAATAAAAAAGCTGAAGTTCTAACTTACACTGGGAAAGAAAGTCCCAAGCTTGGACTGAGAGTTGCATGGAAGTTTGATTCATTTTGAGTCCCTCGTTAATGGAGTCTAAAGGTCCAATTTCTTTCACTAATGCTATTGTTGATGCGTTTGTCATTTGTTCTGGCTAAAGGATTCTCATCTTTCACTTTAAGAGTATCTACTTGGGGCATTTTTCTTTATCTATATTTTTATTTTGGGGGAAGGACCCACTTATTAAAACTCTTACTCTACAAAAAAAAATCCTCAATACTCTGTAGACTTTTGAAATAAAATTTTTGTGGCTCTGCCACAAGAGCATCAAAATGTTTGATCTAGACTACACCTATGGCAAATATAACAGCCACTTAATTTGCTCCAATCCCCTCTGTGCCACTTAATTACAGTGTGGGGTATTTTAATACATTTGTGTGTGCCTGGAGGCCCAGTGGCCCACAATCCCATTAATGAAATAGGTAATGGGTAAAAATAAACATTGGCCTTCAGCCACACAGTTCTGCTATTTCATCAGCCAGTTAAAGGCAACTGTAAAAGAGTCTTTAAAATCACTCAAGTGCTAATTGCATTCTACTTGCCCAGGTAGAAAATGCTGATTGATCTTAAAACAGGTCAGAAATTTGGTCACTCTGCCTTGCATTTCTTGATGCTAATCTGCTTTTTTTTTTTTTTTTTCAATGGTCTCACCATTGGTTATATGTGGAATCCTTTTGAAGTCTTAGTTAAACAAAGATGAAAACTTTTGTTACTTGTAAAAATGTCTCCCACCCTGGTACCTTATTTGTTCCTGTTAATCTGTGTTTCAAATGTGGCTGATAATCTATATCCCAGGCTGATTAATGTGGTTCACTAATCTGCCTTTACTATTAAGTACTGTGTTGTTGACTTTCAGCCTGTTGTATTTGCATTAGAGTTCTTTTTATTATCAAAATTATGATTATATCCTTCTATGTTCTTCTTGAAGTTTTCATTCTTCACTGCTGTCCTTCTGATGAACCCAGTCTAGGTCTCTCGTGGTTTTTAATTTTATACAAAGATTTTATACCCCTGTTGTGAACCGATATCTATGGAGAGGGTATTGAAGTTCCTTAAAGATGCTCAACCACAGCTAAAAAGTATCCTTTGATATCACGCATCTCTGTTTTATATTAGCTGTCAGATTATCTATTACATTAGTCGGTAATAGCATGAAATGTATAGTTACCATGTTTGCTTGCAGGGAGTTACAATAAAATACAATTCAAATTGGAAATCCCATGGGGCCTTTTGCAGTTACATCTCCATTCTGTTTTTGGCATTCCTAGTTGGCATTTTGGTACCTTTTTTTTTTCTTTCCCAGTGATGCATCCTGCTCTTTATCTCTTCTCTTAATTGCCACCACTTCCCCTGTCTCTAGGAGTTCTTCACTTCCTGAGACTAACTCCCAGAAAGAATGCTGGTTCCCATGCCTAGCTTCGGAGTAGCCCTCAATAGGCAGCCAACCTTCTCTCCAAGGGGACAGGCAGAAGATAACAAAATGATAGCCATGGGGAATATCATAACATTGAGGTCCCTCTAAAGGTTGTTTGTCAAATTGTACACTACTATTTCCAAAAGAGGAATGAAATACAGTTATAAATTGCTCTGTTTATTTGAAAGTGGCACAGAGTTACTGCAAAAGAAATAAAAGGAGCATCTATGACCCAACTCTAACATTCAGAACGTAAGGACTGTGAAATACATTAGACATATGAAACCTGGTGAGAGCTGAGGTCCACTGAGGCAACAGGGCTACACAACTCCTGCCTGGGAAGGGCTTGTAGGGACCCTTGGGACTATGGCCCAGAAAGGCACTTGTCACTTCCTCTGAGGGACTGCATCAGGTTTCCACATGAAGCTTTCAGAATGATATTTTAGTTTACAGTAGGAACAAGCTTGATATTTTCGTTTGGTTTCCGTTCATAGATTTAGGCTTCATTTCTTCTGTCATTGCTGGGTCCTGGCTACCCCTAACACTTATAGGACCTGGGGCATGAGTACAAGCAGAGGTTCACATACCATATGTCTAAATATTTAAAAGTTATAAATCAAGCTAGCAACATTGTTGAATAAAATATGTTCTATCTTCCCACAGTGTCAAATATACCTTTTTAACGTTAAAATTTTAAAATACATAGAAAGTTGTGGTGTGTTTTAAATGATTAAGAGCCAGGAACTATGAAAAATGGCTATTTTAATCATTGTTATGCATGTCTGGATGTTTTGTTCATGGGCCAAAGATATCATATATAATTCATAGATTGTTATATATTAGTTCCATAAAAATTTGTTTGCCTTCCTTTCAGGAAAATGACTACCTAAGTTGTTTTATGCAAGATTTTTACAGTGTATATTCTATTGATAACATCGCTAAATTAGACAAATTTGTTTTTCTTTTTGTTTTATTTTATTTTATTTTATTTTGAAACAAGGTCTGGCTCTATCACCCAGGCTGGAGTGCAGTGGTGTATGATCTTGGGTCACTGCAACCTCTGCCTACTGGGCTCAAGCCATCCTCTCACCTCAGCCTTCTGAGTACCTGGGACCACAGGCACGCACTACCGTGCCTGGCAAATTTTTGTATGTTTTACAGAGATGGGGTTTCTCCATGTTGGCCGGGCTGGTCTCGAACTCCTGGCCTCAAGCAACCCACCTACCTTGGCCTCCCAAAGTGCTGGGATTGCAGGCTTGAAGTACTGCACCTGGCCTGAACAAATTTCTTAAGTCCTTGTCATTCTTGCTTTTTTTTTTGGACAGGTTCTGGCTCTGTCATCCAGGCTGGAGTTCAGTGGCATGACCTTGGCTCACTGCAACCCCTGCCTCTGCATTCAAGCAATCCTCCCACCTCAGCCTCCCGAGTAGCTGGGACTACAGGTGCCAGCCAACATGCCTGGTTGTAATTCTTACACTGTAAAACTAATTTTAATTTGGAGAAACTTCACTCCCTGGAGCCAGTGGCAGCTATAGTTATCAATAAAATTCCTAAAGTGATACTTAAATTTGGAAATGAACTAAGAATTATACATGCCATGTTCAAACACAGAAATGGAATCATATATGACAAATAATCATTATTGTAGAATATATTACAAAATATTACAATTTAATCATATAAATCAGTATCATACTTCATACATTATCCTAGGTTTGTACAAATTTAAGAATAATATGACTTGTTTAATGTGTTAATTTTCTTGGGCTGCTGGAAAGTATCACAAACTGCATGGCAAAAACAATAGAAATTTAGTATCTCATAGTTCTGGAGGCTAGAAGTATGAGATCAATGTGTTCATGGGGTTGGTTCTTTCTTATGGCTATGAGGAAAGATTTCTCCTTTCCAGAAGTGTGTCAGAATTTTTCCGTATTCATTGGCTTATAGATGCATCTCCCCAACCTCTGCCTTGGTGTTCACATGATAGTCTTCCTATATGTGTAGCCCTTAATTTCCCCTTTTCATAAGGACACCAGTCATACTGTATTGGGATCCACCGTGACGACCTCATTTTAACTTGATTACCTCTGTAAAGACCTATTTCCAAATAAGATCACATTCCAAGGTACCTGGAAATTAGGACTTCAAGATACATATTTGGGAGGACATGGTTCAACCCATAACACTTGATATTGCAAAGTTTTTCTCAGCCATGCAAAACTCTTGCAAATGTTATTCTAATGTGTGAGAGCTTTCAGAAGCGCTGGTTGGAATATAATGAAAATAGATGTTTGGTAATATTGGGAATGATAGTTTGTTGTGCAAGAATATTTTGCATTCAAACTGAGAGAAGAATTTGACACATTGGTTAATTTATCTTTTCTCCTGCTGAAGTGGCTCTGCCAGTGTAGTTTCTCCTAGGCTCTAAGAAGAGTCCATCTCCTCCACTGGCAGTGTCACAATACACAAAACTTTGACAGTATGCAGTTGTGGTCACCTTCTATTCCAAGGACAGAGGGCAAGACATGTAGAGAAATGTTCCCTGGGCCAGAACAGTGCTGGTCACAAAAATAGATGTCTAAGGTTTTGATTACATTGTGCGAGCACTCATTGCCAGATCCCAAGAGGCAAAGGGTTCCATGCGTACTCTTTACTCTCATTACATATATTCCCTGTGTATTTTTTGTATGTAGGCCCAGGGCCAGGACCTTTCTCTCTTTTTTTAATAACAGTTTTATTAAGATACAGTTAACCATAAAATTCACTGTTTTAAAGTGTGCGACTCAGTCTTTTTACTATATTCACAAAATTTTGCAACTCTCACTACTATCTTATTTTAGAACATTTTCATCATCTCAAAAAGAAACTTCTCCCAGCTATAGTAGCTTCTAATTTACTTCCTATCCCTATGAATTTGCCTATTCTAGACATTTCATATAAGTAGAATCCGACAATATTTGTCCTTTTGTGTTTGCCTTCTTTCACTTAGCATAAGGATGTTGAGGTTCATATAAATTATAGCATGCATCGGTGCTTCATCCTTTTTATGGCTGAATAACAGTCCATGCATGGCTATACCACATTTCGTTTATCCATTTTTCTGTTGATGGACATTTGGGTTGCTTCTACTTTTTGCTTATTCTGAATAATGCTGCCATGACCATTCATGTGCATTGTGGGGTATGTGTTTTCAATTCTCTTGGGTATATACCTAGAAATAGAATTCCTGGGTTATATGGTAATTCTATGTTTAACTTTTTGAGGAACTGCAAAACTGTTTTCCAAAGAGGCTGCAGCATTTTGTATTTGCAGAAGGATAGTATATGGGTTCCAATTTCTCCACATGCTCTCCAACACTTATTTTCCTTATTTAAAAATTATTTATTTATTTATTTATTTAAAATTTATTATAGCCAGCCGGGCGCAGTGGTTCATGCCTGTAATTGCAGCACTTTGGGAGGCCAAGGCGGGTGGATCACCTGAGATCTGGAGTTTGAGACCAGCCTGGCCAACATGGTGAAACCCCGTATCTACTAAAAATACAAAAAATTAGCCAGGTGTGGTGGCGAGCATCTGTAATCCCAGCTACTCGAGAGGCTGAGGCAGGAGAATCACTTGAACCCAGGAGGCAGAGGTTGCAATGAGCTGAGATCATGCCATTGCAGTCCAGCCTGGCCAGCAGAGCAAGACTCTATCTCCAAAAAAAAAAAAAACAAACATTATTATAGCCATCCTCGTGAGTGTGAAATGGTATCTCATTGTGGTTTTGATTTGCATTTTCCTAATGACTCATGATGTTGAGCATCTTTTCATGTGCATATTGGCCATTTATGTTTTCTTTGGGGAAATGTTTGTTCAAACTTTTTACCCATTTTTTAAATTGAATTAATTGTCTTTTTATTCTTGAGGTGTAAGAGTTACTTATTTTGGGTATATACCCTTATTAGATATATGATTTGCAAATATTTTCATTCTATGGATTGTCTTTTCATTTTCTTGATAGTGTTCTTTGAAACACAAAAGTTTTTCATTTTGATGACATTCAATTTATTACCCATTCTTTGGTTGGTTGTGATTTTGAAAACCATCGCCTGATGCAAGCGTACAAAGATTTACTCCTCTGTTTTTTTCCTAAAAGTTTTTATTTACAGTTTTAGCTCTTACATTTAGGTTTTTGGTCCATCTTGAATTAATTTTTGTATACAGTGTGTGAGGTGGGAGTCCAGGTTCATTCTTTTGCATGTGGATATCCTGTTGTTCCAATATCATTTGATGAAAAGACCATTCTTTACCCATTGAATTGTCTTGGCACTCTGTTAAACCAATTAAACATGTGTCTATGTGTCTATCCCTATTCAGTTCTACATAGTCTTGATTACTATAGGTTTGTAGTAAGTTTTGAAATCAGGAAATATGAGTACTCTGTATTAGTATTCCACTGGAGAAACAAAACCAGTAAAATTGTGTATGTATACATATATAAAGAGATATATTACAAAGAATTTGCTAAAATCCTTAGGGCAGGGAGCCAGGAGGCACAGGCTGGGAACTTTTGGGCAGTTGCTCATGCCATAGTCCACAGGTAGAATTTCTTCTTCCTCAGAGATACCTCTTAAGGCCTTTCATCTGATTGGATCAGGCCCACCCAAACTATTGAGGATGACCTCCTACAACCAGTCAGTTGATTGTAGATGTTAATAAAATTTATAAAGTACTTTCACAGCAACACCTAGACTAGTGTTTGAATAACTCAGGACTGTACCTTGCCAGTTGATATGTAAAACTAGTCATCACCTCTTTCTATATTGTTCTTTTTCAAGACTTTTGTTGTTGTTGTTATTCTGAGTGCTTTGCATTTCCATATGAATTTTAGGGTCAGCTTATTAATTTATGCCACCAAAAAGTCAGCTGGAATATTGATAAGGATGGCATTAAATCTGTAGATTAATTTGGGGAGTACTGCTGTCTCAACAGTATTAAGTCATCTAATCCATGAACATGGGATGTCTTTCCATTTATTTAACTTCTCTAAATGATGTTTTGTAGATTTTGGTGTGCAAGTCTTGCTCTCTTTTCTTAAGTTTATTCTTAAGTATTTGATTATCTTTCATGCTATTGGAAATGGAATTTTTTCTTAATATCATCTCAGTTTATTCATTGCTACTACATAGAGATACAATTAATTTTTGTATATTGATCTTATATCCTATACCCTTGCTAACTTGCTTCTTAGCTCTAGCAGTTTTTTTGTGAATTCTTTAGGATTTTCTATCTACAAGCTTGTGTCATCTGCAAAAAGAGATTGTTTTACTTTTTTCTTTTCAATTTGGGTGCCATTTACTTATTTTTCTTGCTTTATTGCCCTGGCTAGAACCCTCAGTACAATGTTGAATAGAAGTGGTGAGAGTGGACATCCTGTTTTTTTTTTACCTTATCTTTAGTGAAAAGATTTCAGTCTTTCACCATTGAATATGATGTTAGCTGCGTTTTTCCATAGATGCCACTTATTAGATTGAGAAAATTCCCTATTATTCCTATTTTCTTCTATGTTTTTTACTATGAAAAGCTATTGGATTTTCTCAAGTGCTCTTTGTGTGTCCATTTAGATGATCGTGGTGGGTTTTTTTTTGTCCTTTATTATATTAATGTGATATATCACATTAATTGATTTTTGCATGTTAAACCAAGCTTGTATTAGAATAATTCCTACTTGGCCATGGTATATAATTTCTTCTTATCTTTTGCTGGATTCAGCTTGCTGGTATTTTGTTGAGGATTTTTGAGTCCATGTTTATAAAATATATTGGTCTGTGCTTTGCATTTCTTGTGATAGCTTTGTCTAGTTCTGATATAAGGGTAATATTGGCCTCAGAATATATTGGGAAGTATTCCTTTTTCTTCCATTTTTTAAGAAGAGTTTGTAAAGGATTTTTATTTAAATGTTTGGTATAATCACCAGAAAAGTAATCTGGGCCTGAATTTTCATCATGGGAAGTTTTAAAATTACTAATTCAACTTTCTTACTTGTTATAGGTCTATTTAAATTTTCTGTTTCTTCTTGAGTCAGTTTTGGTAGTTTATGTCTTTCTAGAAATTTTTCCATTTCATTGAGATTATCTAAGTTATTTTATTCCTTTATCATTCTTTTAATTTCTGTAACATCATTAATGATAGTCCCTTTTTTATTCCTAATTTTAATAATTTGTGTCTTTTTTTTTCCTTTGTCAGACTAGCTAGTCTAACTAAAGATTTGCCAATTTTGTTGGCAAAGAACTAACTTTCGTTGAAAACTGGATATTGAAATAGAGTATTGTGACAACTGTGGAAATCAGATTGCCTCTCCTCTGATGTTGCTGTGTGTTGTTTTTGCCGTTTGTTTGGTGAATTTCCTGAATTAATTCTGTATAGTCTGTATTTTCTGTCATGTACTCCCTTTAAAGAGAGAAGTCTCAGCCAGGTGCGGTGGCTCATGCCTATAATCCCAGCACTTTGGGAAGCCAGGGCAGCTGGATCATGAAGTCAGGAGTTCGAGGCCAGCCTGACCAACATGGTGAAACCCTGTCTCTACTAAAAATACAAAAATTAGCCAGGCATGGTGGCATGCGCCTGTAATCCCAGCTACTCAGGAGGCTGAGGCAGGAGAATATCTTGAACCTGGGAGCCAGAGGTTGCAGTGAACCGAGATCATTCCACTACATTCCAGCCTGGGTGACACAGCGAGACTCCATCTTAAAAAAAAAAAAAAAAAAGAGATGTCTCTACTCAGTTAGCCTAGTAACTAGTTAATGATTGGACAGAAATTTCCTTAAACCAGTAAGTCTCCTACCCTTTGCCAAGAGGTTTAAGGAAACCTCTGTCCAGTCATTAACTGATCACTAGGTTAACTGAGGAGGTCCAAATTCATCCTGCCTCCTCTAGTGACTGCTGGGGTGCTAGTTTTCACGGTTACCACAGAACTTGAGAGAGGAAAATGAGAACGGCAAATTAAAATGCCATAAAATTCCATTCTTAACAAGCGTTAGTTTTTTTTTTCCTATATATCCACTCCCTCACCTATCTTATGACATATGAGAAATCCTAACATGGGACTTGGTGTATAATTAGCATTGAATGAATTTAAGTTTTCTTTCTTTCTTTCTTTTCTTTTATCTTCTGTGGTCTCCTGCAGAATCAGTCTATAAAAAGGGCATGGTAAAAAAAAATCTATCTCATAGCATTGTTGAAAAGATTAAATGACATAATAAGATGATGCATATATAGTAGCTAGCACTGTACCTGATGCATATTAGGAGCTTGATAATATTACTAACAGTATCATCATCAATGCTATCTGAGCAAAGAGGCTGTTCCTTCTTTCCAGCCAGAGTTCTTCTGTTGGATAATATTTCCAGCTGTGAACCCCAACCAGAGACCTTGAAGCCTTTATTTCCTTTTCTCTCATTGGCCTTTGGCTGAAGTCTCCTTTCTGCAGAGAACAAAGTGACCAGCTTTTGATGAACTATTTTCCTCTTTTATCCATTTCCAAGTGTTAGCCATAGTGAAGAAGTGTAGCTGGGTGCTAGCCCAACTCAAGAAGTGATAATGTAATATCCAACCCAAGATAAACTCAAGGATAACTTTCAACACGGCTACTCAAGCAGTTCAGGGGGGAGGCATCTTGTAGAGAGGAGACCAGGAAGTCACTTGGCAGCTGGGCCAGCACACAGAGGGCCATTGCTCCAGTAAAGCAGCTAACCTCCATCTCTTCATCAAACCATCCTAGACTCAGCACTCTGCAGAGAAGGAGCAGATGGAGGGAATGTGTGGAGAGATTAGATAAGAAGGATTTCTAATCTAGTGGGGGAGCGAGTAAAATGTACAGAAGTTTGAGAAGCCAAGCTCTTATGTACCAATCCACCCCCATCACTCAACAATCCCCACTGTATGAATAAAGCCTGGAAAGTTTCCAATTAAAACAGTGCTTGTGAATATTGGCAAGGGGTATCTTTGTGTGCAGGGTACATTTAAAGGGAGAAGGGTGAAGATACACCCTTGCCTTCTAGGAGTACACTTTCTGAGAGCTTGTTCACCAGGCTGTGAGTTTCTCAGTCTATCTGTTTCTCAGTCTGTTAGTAATGAATGTATCTCCCACTTAGCACAGCAGCTAGCACATAGTAGATGCCTAACAAATGTGTGTTAAATTGAATGTTGGAAGTCTGTGTCCTGAAAGCTTTTCTTCACATATTACAAGGCTTTTTATTTGTTCAACACATTTTTACCAAGTTTTTTTCTGTGTTCCAGGTCTTTTGATTAGCTGTTTTTAAGTCACAGAAATGGGTGTCGGGAACAAAACCAGTCAAAAGTCCTCATTCTACATCATTTACACTTTCCCTTCCTATATTTATAAGTTTTAATATCAGCTTCTACAATAGGTTCCAGAACAAGTGGTGCTCAAGGAATGGAGAAAATGACTATTCCAACCCTAGCTGTAGGTGAACCAAAAACCCCAGAGAAATCAAAGTGTAGTTTAAAGCAGTGCTTCTCAAGTTGTAATGTGCATATAGATCACCTGGGGTTGTTATTAAAATGCAAATTCTAAAAGAGCAGGTCTGGGAGTGGGCCTGGGACTGCATTTCTTACACTTTCCCAGGGGGTGCTGGTGCTGCTGGTTCACACACTTAGAGAAGCAGGGGTTTAGAGAAGAGGTGCCTGGCCAGATGCTAGTTCTTTCTGTGTAATTTGCTAGTTCACTAGCCAGTGACCCTGGGCAAATTGCTTACTTTCTCTGGGTCCCAAGTTTCTTTATTTGCAAAGTGAAGCACTTGGGCTTAATGTCTTTTATGATTTTTTTTCTATCTACATTTGATGACTAACTGAAACTCAACATTTCCTCTGTTATAGTAAGATCTTTTCATTGCTGTGAATTTCATGCAACTTGCTCCTAGATTCTCTTTCTGTACCCTGAGGTGTTAATCACCCTCTTTTATCTGTCAGGCGCTTCTATCCTGTGCATTCTAAACAAGATCTTATCTAGTTACTTTCAAACAGTGTGAAAGATTTTTACAGGGAACTCTCACCTGGAAACTCTCCCTCAAATTCTGAAGTGGCTGTGATATTGTGCGCTCCTGGGTGCAGAGGAAGTTACTGCTCCTTTTGCTGGTCAGTAGCAGACTCTACTTGCCTCCTGTTGAATAGAACAGAATTTTCTTGCCATATTTCTTCACTAGGCTCCTGCTATGTTGGGTGACTGCCTGTGTTTTGAATTGAATGAAAGGATTGTAGCAGGAGGCAGTGCAGTGGTGGATTCAGCCTCTTAATGTCTTCATGTGGGTGTTTTTTGTTGTTTTTGTTGTTATTGTTGTTGTTGTTGTTTTAGATGGAGTCTTGCTCTGTTGCCCAGGCTGTAGTGCAGTGGCACAATCTTGGCTCACTGCAAGCTCCACCTCCCGGGTTCATGCCATTCTCCTGCCTCAGCCTCCCGGGTAGCTGGGACTACAGGCGCCCGCCACCATGCCTGGCTAATTTTTTGTATTTTTAGTAGAGATGGGGTTTCACCGTGTTAGCCAGGATGGTCTCGAACTCCTGACCTCGTAATCTGCCCACCTCGACCTCCCAAAGTGCTGGGATTACAGGCATGAGCCACTGTGCCCGGCCCATGTGGGTGTTTTTAAAGCACTGACCTTTTTGCCTGACTGGTAGGCCCAGAAGGCTGATAAGAAAAACAAGATTTCTGGCTTTGCATGTGTGACTTGTGAATGCAGGTCCATTATTGATTCATCACGTCTTGTACACTCATAGAGCTTTTTGAGGGAAACAACTGAACCTCACAACAAACATAGCTAATGAAATGTTATGAATAATCTTGATGATGTTAAAGGGTGGCTAAGCATAATGATCAGTTCTTCACATAAATATTGTATGTAATTAGCCTTCGACTTTGTAGGGTAGGAAAGACACTCCCCTACCCTCTTAGGTTCTGTGGCTGGAGCCTATGAAATGAATTTTGAAAAGACAGATTAACAAAAGAAAAAACATACACATTTTATTTGATGTTAATATTTTTACATGACACAGGGGGTTTCTTAGAAAGAAGTGAAACCCCAAAGATATGGTTAGACCCAGGGGCTCATATACCATTGTAACCAAGAATGATAAATTGTGGAGACATGATCAGGCAAAGGAAAAAGAGGTTTGGGATAGGGTGGTAAATTGTGGGAAAGTGACTAGAAAATGCATGGAGGAAACTAATGGAAAAAAAGTGTTATGTTAGCAAGGTTTGTTTGTACAGATTCCTCTCATCGTCAACTCATTATCTTCTGTGGTATGAATGTTTTCTTCTTCGTGGTTTAGGGAGGAGATCTTTCTCACAGGAAATGTATGCCCTGACTTTTGATAGAAAGGAGGAAGACAGCCCTTCCTAAATCTTTTGTTTCTCAGTTGCCTTCAGCCCAAAATAGTGAATATGCCAGTGAATCATAATGTGGGATGGCATATCCTAATCCCCTCCAACTTCTTCAGTGGAATGTGCAGGTTTCTTCCTTCTTTGTTAAGCCTCTGGCTTTTTTCAGTGTCAGTGTTGACAATTTTATCTAATTGCTCTCCTCTTTTTTAAAAAATTATTTTTAAAAATTAAAGATCATCTGTTGCTGTCCTCTCTATGTCTCTTTCTCTGTCTCTCTCTCTCTCTCCCATACACACACAAACACACTCATTCACACAGTCACACATGCTCCAGAAGCAACAACAGCTGGGTTCTCATTATCTAGGGCAGTGCTTCTCAACTCCATCTCCACCTTAGACTCACCCAGGGAGCTTTATAAATTACCTGTACCTGGGCTACACCCTAGATAAGTTAAATCAGAATCTCTCAGAGTGGTACCCAGTCATGATATTTTATCAAATCACCCCAAGTGATGTCATGTCCATGCAACCAGATAGGACCCTCTCCCATCCCCCTTCTCACCTGAAAGGAACTTGCATTAGCCCAGCTCTACCTTTCTCTCTCTCTCTCTGCCCCAGCACCATATTGTAGACACCAAAGGAGTTGCAGCAGCAGAAACTGTGCCTGGATGGCAACATGCCTACAGCATCATCAGGATCCAATCAGGAAAGCAGAACAAATTCTGGACTATTTAACACAGAGAATTTAACATAGGGAATTGGTTACACAGGTGATGAAGTTTGCCAAAAAAGCAAACAAGAAATTGTGATGCAGCATCAGCAACAGACAGAAGCCCCAGCTACACTTAGGTTGGAGGGAAAAATAGAAGGGGTAATATTACCAGAGCCTAGGTTTGGGGTCATCTTTGGAGGCTGGAATGGTGGCATGTCTGTTCTGTGGGCACTGGAGTCATGAGAAGATGCTTCCACTGCTGGGGTTATCACCCAAAGCAAAAAGAAATGGGAGAAACAACTTGGCTGCTGTCTTCCTTCACACTTTCAAATGCCAGCCAGTTTCTCCCATTAGGGGAATGCTGCAAGAAACTATATGACACAGGGAGCCTGAGAATCACAGCCTGCAGAGGTCATCTGCCTTGCAGATGCTGACCCAAGCAGGAAACGGGCAAGGAACGGATCTGAAGACAAATAGGTGCAGCAACAGCACTCATACCCCAGATTGATTTCCATGCCACTAGAAAGCCGAGCCTGCAGACAGCCTTGAAGAAACAGGCTGGGGAGAAGACAAAGCATTCAAAGCTGCAATTCCTGCCCAACCTTCAGGTAGAACATTCAGTGGACAGTTTGGATTGTGGAACTGAGGCCTGGAGCAAAGGTCAAGGCTGAGGGGGCAGACATGGTGGTACATTTGGCTAAGTTGGTGGACAAACTTTGAAGGGAGTAAAACTCCCCAAGAGAAACTAAAAAGGAACAAGAATAAGCAGACCTCTTTTATTTATAGTACTGTCTGTAATTTTCAGAATATTTTTTCTTTTCTCCTTTGATCTTAGAGCCATCTAATAGCTTTGACTAGATACCCTGGTATTTTTGTTTTCTATCTAGAAAAATAAAAAATTGATAAATCATCATACCCTTGCCCTTTATCATAACAAGCACTTTTTAATTGTGTAGAGGGGTGCTCTGATCTAGACCTCAATATTTATGAACTTTTGAAGGCTGAAAATGGAGACAGTAAACTTCTAGATATTTGCTTCCTGGGCCTCCAAAGACAGAATTTGCTAACTGTGGCAAACACTTACTAAGTGCTACTCTGTGCCAGGCCTTTTTATAAAACTTTGCACAAAAACTAATAGACTATTACTTCCCCATTTACTCACACAAGGAGACTCAGCAAAGGATGAAGCTTTGATTTGAGCCCATGCAGGTGGACTCCAGAGCTCAGACTTTGGCCAGTCTGCTATACCAGCTGTCCTTATTGTGGGGAGATGATCAGTTGATGAACTCTTACCTGAATTACAAATTTAGTCACCTTAAGTGTTTGATTGCTGAAAGGACTCACAACACTCAAATGGTTTATCCTCATGGGGTAGTTTTATTACAGACAAGGGAAACAGTACAGCAACAGCAGAAGACAGATAGGTAATGCAGGGGTCCCAGAGATATCAGATACAGGCTTCTTTATCCTCCTAAAACTGGGTTGCACAGGGCACTCTATCTCCAGGTCTTGAAGGTTTACTGGCATACATGTGCAGAACCTCAGTTCCAAGAAGTCCAGTAGTGGAGGTCACTTATAGTGAGCTGATCACATGGGCACATTCCAGCTGTGTGACATACACTTCAGTGATTGAAGCCCCAGGACTCCACTGAAACCAGGTGCAAATCATACCATCCAGTTATTATTACTAAATAATGCTAACTGACTCATACATCCTACCCCAAACAACTTGAAGACTCATAGTTTCAGAGCATCATTTATCTTTAGTAAATACATTTCATAGTGATTGCCGATAGTTAGTGGTTCTGAAGATTAGTCTGGGGTCAATTCAGGCCAGCTGGGATCACCCTGTGCCTTTCAACCCGCTTGGCCTTGCTTAGTATGTAAGTCAGGAACCCACTCCTAGAACTTGAACAATGGTAAAGTCATCCAGGTATAAATACTTGCCACTGGGATGGGACGTGTTCCATAGATAACAGAAAAGTTATCATGGTTCAGTCATTACAAATGTCTATTACTTCAGTGGATGGCCTGGTATTTTTGTGGCCAGCTTCTGATGTCCTTGTCTTCTACTCATTATTCTAAGACTGCTGGGTAGCTGTCCTATGTGCTTACATGAAACCCCAACTTTCTCTCAAGGCCGTTAAAATATAACATGATGAGTGCTGTGATACTTATCTGTGTCTCTAGAGCAGCAATGCTGTCCACTAGAAACATCATACAGGGCACATATGTAATTTTAAACTCACTTTTTTTTTTTTTTTTTGATATGGAATCTCCCTCTGTCGCCCTGGCTGGAGTGCAGTGGCGCCATCTTGGCTCACTGCAAGCTCCACCTCCCAAGTTCACGCCATTCTCCTGCCTCAGCCTCCCAAGTAGCTGGGACTACAGGCGCCCACCACCATGCCTGACTAATTTTTTGTATTTTTAGTAGAGACGGGGTTTCACCGTGTTAGCCGGGATGGTCTCGATCTGACCTCGTGATCCACCTACCTCGGCCTCCCAAAGTGCTGGGATTACAGGCGAGAGCCACCACGCCCAGCCTAAACTCACTTTTAAGCCACATTTTTTAAAGGCTAGTCAAATGAAGCAGTGAGAGTGGAGAAGGAACAAAGAAATTTGCAATTGCTTGTGATCAATCAGTTGTAAACACGATGGCACTTGGACTAGCCTTAAGATACATTTTAAAAAGTTAAAAGAAACATAAAATTAATTTTAATATATATTTTATTTAACCCAACATATCCAAAATATTATTTCAACATGAAATCAATATAAAATTATTACCCGCTTTATTCAGATATAATTGACAAGTAACAATTATATATAATTCAGGTATACAATGTAGTATTTTGATATACATGTACATTGTATAATAATTATTATAATGGAATATCTCATATTTTTTTTTCTAAGTCTTCAAACTCCAGTGTGTACCTGTAGTTTATATTTACAGGACATCTTAATTCAGATGCTAAATTTTCATGGAAATACTTGAGGCCAGGCGCAGTGGCTCACGCCTGTTATCCCAGCACTTTGGGAGACTGAGGTGGGTGGATCACTTGAGCCCAGGAGTTGGAGACCAGCCTGGGCAATGTGGCGAAACCTAGTCTCTAATAAAAATACAAAAATTAGCCTGGCATGGTGGCACATGCCCGTAGTCCCAGCTATTTGGGAGGCTGATGTGGGAGGATCATGAGCCCAGGAGGCAGAGGTTCAGTGAGCCAAAATTGCACTACTGTACTCCAGCCTGGGCAACAGAGGGAGACCCTGTCTCACAAAAAAATAAAATAAAATAAAAAGGAGGCCTGTCGCGGTGGCTCACACCTGTAATCCCAGCACTCCAGCCTGGGCGACAGAGCGAGCCTCCGTCTCAAAAAAAAAAAAAAAAAAAAAAAAGCCATACTTGATCTGTACTTATATTTTATAAAATGAATAATTAAAAACATAGGTTCACATTCCCAAGTTATTTCAAATATACTCAATTTTCTAGTAACTGAATCAAATACCAAAACATTATTTTTCTTTCATTTTTGCATCCACATTGACAAAATTGGTTCATCATTTTTAGAATAATTGAATTGACTTTGAACCACAATGTATCATTTTTCAAACTATTTCTATCCAAGTTAAATAAATTCTTTTTTTTTTTTTTTTTTTTGAGACGGAGTCTCGCTCTGTCACCGAGGCTAGAGTGCAGTGGTGTGACCTCGGCTCACTGCAAGCTCCGCCTCCCGGGTTCAAACCATTCTCCTGCCTCAGCCTCCTGAGTAGCTGGGACTACAGGCGCCTGCCACCGCGCCCGGGTAATTTTTTGTATTTTTAGTAGAGACGGGGTTTCACTGTGTTAGCCAGGATGGTCTCGATCTCCTGACCTCGTGACCTGCCCACCTTGGCCTCCCAAAGTGATTCACTATATCTTGTATCAACTCAGTATTATTTATATCAAATTCAAAGGGATATTGCATAAATTGAAAAGCAACACTGAATTTATCAATGTCAACAAAACATTTAAATTTTTCTTGCAGTTTATGCAGGCAATTTACAAAATGCTGTCAATTACAATTAAAATCTTCAGCATATTGATCCGTGTTAAATGTCTAAAAACGTCATGATTGTTTATTTGTATTGTGAAAAGCCTCAGTTCCAACATACATTCTTATATCTGTCTAGCTAGGTTACAATAAGCTTTTCCTTTTCCTGGAGCTGCATATTAAGTTTGTTCATATGCAACATAGTATCAGTGCAAAAATGTAAATCATATTGCCATTTTTTTTTACTTTGATTATTATTTGGCAACCATCCTTCCATTTCAAGAAAGTCTTGAGGTGGAGTTAGCAGTGCAGTAAATCTTTGTAAAACTATTCTACAGTCAATCAGCAAGCACTGGCAAAGAATATAAGATCATTAAATCCATTGCCTTTGATTTTTTTCAACATCTCTGCAAACTGTCAATGATTCTATTTGCACATATATATGAAATGATTTTAACGACTGTATCCATGATACCTTAATTTATAAAGTCTGTCTCAGAAAACTGAGCACATATATTTTCAGTTTGTATCACAAAGTACAACAAAGCAATAAGGGAACCATCAGTATTGTTTTACAATTCCACTAAGTCTAGTTTTTTGACCTAATGGCTAGAGTACCATCCATTGTGATAGAAATTTTTTTTTCATACCTAACTGAAATTCTTTGACAGATGTAGGAGATTATAAAGTACTCCACAAGTTCCGTTTTACAGGCTGCAAATTGACATTTCTTTGTGAATTTGGAAGTCCTTTAAAGTAAACATACCCAAAATATATCTTTTCAAGTTTCTCTTGTATGTCATGCCTCATCAAAAACTGAAGAAAAGTTTCTGCAATTTTTCAAAATTTTAATCAATTGATTTTATTTTTATATTCTATAAGCTAAATAATAGCTAAAATAATTATTTCTTTTACCATCTCTGTATCTGAAAGTGGTTTTATAGCTGTACAAAGTTGCAAGCACAGATTCTGTTAAAATTGTGTAGACTTTTTTTTGTAGGACATTTATTTAATTCTAATTTCAGGTGACCAATTTCATCAATTTTTTTTAACTGGTGGCGGGGGGAACTTTAAAAAAAAAATCAAAATCACTGTGTATTTGCTGAAAAGGGTCTCTTTATTATTGTCCACTTTATTATCTTTAAAATTCTTTTTGCACAACAAACTTTTTTGTGATGATCCATTATGAAATTTGTGGCATATCTTCTTCCCGTCTCTTTTTTCCATTACTTTTTTGTTTCGGAGAGACTTTCCTTGCCTCAAACACTACAGAACTCGTAACTTCTCCACAATAGTACATGTTTGAATCAATTTTCTGTTTAGGGCTAAAAATAGAAATTCAGAAAACAGGAGCAGCAGTCTGATAGGATTTCAAAGCAGCATTCAGCAGACTACATTTCCTCTTGGGTTAAATGTGTGTGTGTGTGTGTGTGTGTACACGTGTTCATGTGTGTGATTGGGTGATCATCGTGATTAAAGAGAAAGGGTAAATTGCAAAAAGAAACACCACGAAGTTGCAAAGTAAAATGTTATTCTTTTAGATTAGGGTTAATTTTGAAACAGCCCACCACTCTAGCAGGCAGATCCCTGCAGAGGTTCATGACAATGGGAGAAGGCAGCCAGCGCTGCAGAGGAGCCAGGGAGGCCACAACTCCTGGCCCAGTCTCCAAGTAGGTGTGGGTACCTGGCTTTCCTGGGAAATCTCCCTTTATTTTTATTATTATTATTGTGGTAAACTATACATGACATAAAATATACAATTTTAGCCGTTTTAAAGTGCACAGTTCAGTGGCACTTAGTACATTCACAGTGTGGTATGATCCTTACCACTGTCTAGTTGTAGAACATTTTTATTACTCCAAAAATTCCTCCTGTACCCATTAAGTGGTCACTCCCCATCTTTTCCCACTCCCAGCCCCTAGCAACCACTAATCTACTTTCTGTCTCTACGGTTTTGTCTACTCTGGACATTTCATATAGGCAAATGATCCTGCCTATGTCCAGGATCCAAATGACAATTCATATAAATGGAATCATACACAGTATGTGGCCTTTTGTGTTTGGCTTCTTTCACTTAGCATAATGTGTTCAAGGTTCATCCATGTTGTGACCTGTGTCTTCCTTGTGTTTTGATGACCTTGAGAGACTTCCTGGCATAGCAATGAGGCCTGGCATTGAAGCCATGCATACCTGGATTTGAATCTTGTCCCACCTTTAAGCTTCAGTTTTTTGTTTTGTTTTTTGAGAGAGGGTCTCATTCTGTCACCTAGGCTGGAGTGCAGTGGTGCAATCATGGCTTACTGCAGCCTGACCCTCCTGGGCTCAAGTAATTGTCCCAAGTAGCTAGGTCTACAGGCGTGCACCACCACACCCAGTTAAAATTTTTTTTTATTTTTTATAGAGATGGGATCCCACCATATTGCCCAGGCTGGTCTCGAATTCCTTGCCTCAAACCATCCTCGCACCTCAGCCTCCCAAAGTGCTGGGATTATAGGTGTGAGCCACCACACCTGGCCTATGCTTTAGTTTTTTCATCTGCAAAATGGAAATGATATTCATCTCAGGAATCCTTGTGGGGGTTCATTTGCTCATTCAAAAAATAGTGATGGAGCAGCCACTGTGTGCCAGGCCAAGGCTTCACGGATATAGTGGTGAACAATACCAGGCAAACTCTTTGTGCTCATAGAACTTGGTTCTATCAGGAGAAATGGACGATAAACATGGAGACCAATAAATAAGATAGGAAGAAGAAAGTCTAATGTGTCAGAGAGTAATGTCTGGGGGTAGGAAATGGGCAACTTTAACAGCTTGGTGAGTAAAGGTTTTCTGCCAAGGGGCTGACATTTGAGCTGACCTCTGAGGAACAGAGTGAGCCAGGCTTGCAGAGAGCAAGGGAAAGAAAGATTATTCTAGGCAAAATAACAGCAAGAACAAAGACCATGACATGGAAAATGGTTTTGTCACGATCATGGAACAGAAAGAAGGCCAGCGTGGCCAAATTGGATGAGCGAGTTGTGGGAAGTATGACTTCAGGTTAGAAAGGCGAGCAGGAGCTACGCGTTACTTAGCTGTGCAAGCCAGTGTTTGGGCTTCATTCCAAGAGCCATGGAAGCCATGGGAGGGTTTCAGCTAAAGAGGTGATGTGTCCTCATTTACAATGGGAAGAGCACTCTGGCATCTGTGCGGAGGGTGGACGAGAGTATGAGCAGGAGCTGGAAGAGCAATAAGGAAGTTTTTGCACTAGTCTAGATGTGAAAATAGGTGGTTTGATGACTTGGACCAGGTCGGGGTAGGTGAGTTGTAAAGAAGTAAGAGGATTTGAGATGGCTTGAAGAGGAGGCAGGTGTGAAGGTTTAAATTATATAAATAAACAGGATAAATGGAATCTGCATCCAAAATGCCTAACTGCTTAGAACAGAGGCGGTGATCAACTCATGTCCCGTTCTGGTCCACTCCCCCCCGCCCCACCACCCACACAGACACACACACACACACAGACACACACACACACACAAACCTTGGTGGCTTTTGAAGAAGTATTTATGGGTTTCATCCTCATCTGGATTTTCCCATCATCAGGAATGAGTGGCAACTGCGGGGAGAAGGATGTGGATGTGTCTCTGATTTTCACAGCATGAAGACAGAATAAGTCTACCATTTTCTATTCCTCTATAATCTTGGTCTCTTAGAATAGCTATAGCCTTCAGCAATGATGGAGAAGCAGGGTTCTGTGGGATGAAGCAATTAGCCATGTTCTAGGAGAGAGGGAAGAGCCAATAAGGAGGGTGTTCTCTCCTCTCTCTCAGTTGCCAGAGCTCAGCCTGAAAGGGATTCCCTTCCTCTGCTCTCCCGCCACCGTGGTGCTTCCCTATGTTACACTATGTTGTGGTCCATGGTTTAGTTCTCCAAACAGGAGAACTACCCCTGGCACAAAGAGGGCCTTGATTAATATCTAAACACTGAATGAGCAACGGAAAACACCAGTGCTTCTTGTCTTAGAGCCGAGAAACTTCTGAGGTTGCAGAATAACCTGTGAAGTTTTTTCTTTTATAAAGATAGGAATAACAATAGCATCTATGCAAAGAATTGCAAGGATCATGAGAGATAATTTGTGTCATTCACTTTGCATGATGCCTGGCATATGACAAGTCCTTGATAGAAGTTTGCTATTACTAAGGGCCTGCTTCCTATGGCTTCTTTAAGAGCTGCTGTGTGTAAATGGCCCTCAGAGCCTCTTTGAGGGCTCTGGACTAAGAGGAAAGAAGAACTCTGGTGCAGGGACCCAAATAAGCTCTATCAGTTCTCACTGCAGTAGGGGCTTGACGGTGGAATTAACAAAGTGCCTTAGGTTTACTGCCAGTTCCCTGACAGCCTGATTTCCCATGTATTGTGTACCAGATGAGACATAAGGGATTGTGAAGGCAAATGAAAAGCAGGATATTGTTTACTGGGGCCAATATAAATATGTTTGTGGGGAGAGGAGAACAAAGACCTCAAAGCCTGTTGTTGACAGAAACCACGCTAGTGTTTAATACATGACGTCATCCTAGTAAAAATAATAGTTCCCACAGGTCTGCCAGGGAATGGGAGAGCCGGGGTTATCTGTACCCACACATGCCAGGAACCTCAGGGGTGCTGGCAACTGGTATATGATCCTGACCCAGCTTCCAACTAGCTCCATGGCATGTCTGAGGGAGGGGCTTCGTGGATAGTATCCTACTCTGAGTTCCAAACACACAGATCCCAACGTCTGGATTCCACCTCTGCTAGACACCAGCTTGTAGCAGAGACCTTAGCTGGGAGCCTGGTTTTTCCCAAATGTAAATTCAGATAAGAATTCAACCCCTACTAGAGTAGTTGTGATGAAAAAACAAGATAAATAAAATAAACAAGATTTAAAGGAAATGCTAACTGCAAGAGAGCCTTTGGTATTCATGGTAGCCTCACCCACTTCTGTGTGCTCCTCTCTCACCTATGCAGAAGCATTGAAATTCCAGGCTTCATCTCCAGTCTCACCACCCTGAACCCCTACTTTGCTTAGCTTCCCTCCTCTATGTAAATTTGTTTTATTTATTTAGGCCTTTTGTAAGGTGTGTGAAGGTATCTGGGCTAAGAGAGTGGAAGGTCAGTGAACCCCTGAGAAAATACTAGCCACTTGGGGGTCCTCATTCTTGCCCAATCAGTCAGAAGATCCAACTACTCCTCTGTGTGCCCCTTCCTGCTCCATGTGCTCCTTTATTTTACCCATTTTTCTCCATGGTAAATGCAAGTGTAAGGCTTTGAAGGCACAGGGGAGCCTCTACAAGCCCTGAGTGGAAATTCGCAGCCAGTATGTGAAAGCATGACTTCAATTTTTTGAAGACTGGGCCCTAAGAACTGGACATGATGAAGCTTACCAGTTTGCCAATCTTCACCTTCTGTTTTCTTCCCCTGAGAGTTTCCACTAGAAATTCCCCAGCTTTGGTTTGAGTGCTTGGCTCTGTAATCTTGGAGACACTCTGCATACACCCCACAATTAAGACATCGCAACTCCATGCAATGTTTCTTCAGAGAAAGTTAGATGCAATTAGATCATTTGAAGATGGATTAGCCTGCCATCTGCACAATATTAAGAAAAATCATGTTGGCAAATGATGGGGCCTCTTTGAAGAGCTCTGAAGGAAAGCCACTAATGGGCTCTACACTGGGTTTCCCCCCTGTTCCCGAAGGGTTAACACAATGTGTGGGAAAGGAAAAAAAAATCCCCTGTGGCATTAAAATGCTGTGTCAGAGATTTGTAAGCTCCCCTTTGTAGCTCTGCCCTGGGGCCTGGCTCACTTCAGTGGAGATGAGGTTAATAAGACCTCTGTTGCTGCTTGGCAGTTCTTAACGGGGTTACAGTCTGGTGCCTGACCAGTGAAGGACAGTTATTATTAAAGTGCTGAGGAATTTAATTCAATAAGGTCAGGGACATCTGCTGTGCTTGCTTGCCCAATGTCCATTTATTCTTCTTTTTACAAGAACTGCTTGCTTTTCCTTTGCGGAAAACCACCTCATGCCCATTCTGTCTAGGTGGAGCTGACCCTTACCTAAATCAGGGTGGCCACATGACCAAGCCAGCCCAGTTAGTGTATTTGGGTATCCAACCGTGCCCCAAAGTCACTGGACTTGTCAGTTACATAAGCCTATAAACACCTTTACCCCTCAACCCTCATTTTTCTTTTTCAGCTTCTGCAAGGTGGAGTAGCTACATTAACTATTTAAGGGATTAAATGGCATGAAGTATAATTAGATAGAAACTAAACTCTGTGGGAAGTCAAGAGAGGGAGAGGTTGATGTGGGTGGGTGGGCTTCCTGGCAGAGGCTGAACTTGAACTGATCTTAAAGGATGGAGAGGATTAGGTGAGACCAAGAGAATGCAGAACTCTGTGCAAGGCACAGAGGGAGGGAGAACTCAGTTAAAATGAAGATCTGTGGACAAGAAATGAAAAGTGGGTTTTGACAAATAGAGGCAGGGAAAATGCCAGAGGACTTGGAATCCCAGGATGAGAAGTTTGAACTTACCTGGATAGTTCCCCAGTGTGGACTTATGTATGGGTGGGGAAAATCCACACCAGATTGTGCTACCAGTTTGGGCAAGTATATGACTCTATGCCTTACCTGTGTTAGAGACTGGCACAGGTGCAGGCAGGGCACTAACCTTGGCTCCGCCACTTAATAACTGAGCAACAATGGGGGAGTTACTTAACCTCCAAATCTCAATTTTTTTCCATCTGCACAATGAAGATAAATAATAACCTGACATTCAGTGTTTGTGAGGATAAAATGAGATAACCTACGTGGGAGCCCTTAGGATAGTACCTGGCACATGATAATAATAGTAGATAATATCTGTTGAGTGCTTATTAGTGTTCCCGAGGCACTGTGCTAAGCTCCTGACATACCTTATCTCATTTAATCCTCCCAATAGCCAGTGCTTTAAAAATGTTGGCTGAATCCGATTTGGGGTAACCTTGTCATTCCTGTGCTTGATCAAACAATAAGCTTATCAGACATTTACTGTCCAATGAGAGCTGAATACATAATCTGAATATTCAAGTTCTAATTTCTTAATACACACCCTAAAATGTTTTAAATTTAATAAAATTACACTTCAGAACATCTAGAGAATAGAGTAAAAAAAATGTACATATAACTTCACTAACCACAACAGAACCATGTTTTTCTAATATAGAGGGGGTTAAGATTATCTGCTTTTAGGCCCACCAGATCACCACAGTGTGATCTGGGGCAAGTTACTTTATCTTCTCTCAGCCTTAGTTTCCTCATCTGTCCTTATACGATGTTTCTAGAAGCTTCTTCATAGGGGTTTTTTGTTTTGTTTTTGGCAAGGTTTAAGAGTGATAATTCATGCTGTATGGAGCATCTGACACATAATACACCATCAATGTTAGCTCCTATGAATGCCTCCAGTCACTGTCCTATACATTTTCCCTGTGATTGCAATAACCGTGTATATGCAGTTGCATCCTTATTTTTTCACTTAACACTGTATCTCAGGCATCTTTATAAGTAACAAGATCTCCCTGTCCCTCATTCCTAATGTATATGTTCTCCTAAAATCACTTTAAGTGTATCAACTTGCTCTTGCTTCATCTTTTAAAAACATGTATAAGTAATGCTACACTCCACACCTTTACGCTTAATGGCTCTAAGAGTTCACGTTTCAGTGCACCATCTCTTTGAGTTCAAATTATGGTTCTGCCCACACCTTTTCAGAATGTGGTGAGAATGAATGACACCCAAGTCAGGAAAGGCCTTTGACAAATTGCAGATTATGCTGGCTTGATAAGTGACCACAGGAAAGTATGATTGTCACTTTTCCAGCAGTGGGTTTCCTCCAGTGTGATATTCTGTGCCTCACCTATCAAGAGGTGTTACTGTGGGTCTTCCTGTCAGCTCAGTTCTCCTACCCTTCTTGCTGACAGAGGAAGAAGAATCCCACTACCTTTTAGCTGGAGGTTATTCTCCTGATCTCACTGAATCTTATTTCTTGGAGTAGCAAGGAATCTGCAAAACAATTTGAGGCTGTCTTTCTGTTGCAAATCAAAGCCCCAACCTCTTATTTGGGTCTTAGAGCAAGAGTTCCCCAAGTACTTTGAAATTGGACCCTTCTGTACACACCTGGAGTCACCAGTAAGCCTTGCCCATAGATTCCCTGGTGGATGGACACACAAAGCTAAGGGCAAAGGTGACCTTTTCATTTCTTCTTCAGGTCCTACAATGCCTTTGAAATCTTTATGATCTGCACCTTCAGGGATTATACAAACAGCTTGAGGAAATCCTAAAATTGTGTTTTCTCCAGATAAGCATCCAGGTCAAAGGAAAGACCTCTGCATGCCTTCCTGATAGAAAGAAACTTGCCTCAATTTAGAGAATGCCACCAAGAACAAAATTGGCATGCAGCCATTTGTGCAGTGCATTAAAAACCAGTTTACAAATAGTGGTACAATTCTGGAAGTGTCAGACCTCATAGTGTGGTGTAGTGGAAGTCCACAGACTATTTACCATATTTCAAATGTCTTACTGTTTTTAAACAGCAGCACAGGATAACCAGAGTAACACATTTCTTTGTTTCTGTCTCGAATAACATCAATTAAGTAAAAATAAAATTTATTATCATGCAAGTTATAAGCTTTCCTTGGCAATTATATTTTGATATATTTATATGCTAATTTTAACAAATTTTGGTTAACATATCTTACAGCAGTATTTTTTATATTAATAATGGTAAGAGGAACAGTTACTTTTTTACTTAGCTATTAGTTAATTGAGATTATTTTAAAAGCTGTGTGACGTTGGAAAACTGATTAACTAATACAGGTATTTATAAGATGTTTGGTCTAAAATAAGGTATTTAAACTACCTGAGCCTCAGTTTCCTCATATAGAAAAAATATACCCTCCTCATATGGCTGTTATAGGGGAAAAAGACACAATATGCAAAGCACATAGTACGGAGGCAAAGTATCTGGCACATAGTATGGTTCAATAGATAAATAATTTTCCCATAGAAACTGCAAATTTATATATGAGACAAAAAACATTTCAAGTATATGTTCTTGAGGGCAGGGAGATGTAAGGTTTTTAAAGGTTCTTTGATAAAAAGGTTGGAGCATGGCTCTTTGGCTCTGATCACTCCATTGGATACTTAAAACAATGTTCAACTCTGTCATCAGAATGAAATGTCCACTGATTCATCTCCATTTCTTAACTACCAAGCAACGTTCTTTTGAGGGCTTTCACACCCTCACGTATCCTTTCCACCTGAACCTCAGTGGCTGACTTTACCCCAGGCCCTGAAGGCAGAGGTGGAGCTGAGCTCTGTGTCTGGGAAGAGAGAAGCAGGCACGTCCTCTGATCCTTGCCCAAGGGCCTGCTTTGTGAGTGGGGCATCAATGCCGCTTTTGTTCCACCTTTAGCGTCTGGCCCACAGCTGAACTCAAAGAGGCTGGCTGCTCGGGGCAACCCTGGCCCACAAAGGACAGACAGCACCAAGCCCAGCCAAGGGTTCACTCAAGACCCCAAGATCCAGCACGGTGGTTCTCCCCACTGGGGAGGCAGCCTCAGGGAACATTCTGTCTGCCTTTGGCATTCTAAACCATTTCTAATTTCATGAAGATAAGTCAGAGGTTTTAAATGTGATATCACTGCTGAAAAGGCCAGAGCCATCAGCGTAGAACCAGCATGTCCTTGCTAATTACAATACACAATCATTGCCTTATGTTGATGCAGTCATTTGCTCATTCATCAGCTATTAATTGAGTTCCTACTATGTGCTCAATGTGATGCTCAATGTGAGGGACATGGAGGTGAAAAGATGATGTCCCTGCCCTTAACTCTCTGGTGTACTGGCAAATAAACTGTCACCTGCTAAGACAAATAGAACATAATATCTGGACACTATAACAAAAACCTGGAGAAGCAGAAACAGTCTACATAAGGGGCCAATAATAACCATTGCTACAGTTGATCAAGCATTTGCTGTGTGCCACTCACTGTGCTAAGCACTTAGTGTGTATTATCTCATTTAATTCTTAAAACACAGCTATAATAGTAGTTTGATTCTCTTCCTATCTCTCTGGGAAAGGCCATGCAAAGAAAATGGCATGTGAGGGTCTTGGAAAAAGAATAGGAGTTTGCCAACTAGACAAGCAGGGGAGATCATTGCGGGCACAGGAAACAAAAATGATCTGTTTGGAGAACTGCAGATCTTTGGTATGTGTGGAGCAAAGGGAATATGCAGGGCCTCGTGTGAGAATAGTGATTGCAGTGAAGTGAGAACTAAGTGGGATGAAGCTTCAAATGTGGAAGACTGTAAGCAGAGCTAAGATGTCGAGGAAGGAGACTCGGTAGGATAGTGCTTCAGTTAGAAGGAGGGATGGCCACGTTTGTTGGTTCACTTTTGAGATGCAGAGCCTATTCCTAGGGTAGGCTATGAGAAGGGAACAATGAGAGGGAGAAACTAAAAATGCCGGACAGAGAGTGACTAGTGGAGACAGGACCTCACCCTCCTCTGATTGGAAGAAAGATAAGAAGAGAACCAAAGACATAGACACATTCTAAGAATAGGTGTTGGGAGGCAGAACACAGGTAAGAGGGGGCAGAAGGAAAAGATACGATCTTAAGAGTTGTACCTGCATGACGCCTGATGTCTCTGAGGTTAAAGGCAAGTCCAACAAGGAGAGTGAGAGGTGACAGAGTATTATAGAGGCCTTGGTGAAAGGAGTAAAAGTTTGGAGTCATTGTTGAGTACGATGATGAGGTGCTGATAACACAAACTCTTGATTTCGAGGAAGGAGTGTTCAAAGGAGGAGGAGGAAAATGACTGCTAGAGAGAAAGGTGATGGATGGCATGTGAAAATAGTTGAGTGTGCTGAGAATCGTTGATTAGAGTGGCGAAAGGTAATGAAGGGAAGACTTAATAGGTGATTTCAGGTTCAGACATCTGAATGAGGGCATGGACCTATTCCATGCAGCTTCAGGAGACAGAACGAGGTCCAACAAGTGGTCATTCCTAGGAGACAGATTCTCTACCCCCAAACATTAAACATTAAAACATGTAAGTAAGTGTACATTAAAAACATTAAAATGTGTAAGTAAGTAGCACTATCCAGCAATGGAATAATCTGCCTCTTGAAGGATTTCAATCATCTGCCAAGGATGTTGTGCTGGAAATTTGGTATGCTTAATTAGATGGCTTCTTCTATCTTTTTTAATACTAACATATCATAGATACTTAATATATGGAGCATTGAAATAGATAGCAGCCAATTTTGGCATTCTTGCAGGTTGTCCCACTGTCTGAGCAAGAGAATCTTGATTGGGATTTTTTTTTTTTCTTTTTTGGAGACAGAGTCTCGCTTTGTTGCCAGGCTGGAGTACAGTGGCGCAGTCTCGGCTCACTGCAACCTCCACCTCCCAGGTTCAAGCAATTCTCCCACCTCAGCCTTCCAAGTAGCTGGGATTAGCTGGGATTACAGGCACCTGCAACCACGCCCAGCTAGTTTTTATATTTTTAGTAGAAACGGGGTTTCACCATGTTGGCCAGGCTGGTCTTGAACTCCTGACCTCAAGTGATCTGCCCTCCTCGGCCTCCCAAAGTGCTGGGATTATAAGCATGAGCCACCGTATCTGGCCTTGATTGGAATTTTCAGTAAGATTTATGCAGTTTAAGAACTGTGGAAACAATCTTGATTTTTTTTTTTATTCCAGGAGGATTTTTGTTAAGATTAGCAGAAGCCATGCTCTAGTTTGAGAAAAATACACATGGTATTATTGAGTTAACAGGCATGATGTGTATATAATACTTACTATGGAGAGGGCTTCTTTCTATAATTAAGGCAGAATGCCCATCCCTTCTCATTGTGGATCTGGAGAGGACCCTTAGCTGGGATGACTAAAGGAGGAGCCTCTGTTCTTACCTGATTTGGAGTCCTCTTCTCATCATGAAAGATGTTTGCGCATCTTTCATGCCCTGTACCTTTCTTTTCATTTGCCCCCTGCATTTGGGATTGGTTGCTTTCTTTTTTGGAACCTATGAGACTATTTCAGTGGTTCTCAACTGAGGGTGATTTTGACCCTCAGAGGGCATTTGACAATATCTAGAGATATTTTTGATTGTCATGACTGGAGAGGGATGCTGCTGGCATCTGGTGGGTAGAAGGCAGGGATGCTGCTCAAAGCCCTACAGCGCACAGGACAGCCGCTCTCAACAAAGAATCAGCCAGCCCAAAATGACAATAGTGCTGAGGTTAAGAGACCATGGTCTGTTTTTAAGTCTTCCTTCTAAATCAGCTGCCACCAATACACTCTGTAAAACCCCAGATGCCTACTTTTATTTTCTAATTTAAGAACTGTTGTGTGGTTGAATACTCTGTCTCTGTGAACTCTACCCCCACCCATCCCGTTCTTCATGCTGTAGCAATAAGAAGGACATTTTAAACTCCCTTTGACCAGAAAAGTCACTTTTGGTTAGGGTCCAAACAAGAAACACATCCCTCCCTGGATAAAGGCAGAGATGCCACAGCTTGCAGAGAAAAAACATCAGACATTTCCCAATGGCAGCAACTCTGGGCCAAGAGTACGGATGGAGGACAAGCTACAGATACAGCCACATGGTGCCCTTCATTTGCTTTTGAGTAGGAGCTCACACTGTCTTTAAAAGATTGGACAGTAGAGCTCAGCCATGAAGGGCCCCTGTAGCCTTTCCAAGCCAGGATAAGACCAAGACGGTGGTATGAAAGCAACTGTGACTTTGGCACAAATACAGACTGAGAAAATGGTACCTGACTAGGTTACTCTTATGACCCTCTGAGAATCCCCACACAGCACATGCTAACATGTACCTACACCTCTGTGTCCCAAATTAGGCTGAAGTTTTCAGTTAGCCAGATCATAAATTAGGCCTTTGTAGCTCTAAGATCCCCTACCCCTGAAGAATCCTAGGAAAGCCTCCCTTACTACACTTCATGACTCAGCATTGATAGCCTGCTCCAACAGAAATAGCCCAAGGCTGAGATTTCCCTTCTCATCCCTTATGTTTTTCAGGCTGAGCAGTCATAGGGAAATCATTCAAACTCTTAGAACCTAGGTTTTCTTATCTCTGAAATGAAGACATCGACCTTCCAATTTCTGGGAACCTGTATTGAAAAAGTACTCTCAAATACGGACATAATTTTATGTACAAAGTTACTTATTGCTTCATTATTTAATGTTAGACATATTGTGAAATAGATTAAATATGACACATTTATAGAATGGAACATTATGTACCCATGAAAAAATAATATACATGAAGAGTTTCATTGGCTGTGAAAAATGCTTGTGCTCTAATGTCAAGAATAAGAAGCAGGCCGGGCTTGGTGGCTCACACCTATAATCCCAGCACTTTAGGAGGCTGAGGTGGGAGGATTGCTTGGGCTCAGGAGTTCGAGACCAGCCTGAGCAACATAGGGAGACTCTACAAAAAATAAAAAAATTAGCCAGGTTTGGTGGCCCATGCCTGTGGTGCCAGCTACTCAGCAGGTTGAGATGGGGGGATTGCTTGAGCCTGGGAGATCGAGGCTGCAGTGAGCCATGATTGCACCGTTGCACTCCAGCCTAGGTGACAGCGCGAGACACTGTCAAAAAAAAAAAAAAAGCGGCAAAATATAACACCCCCCACACACATACACAAACACACATTTATATGCTTATAGTATGATCTCAATTCTATAAAATATGTATAGAAAAAAGTCTGGAGGGAAACCAAACTATTACCAAGAGTTTATACTTTGTTTTATGTTAGTATGTTTATAACGTTTTTAATAAAAATAAAGCTGAGGTATACAATAATTCTTTTCCCTTTAAAAGCAGAGCATATAACTCTCAAGATTGAGAAACACTGATTTACAGCTGTAGACAGAACTGGGGCCAGAGATAAAATTTTGGAGTCATAGATGTTTTAGTAGAGATTGATTACTGGATAAGATCACCTAGGATGAGCCTGTAGAGTGAGAAGAGATGAGAGCCAAGGCTTGAACCCTGGGAAATACTGACATTTAGGGAATGGATGAGGAAGACAAGCCAGAGAAGGGAATAAGTTCGTGGCAGTAATCCATATGAGATAATAACCTATATGGATTACCATGGTGGCGTTGGGACATGCAAGGGAATGATAAAGCTGATAGGCATTTTAAAATAAATTAAGGGTTGTAAATTACATGTACAAGATGAGGGTAATGGAAAAGCCAAATATTACTTAAACCTCTCTAGTTTGGAATATGGAAGAATGCTGATATCAAGGAAAGCAATGGGATAGTTGAAAGAGATGCATATATGGTAGGAGTGGGGAAGAGGTTAGGCTTAGTCTTGTATGAGTTGGGTTTGAGATCTCTCTTCAAGAAAATAACTGCTCTAAGAAGTGCAGTTATCTGAAAGTCCCCAGCTGCAGCCCCTTGGGGATCGGCCATACCATGCAAGCTGAGGTCACCCTCTGCCCAGGCAGCTCTCAGCCATGACTAAGCTTAGAAGCAGCATTAGAGCTGATCCTCTCTGCCCATGCGAGCCTCCTCTAGTAAGTAGGCAGTCCTTGCACGTGGGCTCCCCACTAGGCTGACCCAGATTCTGAGGGCTGACCTTGGTTTAAGCTCTTCCCATTCAATCTCCCTTCTTCCCACTCTTCTTTCTCAGATATCAAGTCTGTATCATGGTCTGAATGCTCTCCCTGCCTGCTCTTCTCTCTCTCCCTCTTTCTCTTCCACAAACACTGCCCCCAGTAAATCTCTTGCACTTTGAATTCCATCTTGGTATCTGCTTTCCAGAGGACCAGAACCAACACAAGTGATGGTTACATATCCAAAAGAAATTATTGTGGAAGGAAAATAGTACAGTTCTTGAAAGCAATCAGGATTGAGGGATAACTGAATCTCAAGAGTCTCCCTAATAGCATAATTAGAGGGAGGAGTGGAGGACAAGGTTTGAATCTTATGTTACAGTCATAATTGGGAAAGAGTACAGTTAGTCTTGTAATTGGGAAGAGAATTCAGGATGGTGGGGGGAAGTTATTGAAAAAGTAGAAGGAAACTCTGGGAAGTGTAGGATCATAGAACATGAAATAGAGAGAGAGCTTTTTAGGAACAGGTGATAATCAGCGCAGATGTCATCAAAGAAAATCTGAGTAGGGACTGAGGTCTTGTATTTAGAGACTGACAGTGTGGCTGGCTGGCCATCAAGTGATTATTTCAGGGAAAGAATGAGAATAGGTGCCAAGTTTACAGGAATGAAAAAGAAACATAGTGGGAAATAGCTGGAGGTAATGACAGTAGACCTCACATTGAAAATGTTTGTCCATGAATGAGAGGAGGGAAATTGAGCTAATTAGAGTAATAATTTCCAAGATTGAGTGTGTGTGTTTTAGGAACACCTAACCATTTCCAGAAGAGGGCTTTAAAGGTGCTAGAGAGAGAGAGAGAAAAAAAAAAAAACAACCATTGTAGAATTAAAATGCTGAAAGCAGTGGGAAGAGAAAAGCTACTGAGGCCAGAGGGAGGGGTTAGATTTTAAACGGAAGAGAGAAACCTCTTTTCTGGAACGTGGCAACAAGAAGATGGCAGAAATGACAGAGATATAAGGGGTGAGAGTGAAGAACCTCACGCTTAGAATGTGTTCCTGGTACAAAAGTAACAAGACCAACCTCTAAGAATAAGAGAATGAGATGGGGAAAATGTGTAAAGAGAGTGGAGATGATCAGGAATGGCTGGTGAGCATACTGTTATTCCTTAAGAAATGTGATGGGGCAAAGGAAAATCTTGCCTTAAATGCATGAAGTTGGATCTCTGTCAAGTACTGGTCCAAAGGACTGTGACTCTAATTGGTAAGAAAGAACTAATAAGGTCCTGGCATTTCTCTTACATCTTGAATTTTCCTAGTTCAACTATAACTCAAGTGTTCAGAGAAACAAACTGGCTTTACGCAGTCCACTTTTGTAATTATCAACAATCATAGAAAAGGAACTAGTATATAGCTACTTATTTGCTTTGTTTGAATGGCACTGTACTTTATCATAACAATGGGTGATAAAGATGATAAAAATATCCAAGAACCACAATGCTCTATGTCAGAACTAGGTTGACTGGAGAAGAAATGCTCTCTGAAGCAAACGTTCTGGATACTCAAAGACTGGATTTGTACAGTGGTCTTTAGGCGTTATAACTCTGTCCAGGTCTCTCAACACTTACAGCTATCAAGGAAACTTTATTATTGATATTCTACAGAAAAAATCACGATTACTGCAAGTCTGTAAGCTCTTAAGTATTTTTCCCATTGAAATTATTGTTTCATTAATATAATATATTCAACCTTGTGCTATCTTGGGTATGCAACTCTACAGTTAGAGCAGATCAAAGGGCAGTAGCCTGAAAGGAGCTGAATGACAAAATCCATGGCATTTCTCATTAGTCTTAGCCAGAAGTGGCTCTTTATGGAGAGGACTCATCCTGGTCTTGTGAAGAGAAATGCACTGAAACTGGAAAGGAATGAGCTGGCCACATCAGTTTCTTCAAAGCTGCCAGTTGATATGTCTATGTCTGCAAGTATGACTTATGCCTGTTAATTACCCCCCAAACTCCTTCAACAGACAAAGCTCTTTATTCTGCTGACTTTGAAGTATAATTTGGGGATGCCTTGAGAAGGTCAACGCGACAGGCCAGCTTTTGCCCTGCAGTGGGCTGTGCAGGTGTGTGCTAGCTGTTGGCTTCCAGGCCTGTTTTATTCCAGCCCTGGCAGAGTTTGCAGGAATGTCATGAGAAGAGATTTATAATACTTTCTGATTCCATCCAGTTTCAAATAATTTTATGAATAATCTTTCTCATAGCATACTAGTAATTCTACAAGCAGTCTTGGCCAAAATCAACGGAGTGAGCATGCTTAAGGAAATAATTTTCTTTTTCCTTTTTAAGAAATCATTTTGCTGAAGTTTTACAAACCTCATAAAAATTAAGGGTTGGTTTGAATTTGGGAGAAAGACTCACTTTATCTGAACTCATTTGCCAAAAATATTTAAATGAGCACATGCTGGATGTAAAAGTGCCAAAGCAATAGCATCAATTATGCATTCTCAACCTTCCAGACTTTCCAGAGTCATTAAAAGGCAGCGTTTTCCTACAGGTGTTAATGGGATCCTGCAAAGAGGAAGGTGGTTTTAGGTAGGATTGTGACAGAGTGGCTCGTGCGTTGGGTGCTATGGAACCCACTGAGGGGCTTCTGACCACAGTCCCATGCAGAGCCAACAATGGCATTCGTTGTTATAAGCAAGTGTCAGTCACAAGAGAGCTGCCATTACAGAGTGTTGCCCAGCTTTCCATATTCCCAACATGGCCAGAGGTTTCATTCTTTGAGAATGTGTTTATTCAGCCTAGTAAAAACATTAAAAAGGGGAATAAATCTCTGCCGACCCCAAAATGCTTTTCACCACAGCTGTAAACCATAAAACATTTAGAAAGGTAAGCAGGACTAAAGATAATATAGTTTCCCCAAGCAGCAAGGAGGGCAGACCTGGAGGTGGCCCTTGCAAAGACAGCTGCAGTGCACAGAGCTTCCCTGCAAAATCATTAAGAAAGGGACAGGTTCTATAAGGTGCTAAATTATTATTAGTTTTTTTTTAAGTTGGGGGAGGGCAATAATAAAAACCATGTGCTCAGCAGCCTGCTTGGCCATATAAAACAGAAAGGCCTGTGACTTTAAGTGTTGTAAAAGGGGTTAATTGTCGATTTCTGAATGTGGCAAGTTTACTGATCTTGTTAACAGCAACGGGGCATGTGCCGTTGGTTATCATGGCGGGAAAGAAAAACAGCCATCCATCCCTTATTCCCTGGATGCCGTTATTAGTCTTGGAACCCAAGTTAAGGGACATATGGGTGAATGCAGTCTTAAAATTGCTCCTTTCCACCTGTCCAAATTTCTACCCATTCTAAAGCTTCCAGTTCCACCTAACAACTGCATTTTTACTGCCATTTTTCAAATGCCTGCTGTGGATCAGTTCCTTTCACACAAAATGTGTTGTCTATTTGTATGACAACCTAATGGAGTGGGCAAGGATGATACAACCATTTTACAGACAAAGCAACTGAGGTTCAGAGAAGTTAAGAAAGTTATCTATGGCGACAGAGCTATGAAGCAGAGGTTCAAACCCGTCTTTATATTCCAAGTCCAGGTCTTTTCAACTAGTTATTCAAATAATTCATTTGTTCATCCATTTACTCAATAGATAGTTATTGGCCATGCACTAAGAGCCGGGTGCTGGTCTAGTTGTTGAGGATAGAGCCCTGGACACAACTGACAATGTTCCTGCCATCACAAGGCCTATAGTTTAGGAAGCACTAGTCTAACTTCCAATAACCATCCTCTCTTCTAACCTACTTTCACATGCACAGTCAGCATCTGTAATTTGATATTTTATTTTGCTGTTGAGTATTGCACATTACCTTTGAGTATGGTGTGTTACCTTTGGCTCCCCCAGCTAGATGATGAGCCTGGTGAAGGCAGGGCTGTTGTCTAATATTTCTCTTTTTCACAGTCTACCCAGCACAACCCATTAAATAAGTGCTTTTTTTCTCCTGTAGAACATCTTTATTACTGTGATCTTAAGATCATTTGGGGTTTTATTTAGAGCTTAGCTATTGCAGCTTCTGTTATTGAGCTTTGTCAAATGTTATGTTTATATTGTCTCATTAGTGCTGACACCACCCAACTATAAGACCCATTTTACAGTTGAGGAAATTGTGGCTTATGAGGGCTGAGAAACTTGCCCGAGTTCTTAGAGTCAGTAAGAAGAAAAGCTAGGATTCTGCCAGTGGCTGAATTCAAAAGCCCAATTTCTGTATACCATGTACTTGAGCCTGAGCAGTGAGGGAATCTTTGCCCACCTGAAACATATAGAGAATATCAAAAGACCCTATGATATGATATACATGATACATAAGGTGAATTTAATACCAGCCATTGATTCATCCAGTCACTCCAATCACTCAGACCTTCATAGTAAAATTCATGTGGCATCTTGGCTCCTGCCCCACCCTCTATTTTGTGGTCTTCTTAAAATGCTATCTTTTTTCAATAGAATAATTTTCAAAGGAATCCCTGTGTTCCTAGAAAGGTGACAAATCAGAGATTGACTAGCATGAGGAGGGTAGTGGAAGGTTCACACCTGTTTGTAATAACTGGCTTATACAAAACGTAAGTACGAACACAATGGATGGCGATTGTGTTCTGCCAATGCGGTTGGCATTCATTCTGAGAAAAGATGGCAGACCAAGGCCAGAGCATGGCCCAGTTGCTGAAAATCAGAACCACACTGGAGCCACCAGGGACCCTGGTAACTAGGTGGAGCTGAACCATTTATTTCTGTTTTGATGGCATAGTTTCCACTTTAAGTAATGTGGGCTTAATCTTCATTTACATTCTTCAATCTACACAGAAGTGTATTTATTATTGTCTTGTGATAAGCAGTAGTGTTAATATAAAGCAGTGCTCCCTGAAACTGCAGACAGTTTCCAAGGTCTGGGCAAAAAGAAACAAAAATGTAGGGAGGGGAGCCCTGCAGCATGACAAGAGTTTTTGAAAATGAAAACCAAAAAAATTTTAAAGAAAATGAATCCTAATCCTTTTGGAACTTTCATCAGTCAGTCTGTCGACAAGGAACTGATAATTTCTGAATGTGAAGATTTGGATAACAAATGAGTTACATGTATAACTAGGCTTTTGCTGGGTTTCTCTATGTAGATAATGACTCAACTGGTGAGTACCATCAGAGAAAGGCCAGTACACTGGGTGGCCTGTGGATGCTTGTGTTTATTTGATGCAAGGCTCCTGCTTTCGTTGGGGATTGCTGGAAGAGTGACACACACCAAGCTACATTTCTGCCAGTTGTGGTTTTGAGATAACAAGGCTTAAAATTTGTATGCCAAAGTTAAAATTCATGATCTTTTTCCTGTGGGCACATTTTAGTTCAGTCTCTTTGCTCAAAAGAATTTGACACCAATTATTGCTTTTCAGTACTATTGAGCATGAGACAATCTATAGAATAATCCAAAAAGGAAGATCTATAATTATACACCTTCTCATAAAGGGATCATGGATATTATTGCTATGTATGTCCAGAATAGCTCTTCTTACTTTTGAGGAGTAACTATTAGAGTCTTACCAGGTGCCAACCACAGTGCTTCACATTCTTGCCACAGAGACTGGTCCAAGGATAGGCAGATGACAAAACCAGGCAAATTCTAATTCTTCCACAAATGTTTTCTAATATAGAGCTGCCAAAATTGCTCTCCTGCATTTTTTAGGTGTGCAATTGCAATATAAATCTGAAAATGCCCATGGCCATGAAAGATCTGGAAATGAAAAATAGCATTATCTGATTCTTTGGATCTAGTCTTCCCTGAGCCAGCTCCACTTTTCCCATGCATGGGGCGGGGGGGTCGGGGCTAGCGAGCTAATAAATATCCTTTTATTGCTTAAACTAGCTCCAGTTCTGATCCCACCATTTGTAACCAAGTGTCCTGAGTGACATAAATAATTAAATCAGGCCCAGAGAAATATGACCCTTAGTATCTGACAATTAGGAGAAGCATACAAACCATAAATTAAATGACATAAAAATAATTCTTATGCAAAAGACAGTATACCTCAAGACATGAAGGGTTGTTTTGAAATCCTTGGAAAGCAATACAGACTGCAGAATATAATTCTTGTGGGAGAATCAGTCTCCACAGTGTTTTCTGCAGAACTGAGAAAGTATCACCTACCTGCCAGAGCAGGGCTTTAAAATGACAAATCTGGTTTGTTCTGGACACAGTGATTTTTTTAAGAATTTTTTTTACTATACTTTAAATAATAAAAATATATTTTCATTGTTATTAAATATTATTATAATACTTTTATTGGTATTTTAGGAGCATTACTCCAAAGATGGTGAGAAATTATTATATACAAAATTGTAATGTGTTTCACCTTCAGAATGCTATTTTATTTTCTCAGCTAATGATTATTATTTTAGCAAGATTTGACAATAATAGTAAAATAATCGAACCAGTATTTTTTTTTTTGAGACATGGTCTCACTCTGTGTCTCAGGCTGGAGTGTAGTGGCATAATCATGGCTCACTGCAGACTCAACTTCCCAGGCTCAGATGATCCTCCCACCTCAGCCTCCCCAGTAGCTGGGACTACAGGCACATGCCACAATGCCCAGCTAATTTTTCGTATTTTTGGTAGAGTCAGGGATTTGCCATGTTGCCCAAGCTGGCCTTGAACTCCTGGGCTCAAGTGATACACCCACCTCAGCCTCCCAAATTGCTGGCTTTATAAGGGTGAGCCACCGCGCCAGGCCTCAAAGCAGTACATTAAGAACTGTTCGTGTAAATAAGCTCTGTTGAGGGACATTAACTGGGGAATAAAGTGGCTGGAAAGGACACATTGAACTCCTTTTTCATCTTCTCTGAAAATGTTAATAATAACTGAGACACATCTCTGTGTCTATATCTATACTTTTCATAAGTGAGGAAAGAATATGTGAAAATTTGGCCAAAACTTAAAGTTTTTGAATGCAGGAAAAGGTTTGTTATTCACAGTGGAACAGGGGAAATGTAAGAAGATGATACGGTTTGGTTGTTTCCCTACCCAAATCTCATCCTGAATTGTAGCTCCCGTAATTCTCACGTGTTGTGGCAGAGACCTGGTGGGAGATAATTGAATCGTCGGGGCAGTTTCCCCCATACTGTTCTCGTCATAATGAATAAGTCTCATGAAATCTGATGGTTTTATGAGGTTCTCATTCCCTTTTGCCTGCCACCATGTAAGACACTTGGTTCTCATTCCCTCTTGCCTGCCTCCATGTAAGATGTGCCTTTCATCTTCCACCATGATTATGAGACCTCCCTAGCCACTTGGAACTGTGAGTCCATTAAACCTCTTTTTCTTTATAAATTACCCAGTCTTGGGTGTGTCTTTATTAGCAGCATGAGAACAGATTAATACAGAAGTCTTCTGCATATTGAAGAGAAAAAGCCTATTGTCTTCTCAATGTCCAGATCAATTGCATTTATTCCAAGTCTGGGGTGTCTCATGGTTCATTCAAGGAACACTGACAGTGAGTCATGTGACAGGCCTTGGGAAAAAAACATAATTGTGTTCATAAATATTATTAAGAAAAGCAGAGGATCTCAAAAGTCAGATTTGGATGAACATTAGTTGATGCATTGAAACATGGATTATGTCAAATATCCCATGGATTCTAAGCTGCCTTAATTGTAAAAAAACTCTTTGATGCTCTGCTTAGTACGTAAGCACCTTCAATTGCTGTCAAGTGTACATACAGCAACAATTAAAGATAAACAAATAAACATATTGGGATATGCTGTCATCAGAGTACAGGGAAATGACCCAAAAGCTCAATGTTTCCAAGAGGAAATTAGTTCCGACCCCACGTGGCCATTGTTACAGACTAGAATCTGGATTTTGTTTGCTCTTGATTACACAGAGGAAGAAACAAAAAATAAGTTGTCCTGGTGATAAGCAAATGGCTGGGATGGTTTTCCTCAGTGAAAATCAATGTGATGTCTTATTCCCAGGCCTAGAGATAGGTGGGAGATGGGGAGGGAAGCTATTTAGTTTACCAGCATTACTAAAGTTGCCCTTTTTTCCCTGGTGGATTTCCTTTTCCTGATTTCAGAGCTTAGAGAACTCAGTTCTGTCTAGAGGCCCTAACATTCCACTTCCCACACTCAGCATGGGCCTATTGTCATCATGGACATTTTTTAATGTATAATTCAAGTAATCCTCAAAGCAGCCCTAATAGTTTGGTATCTTTATTGTTATCAGCCTCTCTTGAGAATCAGAAAAGTTAAATACTTTTTTAAAGATCCTGTAGATGGTTAGAGGCAGCTAGGATTCAAATACCCATCTGTCTGGATCTGAAGCCTATCTCTTAATCCCCAAACCCACTGCAACATGCAGTCCATTCTCACATGTGCAAGTGCATCTAACCCACAAATGCTTTTTTTAAAAAAAATATTAAGGATGAGCTGGTGGTGTTTCCTCCATACCCCGGCCAGTCACAGTTTAGCATCATGGGATAAGTGTGGGAAAGGTCTGACTAGAGTAGAAATACAGATTGTGCCCAGCCTTAAAACAATAACATGTTTCTTTCACATTTCACATTAACAAATCTAAACAGCTGATGAAATACTGTAATCCTAGGATTATATACCATGAGGAGCCTAAGAACCCCTTTTTAATTTATCAAAGATTCAGTATATTTGTAATCACATGTAATAAGTGAGGTTGCTGATGTAGAGGAAAAAGAAATGACAATCTTTGATCCCATTGTACCCTGGGATCCCGAAAATCATCCTTAGCCTGCTGGTAGCCAGTCTGGTCTTTGGTGTTCCTGGGCATGTGTCCCATTCTGAGCCATGGGAATACTTCTTCTCATGTCCTACCCTCTCACACATAATGCCCACCTGGTATTCTTCCTTCTCACTCCACACCACACTCCCCAACTAACCACAGCCACCATTATATTCTCTTCTTCCCTCTTCTCCCCTTCCCTGCCCTTGCTTCCTTTCTTCTCCATGTGTCTCTTCTCCTACTCTGTTCCCAACATAAGATTTAGCATGAAGCCATGCCTTTTCTCCTCAAAACTGAGTTTCTCAAAGATCATTCACCTCCATATCCCTGCAGGAAGCGATGGGTATGAGCAGTGTCTACTAGTTGGATGGACAGATCAAGGGATGGATGGGGCTTTTGACCATGTGTTTCTTTCAAGACTTGTTGAAGTCATTTTATTCAGTGAACAAATAGCCATTTTGATATCATTTCTTCTCCCCTTTCAAATTACTTATTACAATTTTGGGTGTGGGTTTATGGTGGGTGGCGGTAGTTGCCCATGCTTTTGGAGCTGAGATGTAATTCTTCCCTCCCTCCCTCCCTCCCTCCCTCCCTTCCTCCCTGCATGCCTCCCTACCTCCCTTCCTCCCTTCTTCCATTCCTTCCTTCCTTCCAGAAATTCTTTAGACAAGCAAAGAAAGAAACTTCACAGAGACTTTAAGCAGTTTATATCCAACTATGTGACTCCTAAGAGGTGACCGCAGGTGGTTTCAAAAATCTTCTGGGAATGATCCCATGTTATATAATAATGAGAACACTGAGCTTGACATCAGGAGGCCTGGCTTTAGCTTTGGTCTCCCTTTTCAGTATGCCTGGAATTCTGGGCAGATCACTTGGCCTCTCTGTGCTTAGTTTTGTCATCTGTAAATAGGGAAGGTAGGACTAATGAGTGATTTTTAAACTGTTCCTGGGAGCCCTCAAAGATTCATGGAGGTGTCTTGAGAGTCTGTCCTACAAGGGATGTTATGGTAGAGAAGGAGGTGGTTGCATAGATCAGGCAGGGCTGAGTCCCTCATTCCTACTTCAACCTGAATTAATGTTCTGGTGAAACTTTTTGAATGTATCCCATTTTTAAGCTTTCTGCTAGAAAACCTACTCCAAAAAAGTTTGAAAACTACCAGACTGGATTATCTTTAAGGTGCCTTCCAGCATACCTGACTTCAATATATAAATTATCTGTGTGTGATCTTCCTTTACAGAAATAATGGAGCCTTTCTTTTCCTCGTGTGGTTGTTGCTCTAAGAATGCATTTCTTATCAAGAGAATAATCTGCTTTTCATTCTGCTTCCTACCTAGCTCAACAGAGCACAAAATGCCCAAGCTAGATCCCTTATTCCCCTGTGAATATCTTCTGTTTAGACTCATCCATCATCGGTGGGGCTTATGACAGACATAGATGTTTTCACAGTTACCACACAGGGCCAACTGTTTTAGTAAGGGTGACCACTTAGGACAGCTTTGGGCTCTTGAGCTGTCCTCTGTTGAAGCCGGGAAACCCTAAGCTGTCATCTAAGCAACGCCGGGTTGTTCATCCACTTTGAAAGAGACAACTTTATGGTCCTGATGACATTTCCTATATTATATTAAGGATGCATCTTGAGAGGATGTGTTGGGTTTGTTTTCTGGACAAGCTGGATGAGTCTCTCTCTCTTTCTGTTTTAGCCACTGCCCTTTGTAGGGTTTGTTTTTCCTGCTGTCCCAGAATAGATGACTTAATGGGTTGCTGAAAATGTCCAGGCTGCCTCTGGCTCTGGGGGTAGCTCGGCCTTAACAATGGAAGGCATTTAGCAGAGCCTCATGTTTTAGAGCAAGAAAGACTTGAGAGAGCATCTCATCTGGTATTTTTCAAGATGCTTTTTAATTTTTTAAACAGCAAACCTTTTCTTTCCCCAATACAAATCTGACACAAAACCTCAATTTATAAAACAGATTTTTAAAAGAGGGGTGGGAGGTAGGAGAAATTCTACCAAATGGTACTTTCCTTGCTATTTATCCTCCCCCCATACTACCTCCTACCACACACACACACACTCAGCAATACCTAAGCACTTCTAGGGAACCCTTGGCCTCCCAAAAGCAATAGAAACCCCCGGTCCTGAACCTCTTTTTTTTTGTTTGTCAGGAAACTGAAAAACAGTGAGATACGGTAACTTGCCTAAGACCCCACAGCTAGAGATCTCAGTGCCAGACTGCAACACTTCTAAATCTGGTTTAATCTTCCTCTCCACCCCTCTCTAATTTATTATGCCACTTCACCTTTGAACCCTGGAAAAGGGCAGGAAGAAAAAATTATGTACCAGTGTGCTCAATTCTTGTACATCTGTCTTTAATTCTCAAAGCAACTTTACAAGGTGGGCATTATTATTATGCCCATTTTACAGAAAGGTTAAATCACTTATCCAGTGAAACTCAGCCAGAAGTGGCAGAACTTACATTGAAAGCTAGGCCTATCAAATTTCAAAGCTGTTCTTTCTACTATACCACAGGATTAAACAATGCCAACTATTGCTTGTCATAAATGAAACCCTCTCTTAACATAAGTTTGACTCAAAAAGTCTGACTCATAATTCATGAAATACTAAGTAACTCTTCTTAAATAACTACCATAGACTGTCCCTCTCCAAAGTTTTCTATGTCTATTGCAAGCATGTTTTGCCTTTAACAAACAACACCCCTTTCTCTGGGAATCATTCTCTGTCATTCCTCTACCCTATCTCATCCAGAAACTGGGGCTCTAGAAACCATGATTTTGATGTTTAATTCAAGTCTGGTCTTGAGTGGGCCAAGCTAGGAATGAGGAGCAGGAGAGAGTTAAGACGTAAAATTTTACTCACTGTATGGATTGAGCAGTGGAAAGAGAACCAAGAAGAGAGATCTTGTGACAACTTACATCTCCGGTTTACTTTTGCATTTCAGTTCAATGAAACAGCCTACTTACCATATAATTTAGTCTGCCTTTTTTTTCCTGAAGCTTTGGTGTTTGTGTGTGTGTGTTTTGTTGTTTTTGTTTTGTTTTGTTTTGTTTTGTTTTGTTTTGTTTGAGACAGAGTCTTGCTCTGTCACCCAGGCTGGAGTATAGTGGCACAATCTTGGCTCACTGCAACCTCCACCTCTTGGGTTCAAGCGATTCTTATGCCTCAGCCTCCTGAGTAGATGGGATTATAAGCATGTGCCACCATGCCCAGCTGATTTTTGTATTTTTAGTAGAGACGGCGTTTCACCATATTGGCCAGGCTGGTCTAGAACTGCTGGCCTCAAATGATCCACTCGCCTTGGCCTCCCAAAGTGCTGGGATTACAGGCATGAGCCGCTGTGCCCAGTCTCCTTCCTGAAGCTTTGAATTTATGTTACTAGCAAACCAAACAATCCTACTGACTATATCATCAAATCGGATGGCCTGAGGATTCTTCAGGTAGATTCAGGCTGCCTTCTTGTTGCAGTCAGTCATGCTTATTTTACATTCATATCATACAGTGCTGCCATGATTGGAGTCCTCAGCAATCAGTTATTCCAGTCCTCTTTGTTTATACTGAAACAAGTCACTATAAAATCTCCTGTTCACATGGATAAGGTACAGTATCCAGAGAAAGCCAATCTTCTCTAGCCTTATTGATTTTGTCTCTTAGACTTCTCCCTGCTGGACAGAAAATGTAAAATAGGAACGTTCAAAATAAATAAGCCAGGGATACTAAGTTCAATTAAATAGAACAAAATGCTTTATATTTTACAAACATTAACTTGAGAAGAGAAATCTAAGTTATTATGGTCTCCAAATGGTAATAGCCCAAATTTCTACTAGCAATAAGATAGATAATTATGGTACTATGTATTCATACAGCAAAATAATATACAGCAACAAAAAGTAATGAATTATAGTTACAGGCAGCAACATGGGTGAATGCCATGTTAATTCCCATTTGTGATAGAAATCAAAATAATAGTTACCTCTTGAAGGGAATGACCAGGAAAGTCATAGGGGAGGTTCCTGGGTGCCATAACATTTGATATCTTTATTTAGGTGGTAGTTACAGAGCTGTGTTCACTTTGCAAAAATTAATTGAATTCTATAGTTATCATTTGTGCAGAATTATGTATGTATATTATACTTCAATTGTAAAAGCTTACCCCAAAAATATCTGAATTATTAGAAATTAGACATAAAACTTACTTCCTCTAGGTCATGGTCTCCCATTATATAAAACAAGAAATTAAACTCAACATTCTTAAAACTGGAAGTGATCTAAGGAAGAGTATCTAGTTCAAACATGAAATGTTTTACAGAAAGAGAGACCGTGGCCAAAGAAGTAAAGTGATAGGCTATAAATTATGAAGTTTATAATTGGTAGAGCCAAGATTAGTCCTTAGATCTTTTAGCTATGTTAACAAAGATATTCTAAATAAACCTCTTAATACTATTCTAAAATAATTTGCTCTGAAGTATACTTTTGTACTAGGAACAAAGGGTTTGTAAAATAAATAAATAATGTGAACAATACCATCAGTGTTTGCATAGAAACAATATGATATCATTCTTAAAGATAAAATCCCTTTGTCACTCACTCCATGAGATACCATCTGATTTGGTTTCTGAAAATTTTGGCAAAATTATACATTGCTTGAAATCTCATTCCCAGGATGTATTTGAAATAAAGTCTTTTTTTTTTAATTTTTTACTTTAAATTTCAGGGGTACTTGTGCAGGATGTGCAGGGTTTTTACATAGGTAAATGTGTGTCATGGGGTTTGTTGTACAGATTATTTCGTCAGCCAGATATTAAGCCTAGTATACATTAGTTATTTTTCCTGATCCTCTCCCTCCTCCCACTCTCCACCCTCCAATAGGCCCCACTGTGTGTTGTTCTCCTCCATGTGTCCATGTGTTCTCATCATTTAGCTCCTACTTACAAGTGAGAACATGTGGTATCTGCTTTTCTGTTCCTGCATTGGTTTGCTAAGGATAATGGCCTCCAGCTCCGTCCATGGCCCTGCAAAGAATATGATCTCATTCTTTTTTATGGCTGCATTGTATTCCATGGAGTATATTATACATGCCACATTTTCTTTGTCCAGTCTATCATTGATGGGTATTTGGGTTGATTCCATGACTTTGCTATTGTGAATAGTGCTGTAATGAACATACTCATGCACATGTCTTTATAATAGAATGATTTATATTCCTTTGGGTATATACCTAGTAATGGAATTGCTGAGTCTAATGGTATTTCTGTCTTTAGGTCTTTGAGGAATCACCATACTGTCTTCCACAGTGGTTGAACTAATTTACACTCCCACCAACAGTGTATACGCATTCCTTTTTTTCTCCACAACCTCACCAGCATCTGTTTTTTTTTTTTTAATAATAGCCATGAAATAAAGTCTTGATGATGATAATGATGATGATGTCAAGGATTCTGACAATGTAAACAATGATGACAATGGTACAGTCTTATGGGTGGTATGTTAGTTTCCTCATTTGCTAAATTAATTTTTTAATGGCTACTCTAAAAAAGTAGCACAAACTTGTTGACTGTCTTACAGTTTTGAAAGTCAGAAGTCCAAAATGGGCCTCACTGGCCTAAAATTAAGGTTCCTTTTGGAGGCTCAAGGGGAGAATCCATTTTTTTTTTGTCATTTCCAGGCTTTAGAGGTGACTTGCATTTCTTGGCTAGCAGCCCTCTTCCAAATTCAGTCAGCAACAGACAGTGGAATCCTTCTGAACACTGCATCATTGTAACATTCTGACTTTCTGCCTCTTTCCTCCATATTTAAAGGATGTTTATATTCCACTGGACCCACCCAAAAAATTCAGGAGAATCTCCTTATTTTGAGGTCAGCTGATTACTGATCTTAATGCCATCTGCAGCCTTAATTCCCACTTGCCATGTAACATATTCAAATGCTCTGGGGATTAGGACATTCACATTTTTAGGGGCCTTTATTCTGTTTATCACAGACAAGATTGTATTTATGCATTTTTGAAATACATACATATATACATATTTCATATAGTATATATATATATAAGGCCTTGAGACAATGCTTTCTTTACCTAGAACAAAGTTATTTTGTCCTAGGTATAATTATTTCCATTTTACCAAGGGAAAAAAAAAGAATAAGGTGAAGCAAATTGCCTACATTTCTGGAGCTGGTTATGGCAGAGCCAGGACTGGAAGCCAGATTTCCAAACCCAGTGTTCTCATTCAGTGAAAAGTGGTTTTCCTAAACCCAGCTGTCATGTTCCTCAAGCTCCAGAACCTCTGGAGGGTGAGCTGTGGTGGACAATTTGAGAATTTAGGTGGGTTTTGTTTCAGAGATTGAAGGATTTGAGAGATGAAGGATTGGCAGTTGCTGAATAGTAAGTGCTAGTCCATGGACAAATTTATGCAAAAGGCTGCGTTCTCCGTCAATTTACACACAATTGCTACTCATCTGTAAGACTTAGCATCTGCCTCACACTCCCCTATATTTAACCCTCAGCCTGGATCATGTGCTTGTCACAAATCAATATTTCTGCCACTCGACAGGAACTTCAGCCCTTTCAAATTCGTTCCAGGTAATTTGAGGAGACTCCAGGGCAGTGATGAAATAAAGTGAAAGCCCCTGATTTACTGGATCTGGAGGCTTGTGCTGTGAGTGAGAAGTGAGGGTGAAAGACCCTTATCACAAGTATTTGTGCTTTTAGATGCACTGAGTCCCCACCCAGAGGTAGGCTCCCTGCCAACTCAGTCCCAAACCCCCTCTGAAATGGGGAAGAAGGGGCCCGGGCTGTGCAGTTCAGGTACCACAAGGTCTTCATTTGTGCTTGCAGCAAATAGAAAAGCATGTTTCTGACTTGGCCCCTAGTGTGAGGTCTGGTCTTGGAGGTTCCGCGGTCTCTCTTAAGACTCTCACTGGCTCACCTCTGCTGCCCCTCCACATGCCAGAATTCTCAGGCAAACTAAGCTTAAGCACAAACTAGGGCTCCAGTGCAGCCCAGAACTTAAAGCACTTTGCTAGGTGCAGACCTGGCTTTGGTATGAGTCTGTGTAATTTGTCCCATGTTGTCACAGTTGTCAGTCACACCTCCCTGTTTATAGTGGTTCCAGGGCTTTGGGATTCTTCAGGATCAGTCCTGCATAGTCCAGCCAGAGGGGATTACTGTTCCCCAAGGTACTACAGGCCTCTTCTTTCATCCCAGCTGACTGTGGGGCAGAATCAGCTCTGTGATATTGATAAAGAACTGAAATAGATCCTTTTAGACTTCAGGACTTCATCAGCCTGAAATAATTTTCTCAGTACTAAATAAATAGTTGCCCCAACAATGATGAAAAATAAATATCGGGGCTATGGGTGAAATAAGTTGCTGAAGGAAATTTAATGTTATCAATAATATAATGGAATTTTGCCCTGTTTTACAGTTCATAAAGCACTTTCACACATGTTATTCATGTCATCAGGAAATGTTTACTGGCGGGCCCCAGTGCTGGAGATACACCAGGAAGTGAAGCAGAGATTGTGTTCTCGCAGGCCTTCTTCTGGGATTATAAAGTGGGGCTGCTGAGGAGTGAACCTGTAATCTTACACATTAGCGTATACTCCCACCATGGAGCCATATCCTGCTCACAGTGCATGTCATCACAAACAACTCCCCGAGGCAGGCAAGACTGTTAATACTACCTCCACATCAGGGATCAGGCAATTGAGCCTCAGAGTGGTGAAGAATCTTGCCAAAGCCCCACAGATT